>NC_000007.14:68264354-68567385 GCF_000001405.40 Homo sapiens | reverse complement strand
CTCCTGACCTCAGATGATCCACCTGCCTCGGCCTCCCAAAGTGCTGGGATTACAGGCATGAGCCACCGCGCCCAGCAATATAGGTATTATTATTATCATCTCACTTTATATATAAGGAAACTGAGGCTCAGAGAGATTAAATCACTTTCTCATTGTCACAGAGTCATTAAGAGAGCCAGAATTTCAACTCAGGCTGTCTAGGGTAAGAATCAGGGCTTGTAACCACTATGTTAGATTGCTTCTACTGGGGGAAGGGGCTCATGTACAGAAAGCCCAGGTTTGTTACATAGGTAAACATGTGCCATGGTGGTTTGCTGCACAGACCATCCCATCACCCAGGTATTAAGCCAGTATCTATTAGCTATTCTTCCTGATCCTCTCCCTCCTCCCACCCTCAACTTTTTAACAGACTCCAGTATATGTTATTCCCACCATGTGTCCATGTGTTCTCATCATTGAGCTCCCACTTATAAGTAAGAACATGTGGTATTTGGTCTTCTGTTGTTGCATTCGTTTGCTAAGGATAGTGGCCTCCAGTTCCATCCATGATCCTGCAAAGGACATGATCTCATTCCTTTTTATGGCTGCATAGTATTCCACAATGTACGTGTACCACATTTCTTTATTCAGTCTATGATTGATGGGCATTAAGGTTGATTCCATGTCTTTGCTACTGTGACTAGTGCTGCGATGAACATACAAGTGTATGTGTTTTTATAATAGAATGATTTATACTCCTTTGAGTATATACTTAGTAATGGGATTGCTGGGTCAGATAGTATTTCTGCCTCTAGATCTTTGAGGAATTGTTACACTATCTTCCATGATGGTTGAAATAATTTACATTCAGTCCGTGATACTTTTCAGTGAGCACCAATGTTCTGAGTTTCCCTTGTTCTTGTGGCCATCACGAGCCTGGATGTCCTCTCCTGCTTCCTTCCACAAGGAGGCTTAAGTCATGAATGTCATTGCTTGTATTTTACAGTACCTTATTAGTAGGTCTTTGATGTACCATCTTAGCTGTGCTGTCTATTTTTTGTAGAGGACTCGGGGATGAAAAATTAAGCCACTACCACTATCTTCCAGAATCCCACCCAAGGCATTCGATTATTATCCAGCGAATAGTCACTCTCTCCCTCACCAGTTCCAAAGGGGAAGCATACATTCCTGCTCCGTTGACATCTGGCTTGGCTTTGTGATTGGCTTTGGCCAGGGCAGAGTGAGTGAAAGTGACAGTTTTGCAATTCTGACTCTAAGTTTGCATTTAAGGCAGTTTAACGTACATTGTGTGTTTTTGCACACCCCTTTGGGAGCTTCTGACCTTCATAATGAGAAGAACATGACCCAACTAATCACTGCACCTCTGACTGGGGCCCCACAATAAGACATGTGGAATGGAGTCATCACATCATCACAGCCAATCCACAGGCCTACAAGCATGAAAACATGGGTTGTTTGCTGCATATCATTAAGTTTTGGGGCCATTTGTTATGCAGCATTATTGTGGTAGTTATTGATGAATATACTCCATTTATTTATTTATTTATTTATTTGAGACGAAGTCTCGCTCTGTTGCCTAGGCTGGAGTGCAATGACACAATCTCAGCTCACTGCAACTTCCACCTTCTGGGTTCAAGCGATTCTCAAGCCTCAGCTTCCCAAGCAGCTGGGACTACAGGTGCGCACCACTATGTCCAGCTAATTTTTGTATTTTTAGTAGAGATGGGGTTTTACCACTATGTCCAGGCTAGCCTGGAACTCCTGACCTCAGGTGATTTGCCCACCTTGGCCTCCCACAATTCTGGGATTGCAGGTGTGACCACTGCACCTGGCCCACTCCATTTATTTTTGATGACTGATGTGTGTATCATGAAATAGAATAAGGATTGACAAATCCATTCTACTTCCTGCTTTTATAAGGCCCTAGAACTAAAAACCAGCTGTTATATTTTTAAAGGTTATAATTTTCCTTTTAAAAAAATGACAGAAATTGTCTGTGGCCCGCAAAGCCCAAAATATTTAATACTCAGCCCTTCAGAGAAAAAATTTGGCCAGCCCTGAAGTAGAGGAAAGAGCATGAAACCCATAGCAAGAGACTCGCTTCTCTATGCACTGACTTAGGGTATGGAACCCTCAGTTTCCCTATATGTACAATGAGCTGGTTGGACTACGAGGTCCCTTCAGTTCTAAGATTTTACATGAAATCTAAAAGATTATTATATGTGAAGTGTTTGTTTTGATGACATCAACACCCTCACACGTGTATAAGCTCTAACAAATAATAATTACAAAAAGGAGCTATGAAGATGTTTCCATCACAAAGGCAAAATTCCCTGGAGAAGACACAAGTTGAGCTGAGAGCTGGGAAGTGGTGTGAAGGGGGCATTCTGAGGCTGTGAAGCTCCTGGATGTACACCATGCATTCATTAGCCCTGTTTGCTACCTAAGGGGAGCTTTGTGACTCAGACGACAAATCTCTAATCTCTGACTAACTAGCAAAAGAAAGAAAGAAAGAAAAAAAAACATAGCATATGTGTATGTGCGTGTAACATCTGATTTGACTGTAGCAGCGAGCGCTTGGTCTTTTGTGAATTGATGTGATTTAGAGATGCCTACAAAATAAAAGTATGGTACTTCAGGAAGAGAGGAATAAAATACCAGTGTTTTATTGGAATAGTGCTGTGCAGCTGAAAAATTGTTGAGTTTTGGAAATGGAGAAATTGCATCTTTCAGCGTGTCAGCATGTGAGAGTGTACCTTGGAACTATGCTATTTGGCTGCACTTCAGCTGATATTAAGCATACCTAATATTTTCCTGTCTCCCTGCCTCTTTATGCTGAGTTGGAAAAGTATTTGGGGAAAGTCTTGACCAGCAGACTTGGAGTCTTGGCTTTTGGAGTGAAGCAAATCCCATTCTATCCTTGATGCCATTCCAAATATATGATTTAATGTCCTGTCTCTCTTGGAGGGAAATTCAATCCATTTTAATATTGTGTAAAAAATGTTGAATGAGTGAAATGCTAACACATATCCTTCCAACCAACACTTTATATGAAGAACATCTGCTTGGAAATTTTTTGCTTGAAGTATTGAAGGGAAGAAATGCTCCATCCTTAGAGAACAGAGATTTCTCTTTTGAAGAAGGTAAATAGATCTGGAGATCATTCATTAGGCCCAAGGTATATTTCTTCTTCCTGAATATATAACCCAGGAACATTCTTTCCTTCTTTTATTGACATTTTACTTTTGTATTGGAAATAGCCAAAGTGTAATGTTCCATATCATATCAAGTGTGACAATGTAATATTTTCAGTGTAGAAATTATTTGGATAAAGACTCAACTTGTGGTAAAAGGCCTACTTTCTGTCCAACTTTCTAAATAGGTTCATATTGTCTTTGCAGCTGAATAAAACTCAGTCTCTTGTTGCGAGAGGATAACACATCATAGTTAATCACTTTTCCAATTCTAAATTAGAAATGACTGAATGGCAAAGGTTTTGCAGCAATCCTTCAGTCAAATGGATTCTTTCAGAAAGGGAGAAACATAGATCATAGATGACTTAAAAAAATAGTTTTCAATAGCACTGGGCAGGCTATGGACCGTTTTCTTTCTTTCTTTTTGATTTGAGAAAGGATCGTGCTCTGTTGCCCAGGCTGGGGTGCAGTAGTGTGATCACAGCTCACTGAAGCCTCTACCTCCTGGATTCCAGCAATCTTCCAGCCTCAACCTCTCAAGTAGCTAGGACTACATGTGCACATCACCATGCCTGGCTAATTTTTATTTTTATTTTTTTGGAGAGACAGGGTCTTGCTATATTGCCCAGGCTGGACTTCAGCTCCTGGGCTCAAGTGATCCTCCCTCCTCGGCCTCCAAAGTACTGGGATTACAGGCGTGAGCCACCGTGCCCGGCCCAAGGACCCTTTTCTTAGTGTTGTTTTGGTAACTTGTGGTGAACAGAGAAATTGGGAAGAGAATGAAAGGTGAGAGGAAATATAATTTATATCTATGTCCCATGGAGAGGATTAGATGAATAAACCTTCACCAAGTCCCCAGTCCCTTGTATAGCCCTTTTGAGAATATCATATCATCTAGTCTGACCTGTGGGTCACTCCTACCTTTCTTCAATGGGCTGTGTTCCCACTGTGCTTGCCAGAGCCCCACAAACAGGACTCAGAAAATACAAGAGCAAGGGACATGCCTTTGAAATTGCAGTGTGGAAAGTTTAGGACCACAGAAAGAAGTTCCACTTCACAGAGTGAAGAACTCCATTCAAAGAGGTAGAACTAGGAAAAAATACTTATAAATGTTCCTTTTATGCTTGGCTCAGGGCACTTTGCTGAGCTGCGGAGCAAATTTTAAAGTGATTGAGTCTGGCTGGGAAACATCAATGGTGGGCTTATCAATATTAGAGCTGGAAGGCAAGGAGTGGTTTCACATTCTTGCTCACATAATGCCACCTAAGGTGGCTTGATTGAATTGATCCAGGAATTGTGTATTTATATGTATAAAAGGTAATTTTTTTTTTTTTGAGACAGGATGTCATTCTGTCACCCAGGCTGGAGTGCAGTGGTGCAATCATAGCTCACTGCAGCCTCGAACTCCTGGGCTGAAGCAATCCCTCCTGCCTTGGCCTTCCAAAGTGCTGGGATCACAGGCGTGAGCCGCTGAACCCAGCCTCAGTGAGTATTTTTGATTGCACAGCAAAGGAACTGACTCTGGATAACATAAGAAGAAAGAGAAAAAATTGTGAACAGAGATTGTGAACAGAGATAGCTCAGAGAATTATGAGAAGGCTGAATAACAAAATCAGCAGAGATAAAAGGAGGCCAGCAGCCCTGAGTTCAGCCAAGGTCCACCAAGATCCTGTTGGGATATTAATCAGCCCTAAAAAAGGAACAGGATTTTGCCATTTGTCACAGCAGGGATGAGCTTAGAGAACATTATGCTGAATGAGATAAGCCAGTCACGGGAAAAAAAATTGCATAATCTCACTTATATGTGGAATCTGAAAAAAAACGCTTAAATATACAGACGTAGAGAACAAAATAGTCATTATGCAGTGGAGCAGGGCTGGAGAGCACACGGTGGGAGGAAATGGGGAGGTGTAGGTCTGAGGATAGAAGGTAGCAGATATGCAGGCTAAACAAATCTAGCGATACAACGCACACATGAGGACTATGGATAATAACACTGCAGTTTATTGGGATTCATGCCATTAGGTTGGTGCAAAAGGAATTGTGGTTTTTGCCCTAACTTTTAATGGCAAGATATGCAATTACTTTTGCCTCAACCTAATAAATGAGTAGGATTTTAGCTGCTCTTGCCATAACAATGACAAAAAAAATGAGCAACTGTGAGATGATGGATATGTCAGCTTGCTTTATGTTGTATATAAAAAGAAATATGGACCGGGCATGGAGGCTCATGCCTGTAATCCTAGCACTTTGGGAGGCCAAGGTGGGTGGATCACTTGAGCTCAGGAGTTTAAGACCAGCCTGGGCAACATGGTGAGACCCTTGCCTCTACTTAAAAAAAAAAAAAAAAAAAAGCCAGGCGTGGTGGTGTGCATCTGCGGTCCCAGCTACTCAGGAGGCTGAGGTGGGAGGATCGCTGGAACCCAGGAGGCAGAGGTTGAAGATGAACATTGAGGCACTGATCAAGAAAGATTGGCATGCCAAAAGTTAAACTGTAGATTAATGGGAGGAATCAGAGAACTCTGATGATAAACAAATGCCAAACCCTTGCTCAGTATCCCCTTCCAGCCAGAGAGGTCTCTTCCTCTATGTTGAAGAGGCTCTTTATCCCTTTTTAAATGACCCCGTTGACCAGAGTTTTCAGAACTTTAGAGTCCAATGCTATCATCCCCTATGGTGTCAATTACAATGTCAGAACTGTAAGAAGAATGAAAATACAACAAAAGAATGACAGGAATTGACAACTTTATAAAAGAAAAAAATAGAAATATATGTGCAAATGGATATCATAAGAGCTTGAACCAGGAATGTATCCCACAATACTAGATCAATCTGAATTTGCTGATATGAGGGAACTCATAAGAAATCCTGGATTTCATTTTCTAGTTCAAAACCTAGTAGTAGTTCTAATTTGTGGTTCCTCTTGTTGTTGGTTGATTGAAATGTGGACTCAATATTTGCCCACTCTAAATGAGCTTTAGATATGAGAAAACACTTGATATAATAAAATATTTCAGGTTATAGGAATTTTGCAGTGGACTTATCGTGTGTATTCTAAGTAACTCTAACAAAATCATGAACAAGAGAAATCTTACGCTTGGCTTTCTACAAAGAGACCTGTAACAATTTACCAGGATGAATGTACTGGCTGCCTCGATATTATTATATACTGGCTCTGTGTTAGTACTAATCCTGGGGACATAGACTATCATTGTATTCCAGCATTTGGAGTGGAGTTTTAACCCAGGTCCATCGCACTAATGCCTACTGGGTTCCTAAAACTTCACTGCAGTTATTTTTCCAATTTGTGTGTGTTGAAATCGTTATCCCCATGTGTTGAAATAATTATCTTTGGCAATTAGAAGAATGGGCCAAATAGATGTCCCTGAAGTTTCTCTTTCTTAGCCAAATGGCAAATCATTCCTGAAAAAAATAAAAAAGAATAGTGTCACTGTCAATGACATGAAACAGTAGAGGCTTGGCATGTGCCAGGGATGGATGGGTTTCAAAGAATGACAATAGATTATCGTAAATTGAAGCAGATGGTCACTCCAGTCGCCGTTGCTGGTTCTGATGTTGTTTTCTTAGTTGGTTGGCTACTGGTCTGAAGAATGTTTTATTTCTATGTAATTAAGCACATCAAAAGCAGCTTTCTTCCTCCTGCTAGGGTCATCAGCACATCTTCATAATCTTGCCTCAAGTATAAATCATTTATCTGAATCTATGCTCTGCGATTTATTCTACAGAGACATTAATTATCTTACCAATGGGTTCACTGCTCTGATACGTTCAGATTGATTAAAGCTGAAGACAAGTACACTTCATTCACTAAGGCAATAGAAAATCCATTGGTAGGGGTTCTAGTATCTTTGAGATGCTTGACAGTGACTACCTTCTGTAGACCAGGGTTGATGATAGGGAAACTTGACTTCCTAATATGAAGAGGGATGATGAGATTGTGAGGAAGCAGAAACAGCTGGCCACACTTAACCATCAGAGGCCAGGTTGATATAATTGCTGTGCTGGGCAGGAAGGCTGACATGACAGTCAAGGTACCCGGACCTGCAGGTATCTATTTATAATGGTTAATCATGGTGATCCTAGGGGTGAAACAGATGGGAAGCTGGCTAAGGCATTGCCAAATTTGTATAATCTGGAGAAAACTAGATTTGGTGAGTGGAAGACTCACAACGGTTACCAGATCTAAGTCAGGTCATAAACCCAGAGCCTATTGATTGAAGGGGAGGCTGGGTCCCTGTAAGGCAAGGATCTACAACATCACTATGAATCTATCAATCTATCTGTTTATCTATCTATCTGCTGTCAATCTATATCTATATATCTATCTATCTATCCATCTATCATCTATCATCTCCCTCTACGTCTCTATAACTATCTCCCTATCTCTCTATCTCTCCTATCTATCTATCTATCTATCTATCTATCTATCTATCTATCTATCATCTATCATCTTCCTCTACATCTCTATATCTATCTCCCTATCTCTCTAGCTCTCCATCTCTCCTATCTATCTAATCTATCATCTATCTATTTATCTATCTATCTGATCTCCCTCTATATATCTATCTCCTCTACCTATCCATTTATCTATGACTATCTAATCTATCAATATCTATGTCTAGCTCCATCTTTAAATCTGTCTTGAAACTGACAAATTGATCTTTGATTTTTTTTTTTTTTGACAAATTCTCGCTCTGTTGCCCAGGCTGAAGTACAGAGACACAATCTTGGCTCACACTGCCACCTCTGCCTCTGCCTCCCAGGTTCAGGTGATTCTCCTGCCTCAGCCTCCCGAGTAGTGGGAATTACAGGCAGCAGATGCCATGCCTGGTCATTTTTTCTATTTTTAGTAGAGACAGGGTTTTGCCATGTTGGCCAGGCTGGTCTCAAGCTCCTGGCCTCAAGTGATCCACCCACCTTGGCCTCCTAAAATCCTGGGGTTATAGGAAATGAGACACTACACCCAGCTGATCTTTATTTCTTTGTCAAGGTAACTATACACTGGGAAAAGGAGAATGCCTACACTTTTTAAGTTCTGTTAGACACAATGTGAAATTGATACCAGGGGACCTAACATGCCCTCCTGATCTCATAGTTAGAATTTTTGCCCCTAACAATTTGAGTTTATTAGGCCCTCAGATCTACCTGTGATTATCTCATCAGTTCCCCAATGTATAATTGGGATTGATATATTTAGGAAATGATAAAATTCTCCATTTTATTGTCTTATGTGTGCATTAGGGTCAATATATTGGAAAGGGCCAAATGGGAGCCTCTGTGACATATTCTAAAGTAACACTTAATTCCTAGAGGAATTGCAGCAATTAGTGCCAACAACAGCATTTAAATGATGCAGCGGTGATAGTAGTTCTTATCATACCTCCTTTCTGTGAGCTATTCTGGCCTCTGAAAAACCAGATAAATCTTGACAGATGATGATAGACTATAAACTTAATAAGATGATAACCCCAAATACAGCTGCTGTGCCATATGGGGTATGTTTACTGAACAGATCAATACAGCCTCTGCATTTTGGCAGGTAGTTGTCAATTTAGTGAATGCTTTCTTCTTGATGCCCATTAGTAAGAGGACCAAAGTCAGTTTACACATAGATGGCAAGGACAGCAGTATACCTTCTCCTTTGTATATCAAGGCTATATAACCTTCCTGTTTGCTGTCTGATATGATTTGACTGTGTCCCTACCCAAATCTCACCTTGAATTGTAATAATCCCCACATGTCACAGGTGGGGCCAGGTGGAGATAATTGAATCATAGAGGTGGTTTCCCCCCATACTGTTCTCATGGTAGTGAATAAGTCTCATGAGATATGATCATTTTATAAATGGGAGTTTCCCTGCACAAGTTCTCTTGCCTTCTGCCATGTAAGACGTGTCTTTGCTCCTCCTTTGCCTTCTGCCATGATTGTGAGGCCCCCTCATCCACATGGATCTGTGAGTCTATTAAAGCTCTTTCCTTTATAAATTACTCAGTCTCAGATATGTCTTTATTAGCAGCATGAGAATAAACTAATACACCGTTACAATGCAATCTGTAGAGATTTTGATCATCTTAACATTCCATGGGCACTGGCCCCATATATTTTGGACATTGCACCATGTTAACCCAATTAAGTGGTTAGTAGAAAGTACTCCATATATTTAGACAAGGCATATGCATCCTAGAATGAGGAATTAATCTCCAGCAAGGTACCTGTAACATCTCCGTAGGTTTAGCTCCTCGGGGCATAAAGATCATTCTTTCTAAGATTAAAAGATAAGCTACGGTACCTTGTCCCTTCCTTGTAAAGGAAGAGGCACAGCTCTTGGCAGGCTGCTGGATTTTGGAGGCAGCATATATTACCCTTGTGAATACTGTTCTAACCTACTCACCATGTCACCTAACATACTGCCAGTTTTGAGTGGGACACAGAGTAACAAAAGATGCTGCACTAAGTTTAGGATTGCAGTCCAGGCTGACATGCCATATGGCCATGCAACCCAATTGATGCAATAATGTTGAAGATACCTGCATTAGGTAAGGATCCTGGAAGGAGCCCCTGCAAGCCCTCAAAGGGAGGCATCAGCACAGACCCTTAGACTTCTGGGGGAAAACCATGACTTTCAGAGCAGAGGACCACTGTCGTGTGAAGCACTTCTTCAGGTTCTCTTGAGATCACATGGTTTCAGCTCTTTGCTTTGCTGCAGCTGGCACGACAATGACCAATTTCAGCAGGGCTCACGTGATCCCGTGACCTGGATCTGTGTCTGAGTCTATGGCTGTTCCCACCCCTTCCTGTAGAGAAGGGAAATCTCCCTAAAGAGGAAAACATCAAGCAATATTTCTTATCCACTTTGAAAAGTCAAGGTGATTTAGCAGTTGATGAGAACAAGAGTGGAATATCGATGTCAAGGCGTTTGGAGGAAGTTACATGAATGAATTTCCCTGAATGGACTCAGAATGCAAAGAATATTTGTGTCTTACATGAAGGCCCACAAAAGACCTTTACTGCAAAGTTTTCAATAATTAGGAAGATGTCAGTCATCTCTTGCCTTAGTGCTTGCTTAATGAGCTCAGGAGTGGAATGTCTACAGGGGCAATAGTATAGGCTGTGCATTGCTGAAGAACTTGGACTTAACCTATTCAAGTTTGACTTGGCTTCTGCCACTGCTGTGTGGCCAGTGTGTGTGCAACCAGTAATCAACAGTGAGTCTCAGGATGGCAACAGACCCAGTGGTGGGTAGCGGCCAATAACATGGTGATTTGTTGATTTTTATTAGACTTATTTTTTTCCTAAAGTGGGATGCAATCTTTCTTCACTGAATAGACACTTACGTTGGATCTAGACTTTTTTCTTGTCCATTATTCTTTTGTCAGTAACAGCATCTGTAGGCTTCCTAAATGTCTTATACACTGACATGATTGCACAATAAACATTTGCTCCTGCACAGGTAACTCTATAGTGAAAGAAACAAGATAATGGGCTGAGAGCCATGGTAGTCATTGGTCTTATCAGGTACTCTCAAGTAACAAGCTCTATGGAACAGTAGAATGGCCCGTCAAAGATTTAGCTATGACACTAAGGGAGAGACAATCCTGAACAACAACAAGGTGATTGAATCTGTTTACCCAGGAGAAATAAGATTGCTGCTGCTGGGGAGAGTGAGGGATGTGGTTAAAACCTTGCATGCAGCCAGGCGCGGTGGCTCATGCCTGTAATCCCAGCACTTTGGGAGGCCGAGGTGGGCGGATCACAAGGTCAGGAGATCGAGACCATCCTGGCTAACACGGTGAAACCTCGTCTCTACTAAAAATACAAAAAATTAGCTGGGCGTGGTGGCACGTGCCTGTAGTCCCAGCCACTGGGGAGCCTGAGGCAGGAGAATTGCTTGAACCTGGGAGGCAGAGGTTGCAGTAAGCAGATATAGCACCACTGCACTCCAGTCTGGGCAACAGAGAGAGACTCCATCTCAAACAAACAAACAAACCTTGCGTGCTATTCATACTAGTATATCTACAGCGTCTCCCTGTAGGGAGGTCCACCAAGGACCCAGGGATCTCAGGAATGCGACTTTAGATCTTCTTCAAGTAAAGAAACTTACAACTGTCCAATTTCATCTATTTTCAAATGTGATGAAAGTCTGAGTGTTATAAGGACTAAGTGATTGTTTTGCCTGTCAAGGGGGATTTGACCTCAGGACTTCCATAACAAAGCTGAATAATATAACTGATGAAACTGATTTCTCTCCCTTCATGGGTTTAGAGTGCAGATGTGAATGTATTTTTTTTTTTTTTGAGACAGAGTCTTGCTCTGTCGCCCAGGCTGGAGTGCAGTGGTGCGATCTCAGCTCACTGCAAGCTCCGCCTCCAGGATTCATGCCATTCTCCTGCCTCAGCCTCCCAAGTAGCTGGGAATACAGGTGCCCGCCACCATGCCTGGCTAATTTTTTGTATTTTTAGTAGAGATGTGATTTCACTGTGTTAGCCAGGATGATCTTGATCTCCTGACCTCGTGATCCGCCCGCCTCGGCCTCCCAAGTGAATGTATTTTTAATACACGAAGGAAAGAATTACAGTTGTTACACAAAACAGTTTTTTTTTAGACAGGGTCTTGCTCTGTGGCCCAGGCTGGACTGCAGTGGTGCAATCTTGGCTCACTGCAGCCTGGACTTCCTGTACTCAAGTGATCCTCCAGCCTCAGGCTCCCTAGTAGCAGGGACCACAGGCACACACCACCACGCCCAGCTAATTTTGCTTGCTTTTTGTAAAGTCAGGGTCTCACTATGTTGCCCAGGCTGGTCTCATAAACTCCTGGGCTCAAGCAGTCTTCCCAGCTTGACCTCCCAAAGTGCTAGGATTATAGGCATGAGCTACTGAGCCCAGCCCAGAACAATTTATAATGGATATATAATAATAGAAAGGATGGCTATATATTAATAGGCATTATATCAATCAGATGGTGGTCTCTGATGAGATTTCTGGCCATTCAGTTCCAAATTTCCTTCTTTTAGGATTTTCCTCATTTTGAAAATCAAAGGATACAGCTATTTTCTCTCCCCACATTCCAGAAACTAGGGCATGGAATATGCCCCATGCTAGCATGATTAGATAACAGGGCCCAACACTTTGACTCTTGAAGGAATGATACAAATAAATACATAGGAAAAAGAATTTCCTGGGAGCAGTGACAGGCCAGAGTAAAGTTGTACTGTCATGGCAAATTTAGTAGTGGAGACACCAGTATCACCCTAATCAAACTGCCAGGCTATGCTGTGGCCTGCCTGTGTGTTCCTATCTCCCGAGCTTGGTGCCCCAATAAATTCATGTCCTATGTAAGTGATCCAGCATTGTTTCCATTATTTGCAGCCAAGAAACCAAAAACAGACAAAGAGTTAGGTCATTGCAAGTCCATGTGATTCGGTTTTTTGTTTGTTTATTTTTTTTGTTTTTTTTGTTTGTTTGTTTTTGAGACAAAGTCTCACTCTGTCGCCCAGGCTGGAGTGAAGTGGCACGATCTCGGCTCACTGCAACCTCCGCCTCCCAGGTTCAAGCAATTCTCCCACCTCAGCCTCCCGAGTAGCTGGGATTACAGGCACCTGCTACCACACCTGGCTAATTTTTGTATTTTTAGTAGAGATGGGGTTTCACCATGTTGACCAGGCTGGTCTCAAACTCCTGACCTCAGGTGGTCCACCCACCTCGGCCTCCCAAAGTGCTGGGATTACAGATGTGAGCCACCACTCCCGGCCTGTGATTATTTTTACATCAGGTATAAAGTCAAAGGAAAACACAGAACTAGTCCTGTTGGTGTCAATCAGGAGGCAGCTAAGAGATTGTGACAGGTGAGTTAGCTAAGAGATTGTGACAGGTGAGTTAGATGAACAGATTATAAATGAGGTTGAGTTTGTGTTACCAGATTCTCTAGAGTCGTGATTTCATTCCTGAGCTCCTAAAACAAATGGAAGAAGGGAAAAAAATGTCAGAATAGTTATGTAGCTTTCATACATGATTTTATTTAAATGACTGGGGTTGTTTTTGTATCAAGTTTATTTCAGTAGGTTTTGTATAAAGCCTGAGTTTTAATACATAAAGATTTGGTTGGACTTAAAGCATCTAAAATGGAGAAGTGTCTGTCTTACAATTGCTGAGAGTTACATAACTTATGTTATTATTTAATATATAATGTGGTAAAAAGATGTTCATTGCAGTGCTACATGTAAGAAAAAAATTGGATAGAAACTTGATGTCAAGCCACAGAGAAAAGATGAGATAAATATGATAGAATATTATGAATTCATTAAAGATCCTTTTTTTTTTTAGAGAGAGAGAGTCTCACACTGTCACATGGGCTGGAGTGCAGTGGTGTGATCTTGGCTCACTGCAACCTTCATCTCCCACATTCAAGCAATTCTCCTCCCTCAGCCTCCCAAGTAGCTGGGATTACAGGCACATGCCACCACACCCAGCTAATTTTTTTTGTATTTTTAGTAGAGATGGGGTTTCATTACGTTGGCCAGGCTGGTCTTGAACACCTGACCTCATGATCCACCTGCCTTGGCCTCCCAAAATTCTGGGATTATAGGCATGAGCCACTGTGCCCAGTCTAAATATCCTATTTTTACAAAGACCTTTTAATGCTTCAGGAAAATACTTGGGTTATAATCTTAAATGAAGAAACATAGATAAAGTTGTATAGAGTGATTTTTAACTGTGGAAATGCACACATGTAAATGCACATAAAATTCTAGAAGGAAATAGATGATTGCAATTACTGTTTTTTAAAATAATTTTGTGTTTCTAAGAATTCCATAAAGAGCCTGTATAATTTTTTTTTTTTTTTTTGAGACAGAGTCTTGTACTGTTGCCCAGACTGGAGTGCAGTGGCATGATCTCGGCTTACTGCAACCTCTGCCTCCCAGGTTCCAGTGATTCTTCTGCCTCAGCCTCCCGAGTAGCTGGGACTACAGGTGTGAGTCGCCATGCCTGGCTCATTTTTGTATTTTTAGTAGAGATGGAGTTTCACCCTGTTGGCCAGGCTGGTCTTGAACTCCTGACCTCAGGTGATCTGCTCACCTCGGCCTCTCAAAGTGCTGGGATTACAGGCATGAGCCATGGCACCCGGCAAGAGCATGTATAATTTCTACAGGGAGAAAAATGTAATATATGAAATTTAATTCAACTGTGGATTCTGAACTAGACCAAAAATCATTATAAAAGCTATCAGTGAAGGCTGGTGGCTTATGCTTATAATCCCAGTGCTTTGGGAGGCTGAGGCAGGAGGATTGCTTGAAGCCAGGAGTTCAAGACCAGCTTGGACAACATAGTGAGACCCTGTCTCTACAAAAATAAAAATAAATAAAAAGTAAAATAAAAAAATTTACCAATGGGACAATAGGCAGCATTTGAATAATATCTATCAGTCAGATAATAGTATTGCATCAATGTTAAATTTCCTGATTTCGATTACTGTACTGTGGTTATGTAAGTAATGTTCTTGTTCTTAAGAAATTCTGACTATTATATATAGGAGTAAAAGAACATGACGTCTACAAACAATTTTTGAGAGAGAGAGAGGTAAAACAAATGTGGCAAAGAGTTAAGAACTGGTGAATCTCAGGTCAAGCATGGTTGCTCAGGCCTGTCTGTAATCCCAGCACTTTGGGAGGACAAGGCGAGGATCACTTGAAGTCAGGAGTTTGAGACCAGGTTGGCCAACATGGTGAAACCCCGTCTCTACTAAAAATACAAAAATTAGCTGGGCATGGTGGTGCACGCCTGTAATGCCAGCTACTTAGGAGGCTGAGGCAGGAGAATCACATGAACCCAGGAGCTGGAGGCTGCAGTGAACCGAGATCGTGCCACTGCACTCCAGCTGGGGCAACAGAGTGAGACTCCATCTCAAAAAAAAAAAGAAAGAAAAGAAAAGAAAAAAAGAATTGGTGAATCTCAGTGAAGGGTATTCAGGATTCAGGCATTCACTCTACAGTTTTTAACGTCTGTAAGTTTCAAATTATTTTTTAAGGTCAAATATTTAAAAATATGTTCTCTGATGACAGCACAAGTCATTAGCCACTAGACTTGCTTTCTTTTTCTTTATTTATTCTTTTTTTTTTTTTTTTTTTTGAGACGGAGTCTCGCTCTGTCACCCAGGCTGGAGTGCAGTGGATCTTGGCTCACTGCAACCTCCGCCTTCCAGGTTCAAGCAATTCTCCTGCCTCAGCCTCCTGAGTAGCTGAGACTACAGGCGCGTGCCACCATGCCCGGCTAATTTATTGCATTTTTACTAGAGACAGGGTTTCATCATGTTAGCCAGGATGGTCTCGATCTCCTGACCTCATGATCCACCCACCTCGGCCTCCCAAAGTGCTGGGATTACAGGCATAAGCCACCGCACCCAGCCGCTACTAGATTTTTTTGGGGGGGGGGTGGGTGGGAGTACTTTTCTTTTCTAAAGCTGATCAGCTGTGAAAGATTATGGGCTTCGGAGTGAGACACATCTGGTAGAATCCCAGGTCTCCTGTTTATGTCTGCATGACTGTGGACAGTTTATTTTCTCTCTAGAAACTCAATTTCCTCACCAGGAAAATGGGGATAATAATATTTCCTTTGTAAAGATCAAGATGTTTGTAAAATGCCCAACCAAACATCTCACCGCAGGTGCTCAAAAATTGCAAAAGGCTTTTAGTCATTAATAATACATTCTCTGAAAGTGGACTGGATGGTAGTCAGCATTAGCTTAATTATTTATTACGTTCAGGAGATTTACTTCTTTGCTCTTTGAATAGGCAGAAAATGGTAGATATCTATCAAGCACAAAAACTAGAGGTCTCTTTATAGTTGAGCAATAAACAAAGTCATATTTAACACTCACTGATCATTTACTACAAACCAGGTACTATACCAAGAATTATTATTATTATTATTATTATTATTATTTTTGCGACAGAGTCTCACTCTTTTCACCCAGGCTGGAGTGCAATGGTGCGATCTCGGCTCACTGCAACCTCTGCTTCCCGGGTTCAAGAGATTCTCCTGCCTCAGACTCCTGAGTAGCTGGCATTACAGGCATGTGCCACCATGCCCGGCTAATTTTTGTATTTTTAGTAGAGACAGGGTTTCACCATGTTGGCCAGGTTGGTCTCGAACTTCTGACCTCAGGTGATCTGCCCACCTTGGCCTCCCTAAGTGCTAAGATTACAGGCATGAGCCACTGTGCCTGGCTTGTTTTATATAATTTTTCATTTAATCTTTACTACAGTGAATATTCTTTTTGTTTTTGTTTTTGTTTGTAGAGATGGGGTCTCACTCTATTGCCCAGGCTGGAGTGCAGCAGTGAGTGATGTAATTATAACTCACTGCAGTGTTGAACTCCTGGGCTCCAGTGATCGTCCTGCCTTAGCTTCCTAAGGAGTAGCTGGGATCACAGGCTTGTACCAACACACCTGGCTAATTTTTAACTCTTTTTGTAAAGACATGGTCTCACTATATTGCCCAGGCTGGTCTTGACCTCCTGGCTTTAAGTGATCCACCCGCCCCAGCCTCCCAAAGTTCTGGGATTACAGTCATGAGCCACCACACCTAGCCCACGGTGAATATTCTATTAGAATGATTTTATAAATGAGGAAACTATGGTACAAAGAGGTTAAGAAACTTGCCAAAGATCACACAGCTGATGCTGCCAGATTTAAGCCCAAATACGTTCATTCTTAAGCTCGTGATTTTTATTTACGATACATGCAGTTCACTTCTCAAACTTAATGTGAACATCAATTACCTGGAGAGCTCATGAAAGTGCTGATTTTGATTTTGGTGCTTGTTACAATGTAGATCCACATGTGCGTGCCTGTACCTGTGTGTGTGTGTGCACTGAGATTCTGTGTTTCTGACAATCTCTGGATGATGATGATGGTGCTGACCCGTAGGTCACATTATAAGGAGCAGGGTCCTAGGAGGTGAGATGCAAACTCAAATTTGTATACTTGGATTCAGGTGATGCAGGCCAGCTTCCAGCTTCTACCATGTATCACCTGCCATTTCTACCTTATCTTATTCCATTCAGGTGCTTTGTAATTTACACACTTTAAACCATTTGTGCTGTTGTGTTGTTACCCCACCATGTCATGTGCTGTCATGCATGTATGCCTTTATACCACTCCTTCTGCTTGAAAGGACCTCATCCCCAAGATGTCACTGCAATTGATGCTTTCCTGAGGTTGCATTAATTCTGCATTAATTGTTCCTTCCTCTTTGGTCGTAGAGCACCAGGTATCAACTCTTGGTACTAGCACTGGTGTTAGCACTTATCATTTTTCACTGTATTTATTTGTTTGATTTTCTGCCTCTTCCACCAGATGATGATTCAAGGGCTAATAGAGTGCTCAGTTTATCTATGTAACCTTAGCACCCAGCAAATGAAGACTACATACAAGACACCAGAGATGCATGTCTAGAGTGAATGAATCAATGAAAGATTGGATTGCATATATGAATGAATGAATATGCAAAAGCTGTGAAGCTACATATTTTTAAGCTATCACAGTCATTTACAAATCCCTCAGATTGTAATCCCCTTCCAAAATATTGGGTATGTATCATACATACACATATCTTATTGTATTAATATCCATGTACGTTTCCATACACACACAAAATAGATTAAGAAAGGATGAGCTAAAAATAAACATAAGGATAAGTAAAAGGTTTAATATTTTATTAGCACATCCCAGTGGACTGTCTTGTATGCCCTAGGGTGGAAAGCACCCACCCCACCTCAGAGATGCCTGGGCTAGAACGATAAGCAACTTTACTATTAGGTCGGTGCAAAAGAAAGTGCAGTTTTGGGCCGGGCACGGTGGCTCACGCCTGTAATCCTAGCACTTTGGGAGGCCAAGGTGGGCAGATCATGAGGTCAGGAGATGGAGACCATCCTGGCTAACATGGTGAAACCCACCTCTACTAAAAATACAAAAAATTAGCCAGGCGTGGTGGCGGGCGCCTGTAGTCCCAGCTACTCGGGAGGCTGAGGCAGGAGAATGGCATGAACCTGGGAGGTGGAGCTGGCAGTGAGCCAAGATCGCGCCACTGCACTCCAGCCTGGGCGACAGAGCAAGACTCCGTCTCCAAAAAAAAAAAAAAAAAAAAAAAATTGCAGTTTTGTTATTACTTTCAATGGCAGAAAAACTGCTATTACTTTTGCACCAAACTAATAACATTTACCAAGGAGTAGAACTCATTTAAATGATGCTCTAATGAATGGGAATCAGAAGAAATCAATACAGAGGACATAAATAGGTCCAGGTAAGTATAAGGTTTCCAGGGGCTGGAACTTTAGATTCCTTGGAAGAAAGCCCAATCTCAGCTCACTGCAACCTCCACCTCCCTGGTTCAAGCGATTCTCCTGCCTCAGCCCCTCGAGTAGCTGGGACTACAGGCATGCACCATGACACCCAGCTAATTTTAGTATTTTTAGTAGAGATAGGGTTTTGCCATGTTGGCCAGGCTGGTCTCGAACTCCTGACTTCAGGTGATCTGCCTTCCTTGGCCTCCCAAAATGCTGGGGTTATAGGCATGAGCCAGCGCATCTGGCTACCTCTTTACATTTTCAGTCTGCACACAGCGACTGCCATAGAATAAATTTTTGATAAACGCTTGCAGAACTGATCAATAAAACCACAGTTTGGTTAGGAAAGAGGCCTTACACAAAACTTTACCCTTTTTTATGGAGTAAAATATGCTCTATAGGTAAATGTAATACATGCCATCCACAAATAATTACACAATTTTGATTGATAATCAATATTGCAGATACTTATATTTCTAATACCTATCTCATTATAGATCATACTATCCTAGTTTGCTTATTAGGTGTCAAAAAATACCTTCTAAATTACAGAACATTTTTAATGCAATCCAAGCCAGTGATTCTTGAAGGGAAAACCCAAATTATTGCCCTTCCTATCCTGCTACATTCCCATATCTGAACTCTCATATTGTACCTGGGTTAAGTACGTCAGACTCCTGAAGGCATGTGTCCTGGTGAGGGATTGAGAGTCCATAGACTATAGACCTGGTAATCTATATCTTCTTTCTTCCTGATTAACTGGTCTGGTTTCTCTCATATGTCACTGTCATCTGTGGCTGGCGATGCCCTCTCTAATTTCGCAATTGTGTATGTCTTACTTATAACACGAGCACATTGTTTATCTAGGGAAGGCGGGGCTGGGTGAAGTCTCCCATCGAAGTCAGAATAGGCTGGAAGGAAGAGTGAGAAGCAAAGTCACTCTACCTAGAACGGCCAGAGCCACCTTTCACAGGACGATTATACATTTAGCGCTCCAGAGGCAATAAACATCTGCGACAGAATGGGGAAAAACAAACAAACAAAAAAACTCTAAAATTCGTAAAGAGTCAGTTGCAAAGGAAAAATATTTAATGCTTAGAGTTTATGTTTTATTGTAAAGTTTGTTGACAGTGATGGTTTGTATCAATTAACTTGGAGTTAAATCGCTTATGAACAAATCTATCAAATGGAAAAGCTCATAGCCTGGGTAAAAAGTCAGTTCATTGTGATTATCCAATTCTGCTTAAAGAACATGATTAGGTACATCTTAATGGCACTATCCAGAGGCCTGACTATAAGCTTATATTTCTCATTAACAAAACTTCATGCTTGGCTCGCAGGCCTTGAACTGTGATCAGTTGCGGCAAGAAAATGCCGCTTTTGGATCTGTTAAGTCATCAAGACACCACAATCTTAATTAGACATTTAAGCTAAAATGAGTGTTTAAACATTGAGGCTTCCTTTAACTCTTTCTTCTTAAATTTTTGCCCTATGAAACAGAGACATGCTATTTCCTGCCTGAGTCAACGCACGAAAAGGCTTTGGAGAGAGAGCCGGGGTGGAATAATTTAGCTCTGTCAATCTGCCTGCTATCTGCAAAACCACTGATTGAATTCAAACAAATCAAATTGATTATTAGCACCTGGTTGTTGATTGCGCTTGTTTCTATTCTGTGGATCCACCAACCGATGGTAGCTCTTTTCTGTCTTGTTTCTATAAGCCTAGTCTACGGATGAAGGCATCCTTAATGATGGTCCAAGCATTGTTTTAAAGACAAAGAAAACAGACCCAGTGAACTGCATAAAATCCTACATCAAAAAGATAGAAAGGGCTGGGTGTGGTGGCTCACGCCTGTAATCCCAGCGCTTTGGGAGGCTGAGGCGGGTGGATCACTTGAGGTCAGGAGTTCGAGACCAGCCTGATCAGCATGGTGAAATCCCATCTCTGCTAAAAATACAAAATTAGCTGGGCGCAGTAGTGCATGCCTGTAATCCCAGCTACCTGGGAGGCTGAGGCAAGAGAATCACTTGAACCCAGGCAGTGGAGATTTCAGTAAGCTGAGATTGCACTGTTGCACTCCAGCCTGGGCAACAAGAGTGAAATTCCATCTCAAAAAAAAAAAAAAAAAGAAAGAAAGAAAGATCTTAAATCAACAACCTAACATAGCACCTCAAGGAATTATAAAAACAAGAACCAAACCCAAAGGTAGTAGAAAAAAAAAAGAAACATATACACACACAAAAGATCAGAACAGAACTAAATGTGATTGAGAACCCCCCCAAAAACAATATAAAGGATTAATGAAATGAAAAGTTGGATCTTTGAAAAGATAAACAAAATTGATAGATCACTAACTAGACCAAGAAAGAAAAAAAAATCAAGAAAAAAGGAGAGAAGATTCAAATAAGCATAAATCATCTATATCCCTTTCATATACATTTAGATAATGTCTAATGTCATCGCAGTGCTTACAGATTTAATAGCAAGTCCTCTCTCTTTTAAATTTTGCTCTGACAGAGAAAAGCGATACAATAGAAGAAATTCCAAAGTAATATTTCTTTTCACAATATTTCGATAGGATTTAATAATTACACAGTGCTCCCAAATCTGTTCAGATTTATGGACACACATCTTTGCAAAATGTCTCCAAACTTAAATTTCCTTTCTCATCTCAAATATCACAGTCTTGTTTCATCCATTTAACCAATATCTTGGCCAAATGCCTAAATAAGTGTGTCTCTACACAATTTGTTGTGTATATAAATGCTAGACGGGGCAAAAAGACATATAAATTCAATGGTCAACATATATAAAGATGGGAAAGTGGAGAGAGTAAGGGTGATTATCAGGTGGAGGGAAGTTAAACGTATGTTCCTGCAGAAGGAAACATTTATGAGAATCAAGAGGGAGACACCAGCTGGTACTTTAGGAGGCCGAGTGGGGAGGATGGCTTGAGCTCAGTAGTGTTTGAGACCAGCCTGGACAACAGAGTGAGACCCTGTCTATGAGGAAGAAGAAGAAGGAGAAGGAGAAGGAGAAGGAGGAGAAGGAGAAGGAGGGAGAGAAGGAGGGGGAGGGGGAGGAGGAGGAGGGGGAGGTTAAAAAGAGGGAGATACCTATAAAAGCAATTATTCTTTCTTTTTTTTTTTCTTCTCTTTGGAGACAGTGTCTCACTCTGTTGCCCAGGCTGTAGTGCTGTGGTGTGATCTCAGCTCACTGCAACCTCTGCCTCCTGAGTTCAAGCGACTCTCCTGCCTCAGCCTCCCGAGTAGCTGGGACTACAGGTGCGTGTCACAATGCCTGGCTAATTTTTGAATTTTTAGTAGAGATGGGGTTTCACCATGTTGGCCAGGCTGGTCTCTAACTCCTGACCTCAGGTGATCCGCCCATCTCAGCCTCCCAAAGTGCTGGGATTACAGGCATGAGCCACTGCGTGTGGCTAAAAGCAGGTATTCTTTCTGATGAACCCCATAAAGACTTGGAATTTAAAATCACCAGGGGCCTCTAGAGCTCCCCAGTGTTCTAGGAGGGACACATACTCCACAACTCCCCCCGCTCCCCTCCACTCGCCACCGCAAGACAGGAGAACCATCTTCTCTGGAGCAATTAAACTAGAGATGCTTGAGGATTGGAAGCATCTGTTACAAAGGAGGGCATCTGGAGAATTAAGTAAAACCTCTCCAAATAAATCCAATCATTTTCTCTCAACTGTCTTGAGGATGCTTGCAGTCAGGCATATAACCCCCCAAACGGCAGAATTAGAGTTCTTTCTCCAGATAAATTAAATTACCTCGGAGAAAAGACATACAAATTCCATTATGGGGGTGGACGTGAAGGTTTCTAGCAAAAAGTTCAGCTGCCTGTCAATAGTAAAGTCAATCAGTTGAAAAACCTTGTCCATGCACTCAGAACTTGAATCTGCTATTCAGGTTCTCATCATTTAATTAGAACAGATGGTCAAGGATTGACGGGCTTTTAGGGAAAGTTTCCTATAACCAAAAGAGCAAGCTGGAAAAAAAAAAAAAAAGAAACAGAAAAAAAATTACAGAGCCAAAGAAGAGTCTAAAAAGACTATACCTTATATCATCAATGAGGTGGCAAGACACAATATACTTGAACCTATACAAGGATGTTCTGAAAAGAAAAAAATAAAGAATGAAGAATAAGCTCTTAGAAATGAAAAATATAATCAGATTTCAACATTCATTTAAAAAAAAGAGTTGAACAATGCAATATAGAGAATTCCAGAAAAGAGAAAAAAAAAGATAAAAAGATGGAAAATAGGAAAAAAATAAGAAAATGAGAGAATTAATTCAGGAGATGAAATATTTGAGGGGTTCAAGAGAGAAATGAACAGGCAGTGGTACATATATCTTATTTAGAAAAAAATGTAATTAATGAAAAGATAGCTAAAAGCGTTGAAAATGGTTGCTTCCATGGAGTGGAACAGGAGCAACGTTGGGCAGAAATGTGCTGATTTTTACCCAAACCTTTTAGTTATATGTGAATTCTTTTTTTTTTTTTTTTTTTTTTTTTTTTGAGACAGAGTCTCGCTCTGTTGCCCAGGCTGGAGTGCAGTGGCCCCATCTTGGCTCACTGCAAGCTCCACCTCCTGGGTTCACACCATTCTCCTGCCTCAGCCTCCCAAGTAGCTGGGACTACAGGCACCCGCCACCACGCCCAGCTAATTTTTTGTATTTTTAGTAGAGACGGGGGTTCACCGTGTTAGCCAGGATGGTCTCGATCTCCTGACCTCGTGATCTGCCCGCCTCGGCCTTCCAAGGTGCTGGGATTACAGACGTGAGCCACCGCGCCCGGCTGTATGTGAATTCTTAAAGCATGCTTTGCTTATTACTTTAGAATGAATACTAGCAAGTGCGTATTTAAATTGTAGGTAAAACCGATGCCCCAGTAATACTGCTGTATCATTCTGTAACTTCATCCTTCCTGACACAGGACCAGAGATGCTTGGGGGGTCAGGTACACTGAGGGTGATTCTGAAAATTAATATTAATTCTTGTGATAGCTGTACATTTTGTTTTTTTGTTTATTCTTTAGTCATGCTCTGTTGCCCAGGCTGGAGTGCAGTGGCATGAGCACGGCTCACTGCAGCTTCGAACTCCCGGGCCCAAGCTATCCTCCTCCCCGTCAGCCTCCCAAGTATCTGGGATTACAGGTGCTTGCACCCATACCCGGTTAATTCTTTTATTTTCTGTAGAGATGAGGTCTCATTATATTCCCCAGGCTAGTCTCAAACGGCCTCCTAAAGCACTGAAATTAGAGGCGTGAGCCACTGTGCCTGGACAAGCTGTACATATTTTAATTAACTGGGTACTTAGTTAAGATTTATGGACTGTCTTCACAAATAACTTTAGCAAGAGAATTCCAAGCCTAACTGCAGTTCATGCATATCCTCATAGAATTTTCTTCCATACCTGATATCCAGTAAGATGTTCTAAATCCTAAAGAAAAGCTGAGCTGATCAAGCTATATTTAAAGAACTTGCCTACTCTTTTTCATGATGGGTAAATATGCAGTGTTCGTGATACTTTTGAAACACAGAAAGTAACGGTAGCTTCTTCCTCTTGCCATCTGTAACTCCTAAGAATCTGGAGGTTCTAGAGTTGTTACTGTTAATTTAGTTCAGGACACTTGTTTGTACTGATCACGAAAAGCTAGGCTCAGAAATGGCAAGTAATTTGCTGATGTCACACAGCTAGCTCATTACCATTTCCAAGCCGTTCATTAAAGCTCTGGTTGCTATGATATACATTGTTATAATCCAAGTCAGAGGTATGTCTATTTATATCTACTTTAGAATTTTTCTCAGCCAGAGGCTGAGCCTATGGAGAGGCTGTTGAGTACCAGCTGTCTACGGCTTATATTGTTAATTCATTAAACTTCATGCTTTATCCTCTCTGGAAATCACTGGCAAACAATAACACTGGAGTACTTGCTTGCTGCAATTGCTGACAATATCAATTATTTAGTTTTCTGCCAATTCCTATTAGACTTTTTCTAACTGGAGAATTTACACTGTGTTATTGAATTAAAAACAGTGGAAAGCTTTGGGGAATTTAAACTAATTAGCCAGCATTTGTAAACCCCTTTGTGTGAGATAATTTGTTTACATGACTAATTCAACCTTTTAATTATGGGGGCCCGCATGGACCATGAAAGGTGTCACTACAGCCATCCTTTGCTGAGCACTGGGAAGGCAACATGGCAAAACTCATTTTTCTTTGTGATGAGGTATGATGACCAGCTCACTGATACCTAACCTTGCATTTTAGCATGTTTATAATTACACCTACGAGAAGCTTTAGTCTTCCCACGCTTTCAGGTGTGCCTTTTTCTGAGCAATTTCTCATTCATGTTTGCAGGGCAGCTCCAAATCACTGCCTCATCCATTCTCCATTTTTTTCATAGCTCCTGTCCCCTCCCCACCATCTATTCCTTTTAGATCTCTTTGTCCTTCAGAATTTACTGTTGAATTGTCATTTAGAATTCACTGTTGCATTCTTCATTGCTAACATGTTTTAATGTCCCCTTTATCCAGGATTTCATGTGAACAGTCATGGTTGATTATCCAGTCTGGGTGTAGATATCATGTTAACTGCATGGCCTGGATTCAAATAAATTTAGCTACAGCTAAATTTACCTTGGCAAAAGAGAACAGAGACCATAGACATCCATTTTTGTCTACTGTGAATGTGATGGTGTGGTTCTCTCTAATATGAAGTACTTCTATTTAATAGAGAGAGAGACAAGAACTGGATAAATATCTAAATTGTGTTTCTTTGTGGTCTATTGATATTGGGTTACCAAAATGCAACTTTTTGTTGAGAATGTATTTCCCAGGAGTGATTCTGAGAAATAATATTAATTCTTATGGTAGCTGTGAATATTTTAATTAAGTAAGTACTTAAGATTCAAGGACTATCTCCACAAATAACTTTAGCAAGAGAATTCCAAGCATAACTGCAGTTTATGCATATCCTCATGAATTTCCCTTCTTACCTGATGTCTACTAAGATGTTCTAAAGCCTAAAAAAAAGGTGGGTTATAAAAAAGTGGGCAAAGGACATGAACAGACACTTTTCAAAAGAAGTCTTACATGCATCCAGCAATCATATGGAAAAAAAAGCTCAGCATCACTGATCATTAAAGAAATGCAAATCAAAACCACAGTGAGATTCCATCTCACACCAGTCAGAATGGCTATTAATAAAAAGTCAAAAAATAACAAATGCTGGTGAGGTTGTGCAGAAAAAGGGATGCTTACACAGTTGGTGGGAGCATAAGTTATTTCAGCCATTGTGGAAGACAGTGTGATCTTTCCTCAAAGACCTAAAGAAAGAAATACCATTCAACCCAGAAATCCCATTACTGAGTATATACCCGAAGGAATATAAATCATTCTATTATAAAGACACATGCACATATATGTTCATTGCAGCACTGTTCACAATAGCAAAGACATGGGATCAACCTAAGTGCCCATCAATGATAGACTGGATGAAGAAAATGAGGTACATGTACACCATGGAATACTATGCAGCCATAAAAAAGAACAGGATTATGTCCTTTACAAGAACACAGATTGAACTGGAGGCCATTATGTTTAGCAAACTAATGCAGGAAGAGAAAACCAAATACTGCCCGTTCTGATGAGAACACATGGATAAATAGAGGGGAACAAGTCACACTGGGGACTTTTGGAGGGTGGAGGGTGGAGGGTAGGAGGAAGGAGGGGATCAGGAAAAATAACTAATGAGTACTAGGCTTAATACCTGGGTGATGGAATAATCTTTATGACAAACCCTTATGACACAAGTTTACCAATGTAACAAACCTGCACTTGTACCCTTGAACTTAAAATAAAAGTTAAAAAAAGAGAAGGTGGGTTGATAAATAATTGAGTGTGTGGATAAAATGTTTAGTCCATTTCCATTTGCTGCATCCAATGTATAAACGATTGTCTTCAAGATACATATTAATATCCTTGGCAAGTATTTTAAAGCATCTTACTCATATTCGTAGGCATGTTGACCCCTCTTTAGGCATGAAACCACTTAATTGCTCTGCAACATAATTGACTAGCCAGCTTTTTGCAATAAAAGAAGGCATCTCTATTTTAAGAGACTCATACCCCCAATTCTGTGTTCTATGTTGGAGGTAATTGAGGTCTCTCTTGTCCTTTTATAAAATGGTGGGACTGGCAGTGTTTGGAGGTGTTTAGTTGAAATTCAAAAGGTGGTTCTGTTCCTGCTTCCTCCTGATCATATTCAGTGAGAACAGTTTTCATTTAATTTCCTTGGATTTGTGCTGATGTGGAAGTGAGTACTAGCACTGTAGCCAGCATATATGGTCTGCTTTATAGACATTGCTGCATGTAATTCTATATCATCCCCAATATTCAGTGCAGAGTCAGGATTCTTTTTACTGCAAGAGACAAAACCCAACACAAATTGATTTGAGGAAAAAAAAAAGGGCATTTATGACTCCCAAAGTGAGAAAGTCTAGAGGTAGATCTAGGTTTATACTTGTTGGAATCAATCAGGTGCTCAAAATAATTTGCCTCCCTGCAAATCTCACCTGTGTCTTCCTATGTGTGGACCCAATTCCAGGAAGGCTCTTCTCTAAGGGGGAAAATACACACACACACACACACACACACACACACACACACACACAAACACACACACACACACACACACACACACACACTGCCTGAATCCTCCTATGAACTGGGGTTTCTATCTTTGCTCTTTATTTCTATGTCTTCAGACTGTGCCTGGCACGTAGTATTACCAAAATTGGAAGTTACCACATTTTGCTTTGAAATGAATGAACAGATTGTGGTAGGTAGATTTTATTGGGAAAAAAATGTAATTCATTAAAAAAATAGCTAAAAGCATTGAAAAATGCTAGCTTCATGAGGTATTTCATGACTGGCCTGGCTCAGTAGTATTTATTGAATGAATGATCAGATGGTCCTCTCTCATGCTAGTGCCCAATCTTACAGCCAGAGATGGAGTCAGCTCCAACTAATTCATGTGACTAAATACAGGAGTATTTGTTTCCCCAGGAAAAATCAGAACCTGTTGTCAGAATAAAGGAAAGTACATGTTGACCTCAAGTGATCCGCCTGCCTCGGCCTCCCAAAGTGCCAGGATTACAGGCATGAGCCACCGTGCCAGACCCATAAACCACTATTTAAAATGATCCTTGACCTTGTGATCCACCCGCCAACATGGTGAAGCCCTGTCTTTACTAAAAATACAAAAATTAGCCGAGTGTGGTGGTGCGTGCCTGTAGTCCCAGCTACTTGGGAGGCTGAGGCAGGAGAATCGCTTGAACCTGGGAGGTGGAGGCTGCAGCGAGTGGAGATCGCGCCACTACACTCCAGCCTGGCAACAGAATGAGACTCTGAAAAAAAAAAAATCCTTCCCTTGAGAAATAGTTTCTCAGAGCTGTGATCACCCACCTCCCAAAGTGCTGGGATTACAGGTGTGAGCCACCGCACTTGTCTTTACTAAAAAATACAAAAGTTAGCTGAGCGTGGTGTCAGGCGCCTATAATCCCAGCTACTCGGGAGGCTGAGGCACGAGCATAGCTTGAACCCAGGAGGCAGAGGTTGCAGTGAGCTGAGATTGCACCACTGCACTCTAGCCTGGTGACAGAGTGAGACTCTGTCTCAAAAAAAAAAAAAAAAAGAAAGTAGATGCCGAACTGACAAAGCATGACAGAGATCAACTCCACCAGGATAATGATATAATATCTGATACCATGTAATCCTAGAACGTTATTTCTCTTTCATATACGCAAGGGGTAAGAGAGAGATCATGCCTTAAAGGAAAATCAGGATGCTGTCACCAAAGAAAGAAGAAGGGAACTAGTGAGGCAAAAACAACAATGCCTTCTCCAGAGAACATCATTAGTGTCACTGGTGAATGGTTCATTCTCCACTTTGTATTGGTCACAAAGAAAGAACATCCAATTGGAAAAGGCAATCAGGTTTTATTCATTGGCCAGGGAATGGAGAAATTGAGCTCTCACCCTAAATGCACCTTCTCCCCAAATAATAGAAAGCATGCTTTCTTTTTTTTTTGAGATGGAGCCTTGCTCTGTTGCTAGGCTGGAGTGCCATGGCACGATCTCGGCTCACGGCCACCTCCGCCTCCTGGGTTCAAGTGATTCTCCTGTCTCAGCCTCCCGAGTAGCTGGGATTACAGGCATGCGCCATGCGCTTGGCTAATTTTTTGTATTTTTAGTAGAGACAGGGTTTCTCCATGTTGGTCAGCCTGGTCTCGAACTCCTGACCTCTGGTGATCCGCCCGCCTCGGCCTCCCAAAGTGCTGGGATTACAGGCATGAGCCACCGCGCCTGGCCAAAAGCATGGGATTTTTAAGGACTAGGTTCAGGGCAAGAGAAGAATGTGAGCCTGTGTCCGGTGGGACTCCAGACACACAGGCATAATTCATAAACACGTCTTCCTGCATCACATGTACACAAAACAGTGGAGATCTTTTTTCAGGGGAGAGAGTTTTAGCATCATAATGATATGTTAATAATTGGAAGGCAACTAACGGTCACCTATTCCAGTTTGCACCAGTTTTGCAGCGTTTTCTCTTCTCCCAGTATCGGGTTAGGGATCAAGAAGCTCTGGTGCCATCTCGGGCTGTCTGGCTTTTTAAGCAGCTTTGCCTATAGATAAAGGGACCGTAACACAAAGGAACGTTCGCGTTTATTTCATCAGGGATGCCTCGGTAACATCAGGACAGAAAATGGTTATAATCTGAAAGTTACAGTGCTGAAGGAGAACCCAGTGAATGGGGCAGTAACTGGAGAAAAATTAATCTCTGCCTGTATACCAGAAACTTTTCTAGTGGTTGAGAATGTGGCATTAATCTCTCTGCCAATGCGTGACGACTCCAAGACCTAGCTATCCTTGTCCAGCAGGGGATCCCTTCCTCTTGGTTTCCCCTTTTAGCCAAGGACGGATGACATAAGACCACAGGACACGAATTCATGACATGCAGATTGCTGAAATTTTGCCACTCAAGATCAGAACAGTGTCTCTGAACCTAGTCTGTATGTGATTGAATGAGATTATTGCTACATCGTTGCATTTAAGACTCTGGATTGGATACATTGCCCAACTATAACGCAGGCAATTACCGGAAACCCGTATGTTTATTAGTCCTTGTAACAGATCTCAAAGGAAGAGGTCTAGATGATAAAATCCAGGCAATAAAACTACATCCCTGAATCCAGCTGGGCCTGTTTGAGTTTTAGGTGCCTTTTTCTCTTCCTGTAGTCTTGGAGTATTTTTACCTGCTCTGTAGTATTTGCATGTATAGGTGCATGCAGTATTTGCATGTATATAGGTGCATGCAGTATTTGCATGTATATAGGTGCATGCAGTATTTGCATGTATAGGTGCATGCAATATTTGCGTAGGTGCATGCAGTATTTGCATAGGTGCATGCAGCAAGCTTAGAAGAAGTCAAAAGCAAAGTGATTTTCCATGGCAACTCTGGCTAATGAACTTAAATGAGCTTACTGGGCTTCCCGAGCAGATGTTCTATTATTTATGACATCTGTTAGAGTCAATGACAAGTTTCAGATCACTGTGAGAATTGCAACTCAGTTTGCATGAAGAGGGCATCAGTTATCCCTTCTGGAGTATTCCATACTTGCCTCATTTTAGAGGTTCCTGGGAGTGGTGGTAGTTTTGCATAGCTAGTAGTCTCTAATATTCACCCCCTAAAATGCAGGATAAGTTGGTGTAAAGCCGGCAGGCATCAGCCTGATATTAACTTAAGAACTAGAACACCCAAGTCACGAGTTTACCTATAAAACAAACCTGCACATGCACCCCTGAACCTAAAATTAAAGTTAAAATACTTATTTTTAAAAAAGATAAACAAAAGAACTAGAATTTTAGTGGGGCACGGGCTCTATTGGAAATATAAGCATCATTTATCACGACAAGAGTGAGCTCAGGCTGTGTCCATTTTATAGGAGTTCCTGTAAGTGGTCAGAAAATCATTTTGTTTTTAAATCGTTTAGAAGTCAGATTAATCCTAAATTATTTGCTTCTTTAGAGTATCAATATTTGTTCTTTTATTGTTTATGAGTTGGTAAGTCTGGGCAAGGGTTACTTAATGTATTCATCTACACTGATTTAATTCCTGTGAGAAGCTTAAATTTCAAAGGTAAATTCAACTCTGTATAGCTGAGCATTTTGGCAATTTTTAGCTGTTTTCTTTTTAAGTACGAGCCATCGGTAAATATAATTAAATCAGGGATATTCAAGGAAGTTTCTAGCAGGTCTCAAAAAGGCATGGATAGTTTCCTAACAGAGGTTGCTTTTCTGCAAACAAAAGAGAAAATTAGATTATAGAAAACTAAGAACTGCTTAGTTCTTTTATTTCTGAGAACACATACCATTTTAATTATTTTGATGAGGAAAAATTAAATGAATACATAAATATAAATATATGATATCCAAAACAGTTGTATAATTTGTTAATCTATTGCCATTTTAATAAGTGAAGATAAATTATGTTTGTTGACTAGTGTTCCAAATCTATTTTTATTTAGAAACTGTCCAGGCATCCAAAGATCATTTATTAATTAAACATTTATCTAAGGTCTTAAAATTAGTTATGGTTCTGAAAATTATAATTTGGTTGTTAAATCCTTTTGATTTGTAGCAGCATAAGAATTTCATAACAGTAAACCTTTAAAGACAAATCTAGTATTATCATTTTCTTTAGGTGACTATAATTTTATATGTATAAATTTTTTATTTTAAACAAGTTATGGGGACAGTGGTAACTTAAGTACTTCATAAAAGCAGTGTAGGCAATTTAGAAAGTTTAAATATGAGCCATTAAACTCTGTATTTATACAAATAAAATTTTGTGCTGTCAGTATTTTTCTAGGGTGAACTAATTATTTTAAAGACTGAATCATGCCCCAACCTCTGTTTTATCTTGGAGCTAATGCCATTTTTTCTCACTTCGGCACTACAGTAACAATGGCTATTACATCAATATACTCGTCAGCATCTGCAAAAATAAACACTGCTTCATAACATTTTCTTTGAGGCATCGTTGACTATTTATCTGGACTAGGTATTTCTACTGTGCCAATATAACAAATTGAGAGGTGACAGCGTGCTGACAGCCCTCGCTTGCTCTCCGCGTCTCCTGGGCCTCGGCGCCCATTCTGGCCATGCTTGAGGAGTCCTTCAGCCTGCTGCTGCACTGTGGGGGCTCCCTTCTGGGCTGGCTGAGACCGGAGCCAGCACCCTCAGCTTGCCAGGAGGTGTGGAGGGAGAGGCGTGGGCGGGAACCGGGGCTGCTGCATTGCGCTTGCGGGCCAGCACAAGTTTCGGGTGGGCGTGGGCTCAGAGGGCCCCACAGTCGGAGCCACCAGCCAGCCCCGCCAGCCCTGGCAGGGAGGGGCTTAGCACCTCCGCCAGCAGCTGCAGAGGGTGCGCCGGGTCCCCCAGCAGTGCCGGCCCACAGGCGCGCTGCACTCCATTTCTCACCGGGCCTTAGCTGGCTCCCCGCAGGGCAGGGCTCAGGACCTGCAGCCAGCCATGCCTGAGGCCTGAGACTCCACCCGCCCACCCCCCGCCCACCACCTCCCCCCGCCGCCCACCACCCCCCCCGCCGCCCACCACCCCCCCGGCCACCCACCACCCCGCCACCCACCACCCCCCCACCCACCACCACCGTGGCCTCCTGTGCTGGCGAGCCTCCCCCATGAGCGCCATGTGCTGCTCCATGGCACACTTTCCCATGGACCGCCAAAGGGCTGAAGAGTGCAGGCACAAGGCGTGGGACTGGCAGGCAGATCCACCTGCTGCTGGGTGCGGGATCCACTGGGTGAAGCCAGCTGGGCTCCTGAGTCTAGTGGGGACTTAGAGAACCTTTATGTCTAGCTAAGGGATTGTAAACACACCAATCAGCACTCTGTGTCTAGCTCAAGGTTTGTAAACACACCAATCAGCACCCTGTGTCTAGCTCAAGGTTTGTAAATGCACCAATCAGTGCTCTGTGTCTGGCTAATCTAGTGGGGACTTGGAGAACTTTTGTGTCTAGCTCAGGGATTATAAACGCACCAATCAGCACCCTGTCAAAACAGACCAATCAGCTCTCTGTAAAATGGACCAATCAGCAGGATGTGGGTGGGGCCAGATAAGGGAATAAAAGCAGGCTTGGGTAATGGCAACCCCCGCCGGTCTCCTTCCACGCTGTGGGAGCTTTGTTCTTTAGCTCTTTGCAATAAATCTTGCTGCTGCTCACTCTTGAGGTTGGCACTGCCTTTATGAGCTGTAACACTCACCGTGAAGGTTTATAGCTTCTCTCCTGAGGCCAGCGAGACCACGAACCCACCAGGAGGAATGAACGACTCCAGACGCACCGCCTTAAGAGCTGTAACACTCACAGCGAAGGTCTGTGGCTTCACTCTTGAAGCCAGAGAGACCACGAACCCACCAGAAGGAAGAAACTCCAAACACATCCTAACATCAGAAGGAACAAACTCTGGACACACTGCCTTTAAGAACTGTAACACTCACTGCGAGGTCCACGGCTTCATTCTTGAAGTCTGTGAGACCAAGAACCCACCAATTCCGGACACAAAATGAACATTAAAAAAAAAAAATTAACCTCTTTCCCCGAGAGAGGGAAGGCGAGAGAGAGAGGAACAGAAACTAATGAAAGGTGGGCAGCTTCAGGAAAACATGAAATTATCATTATAAAAGTCTAATTATGTTTTCTCTACAAAGAGAGGACACAAAGTTTAGATGCTGTAATAGTCTATTTTCATGCACTGGTAAAGACATACCCGAGATGGTAATTAATAAAGAAAAAGAGGTTTAATGGATGCACAGTTCCACATGGCCGGGAAGGCCTCATAATCATGGTGGAAGGAGAAAGGCATGTCTTACACGGTGCCAGGCAAGAGAGAATGAGAGCCCAGAGAAAGGAGAAACCCCTTATAAAACCATCAGATCTCAGGAGACTTATTCACTACCAGGAAAACAACATGGGAAAGACCCACCCCCATGATTCGATCACCTCCCACCATGTCCCTCCCACAACACATGGGAATTGTTGGAGCTACAGTTCAAGATGAGATTTGGGTAGGGACATAGCCAATACACGTCCCCTTATTATTGGATTTGGACTTGGGTTAGGTAATTTTGGGGACAGCTTAATGATGAGGGCTTTCTTCTGGATTAAATGCTGTCAGGAAGTGAGCCAATCTTATTTGGAAGGAGGAAGGAGTGCACAGGTAAAGGTATAATTGTCGAAGAAGCAATGGCCCCTCCTATAAGCTGGGAGAGCGTGATGTTTGGGGCTTTCGTGGTTTTCACAATAACTTTGTTTTTATCTGTGCTTAGATGCGATTCTGAAATTGTTTTCCTTTGTTTATTGTTGTTTTTTCTCACTGCATCACAGACACAGAACAGCAGACCCCAGGCTGATGCGGATGCTCTGCAGGATGGTTGATATCTAACAGGAGGCCCCCAAGGTCTTTCTGTGAACACCAAGCCAGCTCCTAAGAGCTCCAAGATCTCGTTGTAAGTGGCAGGCCAGTCTCAGGGCATCGGAAACTCTTCTTCTCTTTCTCAATACATAATTTAAAATTGTTTTTCATTTTCTGTGATCTAAGATTTATTTTTTAAAAATATTCACTGAGCCATAAACAATATAATTGTTATATCCAATTTACCCAAACAATACAAATGTATAGCATACTGTGATTATGATTAATCATAAAAATTTTATTAGAAATTACATCTCCTGATGAGATAGAAAGGAAAATATTCAGGTAGGTCATGCATCTATGAATAAATATTGTTTATTCCTTAAATCAAAAGAGTCGGTATAAATTTTATTCCTACTTTGGTTTTATTCATGTAAGTACTGAGAAAACTCATGCTAAATGAATAAAAGAAAGCAGAATTAGGCCGGACACAGTGGCTTATGCCTGTTATCCCAGCACTTTGGGAGGCCGAGGCGGGCGGATCACCTGAGGTCAGGAGTTCGAGACCAGCCTGGCCAACATGGCGAAACCCCATCTCTACTAAAAATACAAAAATTAGCCAGGCGTGATGGCGGGTGCCTGTAATCCCAGCTACTTGGGAGGCTGAGGAAGGAGAATTGCTTGAACCCAGGAGGCAGAGGTTGCAGTGAGCCGAGATTGCACCACTGCACTCCAGCCTGGGCTACACAGCTAGACTCCATTGAGAGAAAGAGAGAAAGGAAGGAAGGAAAAGAGAAGGAAAGGAAGGAGGGAGGGAGAGAGAGAGAAGGAAGGAAGGAAAGAAAGAGAAAGGAAGGAAGGAAACAAGGAGACTCTTTTTTTTTCAGGTATTTGCAAAATACTCATTTAGACATAGCATCAAAAACATTTTTAGTGATCTCCCTGTTTACAAAGCAATTGAGTCCTCAAATTGAAAGCAAAGAATCAGAAAGTAACTGACTTGCAAATGGATTTGTTTTTCAGTAACAGACCTTGTATTTTCCTCAATCACAAGAGCAATATTTCAAATTCTCCAATGTTCAAAAGTCCCAGGAGCCCCTCCCTTCTTCCTCCCCAGTCCAGTTACGTGCTAGGAAATAAACGGAGATGAGTGGGAGTTTGTCTACCTTTGTAAAAAGGGAGAAAGGAGATTGTTTAAGGGAAAGTAGACACTGAGAATCCATATCCCCTCAACTACCGGAGGGTTCTTAGTTAAAATAATTTTAGCAAAGAACACAAATGGAACATCCACACTGGAGCTAGATTCCCTAAAGCCATTCGTACTGAATACCCCTTGAAAAGTCCAACGGTATCTTCAGGATTACCTGTAATTGATCTTGAAGAGTCACCAAATGATGTGCCAATTGTTTTCCCTGGAATATCTGCCTCACCAAAATAGGGACCATGATCCTTTTGTTTATGTTTTGTAATATTACCCTTAGATCTCCGATGGCCCCTATACTTTATCTTTGCACATAGGAAGTTCTCTACAAATATTGGTTACAGTGGAAGAATCCATTGTATCACTTTAGGTTAGAAAACACAATTAAAGATGGCAATCATTTTGTACCATGAAAACCAGTGCCTGACATAATTCCTTTCAATTAAGTAGTGGCCAATAATTGCTTATTGATTGAATAATATTAATTATTTGGAATAGCAGCTGATGCCTGCCATCTATGGATGCACACACACACACACACACACACACATCTGCACACACTACAGTGGCCGCACAAGTTAAGCTTTACTTCATTTGATTAATAAACAGTTCAGAAAGGTTATATAGTTATATAACTTGCTCGAATCATAGCGATAATACATAGTTGTACAAGGATTATAATCAGGTTCCCAAATATCTGTTGTTTTCATCACACCACGTTGCCTCTATCACATCTGGATTTAGTCCTGGCTCTCCTGAAGGATGTCAGCAGTTTTTTTTTTCTTTTTTCTTTTTTCTGAGACGGAGTCTCACTCTGTCGCCTAGGCTGGAGTGCAGTGGCGCGATCTCGGCTCACTGCAAGCTCTGCCTCCCAGGTTCAAGCCATTCTCCTGCCTCAGCCTCCCAAGTAGCTGGGACTACAGGCGCCTGCCACCACGCCCGGATAATTTTTTATATTTTTAGTAGAGATGGGGTTTCACCGTGTTAGCCAGGATGGTCTCTATCTCCTGACCTCGTGATCCGCCCATCTCGGCCTCCCAAAGTGCTGGAATTACAGGTAGATGTCAGCAGTTTTTTAAACAAAAAGCATCCTTGTTTTCTTACAATTAAAAGGAGGAGGAGGAGCAGAGCTACCTTATACTTGTGATGAATACAATGAGATGAAATATGTAAAATACCAACACAGTGCGTGGGACAGTTTATGTATTTAATAAATGCTGGTTCCCTCTCTCACTTGGTGGAAAAGAAATAAAAATAAATCTGTAGAACTCATAGAACTCAAACCTGATACATTTTGCTTTTGACTTGATTGGGTGACATTTTAGAGAAATAAAATATTTTCCAACTGACCAGGTCTCTAACCAACCAGACCCGCTACTTGGCTGTTTTGAAAGCCCTTCTTAGCACAAGCTCACTTTAAAACAATTCAGGGAAGATGGATTCAATCCAAACGGCACAGATTAGAAGCACTCCACAATTTTCTATCATTTTAAGAAGTAGAACACAACCTGAAAATGGGATATAATTGGGGCATAGAAGCATCTCTGGGCTGCCTATTTTATTCTCATTTCCTCGGGAAGAATTCATATTTGATCTCTTGGTGTGCAAATGGGAATTAGAGCTTCTCATGCTCTGTTTTTGAAATAGGCAAAGGGTATCAGTGTAGATGGCGCACACACAGTTGAGCCACATCCAACCAATGATCTGATCTTTAACAGCGAACAGCCCGCGGTCTTTAGAAAAGCAGCAGAAATTCTATAACAGGAAGACAAAAACCAAGGCAGGCATGTTCCCTTCCCTGAGGAATTTCTTTCCTACAGATTTAGTCTCGGGGATGGGAGGAGGGTCCTCATAGATCTGTTTACTTTTATTTGCTTATGTGATGAATGTTGTGATGTTGTAGGCTTGAAATGGGGAATTTATATATCCTGATTTTTAAAAACGTATCTTTAACCAAAAGAAAACACAGAGCTGAGAGACAGCAGGCACCTGAAGAGGGAAGTTGGTCTTTCACAGAAGTCTGGACATCAGAAAGGTAGAAAGATGTTGAAAAGACCTTTTTTTTTTTTTTTCCTTTTCCCTCCCCGCCAACATGTTGAATGGCTGTTAGGAGACTGGGTTGAAGAATAAGGGACCTCCGAAGCCTTCCTCTGTTAGTTTAGCCACATGCAGGGTTTTGTATTCTTTGCCCCGGGAAGGGTTAAAAGAGGCCATCATGGTGATGGGGGAAAAATAGATGATTTACCTTCCAGTCTTGGCTGATGTTCAATTAAAGGTAGCCCTTTTGATGCTGCACAGGGCCCTCTGTGTGTTGCAAGGGGCAAGTTATTAGGAATGAAATCGATGCAGGGCAAGCGAGCCTCAAAATTGGGGTTTAGCCTGGGAGAGTTCTTGGCTTTGCCCAGAAAAAAATTCAAGGAGGAGCCGGTAGTGCTAGGCAGCAACTTTTGAGGCAGCAGGGCACACACAGCAGCAGCAGAGGTCCTGGTCCTTGCAGAGCAGGGCTACCCCATAGGCAGTGGGCCCAGAGTAGCAGCTCAGAGGCAGGGCTGCAGTCATACTTATTTTTAATTATATACAAATTAAGGGGAGGATTATGCAAAGATGTCTAGAAATAGGGTGGTAACTTCTGAGTCCTTAGGTGGTTGCCATAGAAAGGGGGTGGTAACTTCCGGTGTTGCCATGACAATGGTAAACTGACATGGCACTGGTAGTCTCATTTCCTGTTTCAGCTAGTCTTCAGTCTAGTCTGGAGTCTGAGCCCTGCCTCCGGAGTTGAATCCCGCCTCCTACCTCAAAATGTTATAACAGAACAGAGCTTTCTGTTTTCAAAACACTTGGATATTCCCCCTCCAGCCTGGGCAACATGGCGAAACCCTGTCTCTGCTAAAAATACAAAAATTATCCAGGCGTGGTGGCACATGCCTGTAGTCCCAGCTGCTCGGGAGGCTGAGGCAGGAGAATTGCTTGAACCCGGGAGGCGAAGGTTGCAGTGAGCCGAGATCCCGCCACTGCACTCCAGCTTGTTAGTCTTCAGCAGTTATGGGGCTTATTGTTAGTCCAAGCTGCACCATTTTGTAAGCCCCCCGCCATTTTGCAAACTGGTCAGAGTGAAACATTCCACAGGGGTATGGGCCATGAGAAACATCTGCCTAACCGCCTGACCACAAGGCGCAGGAACATCCTTATTATGCCCTGGTGGGAAAAGGCCCAGCTGAAGGAACATCCCTATCGTATATCCACTGGGCAAAGGTTCAAGGAACATCCTATCACATTCCACCAGAAAAAAGGGTCAGACTGCCTGATCATAGGGACATCTTATCAATATCCTCCCAGGCAGCCAGCCATACCGCCCAGACCCCTCCCACCCAGACCGATAAATTACCCCAGCCTGTAAGAAGCGGTGGGCTCTGGCATTAAGCTGATCCCCCGCTTCCGCAGGTTTTTGCAATATGCCTGTGTTGCTGCAGAGCCTCCCCCTTTCTTTCTCTGTCTTTAACACTCACCTTCCCTTCAAAACCTAACACTTCTATGGTATATTAGTTTCTTACTGCTTCCATAACAAATGATCACACATGCAGGGGTTTAAAACAACACACATGTATTCTCTTACACTTCTGGAGGTCAGAAAGGTAAACAGGTCAGCAGGGATGGAGTCCATCTGGAAGCTCAAGAGAGAATCCATTTCCTTGCCTTTTCCAGCTTCAAGAAGCTGCCTACCTTCTTTGGTCCCCAGCCCTTCATCCCTGTCCCCATCACCACACTGCCTTCTCTGACTCTGATCCTTACAAGGACCATTGTGATTGCATCGGGCTCACCAAGATCATCCAGAAGAACCTCCGCATCTCAAGATCCTTAGCTCAAGCACATCTGCACTCCCTTTTGCCATGTAAGGCGACATGTTTATTAGGTCTTGGGGATTAATCCATGGGGATCTTTGGTGGGGGCGACCCTTCAGCCTACTACGTGTGCCAAGCCATTGTCTCAGGGTACATCATCTAAAGTCAAGTTATGATCTCCATGGGCCAAGTAGGGGTTAAGTATAAATGACTAGTATAATTTTTACTACTGGGTATTGGTAATTATTTATTGGGAGCATAGCTACTAAAATCATCTCTTCCATAGACTAAAAACTTCTTGAGTGATGAGAATAGCATCAGATGACACTAATCTTGGTGGACCCATGGTGTCCCACATACCAGGTACCCAGTAACTACTTTTTTTTTTTTTTTTTTTTTTTTTTTTTGAGACAGAGTCTCACCCTGTTGACCAGGCTGGAATGCAGTGGCACAATCTTGGTTCACTGAAACCTCCACCTCCTGGGTTCAAGTGATTCTCCTGCCTCAGCTTCCTGAGTAAGTGGGATTACAGCCACCCACCACCACGCCTGGCTAATTTTTGTATTTCTAGTGGAGACGGGGTTTCACCATGTTGGCCAGGTTGGTCTTGAACTCCTGACCTCAGGTGATCCACCTGCCTTTGGCCTCCCAAAGTGTTGGGATTACAGGCATGAGCCACTGCGCCCGGCCCCCAGTAACAACTTCTTAATGAGACTATGTGGCCCTTTCTGTATGGGAGGAAGTGGTGATGGTCAGGGAAGCTAGCAACCCAGAAAATAAATTAAACTAGTATTTTTTCTTTCACAGCATAAATTGCTTTATTTTCTCTCTCCAATGATTTTTCTTTTTAATGTCTGAGTGTTTCTTGATCCAATGTAGAGCATATGGGGGAAGTGACTGATGGGAGAGCTAAAGCAGGCAAAATGCACAAGACCCCAGAGCATCTTGTGGTACCAGAAAGTTAGGAAGTGCTGGCCAGGCATGGTGGCTCACGCCTGTAATCCCAGCACTTTGGGAGCCCGAGGTGGGTGGATCATTTGAGGTTAGGAGTTCGAGACCAGCCTGGCCAACATGACGAAACCCTGTATCTATTAAAAATACAAAAATTAGCAGGGCAGTGGTGATGCACACCTATAATCCCCGCTACTTGGGATGCTGAGGCAGGAGAATCACTTGAACCCGGAGGGGGCAGAGCTTGCAGTGAGCTGAGATCACGCCACTGCACTCCAGACTGGGTAACAGATCGAGACCCTGTCTAAAAAAAAAAAAAAACCAGGAAGAGCTAAAAATGATACAAAACAAAACCAAGTAACCAATCAAGAATACACAACAACAACAACAAACAAAACTGGGGTATGTTGAAAGGGCATGAGAACCAATGCTGAAGGAGCTCCCAGTGTCCAGAACTGGCATTAGATAAAAATCCAAACTACAAAATAAATATCCATGAGTTCACACTGACATACGTACATAATGGAATGAATAAATGAGGGAACAAGAGACAACTCTTCACTGCAAAAGAATTCCAAGCCATAAATGTAGAAGGAAATAGAACAAGGGAAATAGAAAATCACTTAGAACACCACAGTAATAATTGCTGCAGGCAAGATTCACTAAAGGAGGCTAAAATCAGTAGGCAAAAGTTTAAGGAGAAACATATTTTGCATAATCTGAAAGTGTCTCTCCAAAACTAAATATTATGAATTTAAAAGGAAAAAATAGTAACTTTACGGTAGAGAAAACCTGCAGGTACTACATAAAGCATGTGATTGTTTCCGTCCCTTCCTTTTCTTTCCTTTCCTTTCCCTTCCTTCCTTCCTTTCTCTTTCTTTCTTTCTTTCTTTCTTTCTTTCTTTCTTTCTTTCTTTCTTTCTTTCTTTCTTTCTTTCTTTCTTTCTCTCTCTCTCTCTCTCTCCCTTCCTTCCTTCCTTCCTTCCTTCCTTCCTTCCTTCCTTCCTTCCTTCCTCCATAAGTTATTGGAGTACAGGTGGTATTTGGTTACAAGAGTAAGTTCTTTAGCGGTGATTTGCAAGATTTTGGTGTGCCCATCACCCGAGCAGTATACACTGCATCATATTTGTAGTCTTTCATCCCTCACCCCCTTCTTACTCTTCCCCCCAAGTCCCCAAAGTCTATTGTATCATTCTTATGCCTTTGCATCTTCATAGCTTAGCTCCCACATATCAGTGAGAACATAGGATGTTTGGTTTTCCATTCCTGAGTTACTTCACTTAGAATAATAGTCCCAATCTCATCCAGGTCACTGCAAATGCCTTATTACTATAAAAGGTAGTAACATCAGATACTCCAAGATATCATGCACTGAGAAAAGCACGTCACCTTACAGATATTTTTCCCTGATAATGGACAACCTCAATCTAATCATAAGAATATATCAGACAAATCTATATTGAGGAACTGTCTACAAAATAACTGAGTGTCCAAGTCATGAAAGGCAAGTAGATGCTTGTCACAAGTTGAAGGAGATGAAGGAGACATAACAAGTAAATGTAGTGTGAATTCTGGAGGAGAGAAAAAAATTAATGCAAAAACTAGGGAACTATGAATAAAGTCAGTAGTTTAGTGAGTAGTATTGTACCTAATGTTAATTTCTTCATTTTGACAATTTTACTATGGTTATGCCAGAGGCCTATGACCCAGAGCAACTCCATCTTGAATAGGAGCTGGGTAAAATGAGGCTGGGACCTACCGAGCTGCGTTCCCAGACTGTTGAGGCATTCTAAGTCACAGGATGAGATAGGAGGTCTGCAGAAGATACAGGTCATAAAGACCTTGCTGATAAAACAGTTTACAGTAACAAAGCTGGCTAAAACACACCAAAACCAAGATGGTGACAAGAGTGACCTCTGGTTGTCCTCACAGCTACACTCCCACCAGCGCCATGATAGTTTACAAATGCCATGGCAACGTCAGGAAGTTACCCAGATGATCTAAAAAGGGGAAGCATGAATAATCCATCCTTTGTTTAACATATCATCAAAAAATAACCATAAAAATGGGCAACCAGCAGCCCTTGGGGCTGCTCTGTCTATGGAGTAGCCATTCTTATATTCCTTTACTTTCTTAATAAACTTGCTTTCACTTTACTCTGTGGACTTGCCCTGAATTCTTTTCTCACATGAGATCCAAGAACAATGTGGCACATATACACAACGGAATACTATGCAGCCATAAAAAAGGATGAGTGCGTGTCCTTTGCAGGGACATGGATGAAGCTGGAAGCCATCATTCTCAGCAAACTAACACAATAACAGAAAATCAAACACCACACATAAGTGGGAGGTGAACAATGAGAACATATGGATGCAGGGAGGCGAATATCACACACTGGGGCCTGTCAGGGGTTGGAGGGCTAGGGGAGGGATAGCATTGGGAGAAATACCTAATGTAGATGACGGGTTGATGGGTGCAGCAAACCACCATGGCACCTGTATATCTATGTAACAAACCTGAACGTTCCACACATGTACCCCAGAACTTAAAGTCTAATAATAATAATAATAAAAGAACCCTCTCTTGGGGTCTAGATCGGGGCCCCTTTCCTGTAACGCTTATGCAGAAAGTTAACAATGAAAGACACTGCATGAAGGCTATCCTTGAACTGTCCTCTAAGTCTACAACTATCTTTAAATAAAAAGTTAAAGCTAAAATAGCGCAGGAAGATAGTGTCGGTAATTTCTCTGCATGACTGTAAATGCTTCAGTGCGATTATCCTGCAGTTGAAGGCGTGATGTCTGTTTAAAGAGTAAGATGTCCCCAGCTCAGCCTGACGCTTAGAATTCTCCACGTGTTTCCACAATGATCTTCCCATTTGAACCTCTCAGCAGTGTGAGTGGTAAGTATGGAGTGGATGCTAATATTTTTAGATTGGGAAACAGATGTTTAGGGAGAATGAATGATTTATTCATGGAGTCCAGATTTCCTGGTTTCAAGTTCTGTGTTCTTGCTAAGCCAGGCAGCTTGCCAGGACTCCTCTCTGTCCATATTTTCTAGCCAGGAAGGAGTCACCATCTTGGATTTGAAATCCAGCTATTATTCTTTACTTCTAAGTATATCCCAAAGCATCTGGCTTTAACCTTGCTTGAGGATGCCACAGAACCAATCAGACTCACGCACAGAGTTTTGCTCCACAACAGCTTTGCAATCATCCGAAAGGGTGAGGGTATAAGCCTTCTTTCATCCTGATATTGCATTTGAAAGAACCTTACAGTTTCTGCAAGTCTGATAGCCTTATTTGCATGTACCTAAAAAGCTTTGGCGAACCCTTTTAACCACCTGATCAGCCAACAGAGCCACAGCATGACAGCGTCGATTAAAGTTTTGGATTTTTGGATAATTCAGGGTTTCTGTATTTCAAAAACACCTTTGATGGTGGTAGTATTTTGGGCAAGGGATGTGGGTATTGGGAGAGATAAGAGTTTCTGTGGGCTAGAATTCAAACATGCACTATTCATTCCCATGCTTTGATGTGTTGACTTCACTTGCCACTGCTACCTACATCTAATTTGAGGCTATAAGCATGTTTATTGGCAGTCTGGATTTAAAAAAAAAAAGAAAAGAAAATGCCTTCTACTGTGCTATAGAGACCTTTCTTCCCTTTCTCAAAACAAGCCTTGGTGAGAGAGAATAGCATCTGTGTTCATTAGCTTGGGTTTCTGTAACAAAGTACCATGAACTGACGGGCTTACCTAATAGAAATTAATTTTCTCACAATTCCGGGGGCTAGAAGTCTGAGATCAAGATGTCAACAGCGTTGATCTCTTCATTTCTTCTGAGGCCGCTCTACTTGACATGTAGATGATCATCTTTTCTCTGTGTCTTTATATTGTCTTCCCTCTGTGTCTGTGTCCAGATTTCTTGTTTATTTATTTATTTATTTAAGGGACAGGGTCTTTCTCTGTTACCCAGGCTGCAATGCAGTGGTGCAATCATAGCTCTCTGCAGTCTTAAATTCCTGGGCTCAAGATCCTCCTGCCCCAGCCTTCCAAGTAGCTTGGACTACAGGTGTGCACCACCACGCCTAGTTAATGTTTGTCTTTTTCGTAGAGATAGGGTTGGAGTCTCACTATGTTGCCCAGGCTGATATTGAACTCCTGACCTCAAGTGATTCTCCTGCCTTGGCCTCCCAAAGTGCTGGGATTCCAGGTGTGAGTCACCATGCCAGCCCTTATTCTTATAAGAATACCGGTTATATTGAATGAGGGCCCACCCTAAAGACCTCACTTTAACATAATTAACTTTAAAGTCCCTATCTCCATATACCATCATATTCTGAGGTATTGGGGTTAGGACTTCAACATATAAATTTTGGGAGGACACAATTCAGCTATAATAGCACCTTTGTTACAAATAAGCAGGCGATCAACCAAAAACACTCAACTAGGTCTTGGGAAACCTTGGTTCTAATCTCATCATATATGCATTCTGGGTCTGAGTTTTTTCACCCAGAAAACAGGACTGATTAGTTTGCATATGGAAGTTGAAGAGAGGTAGTAAGTGAAGGGAAGGTTTAAATTATTTAGAGTATACATGAGGTCCATCTGAGCTGTCTTTAAGTTCTAATAGTCTTAAATACATCCTTCAGCATTCACACCACCAATTTAAAAGACAATCAAGAGGTATGAAGCCAGGCGTGGTGGCTCACACCTATAATCCCAGAACTTTGGGAGGCTGAGGCAGGCGGATCACCTGAGGTCAGGAGTTTGAAACCAGCCTGGACAACATGGTGAAACCCCATCTCTACTAAAAATATAAAAATTAGCCAGGTGTGGTGGCATGTGCTTATAATCCCAGCTACTCCGGAGGCTGAAGCAGAAGAATCGCTGGAACCCAGGAGACAGAGGTTGCAGTGAGCCGAGATCATGTCACTGTATTCCAGCCTGGGCAACAGAGCAAGACTGGCTCAAAAAAAAAAAAAAAAAAGAGAGAGAGAGATATGAATGACCATCACAATAGTCTCTTGGAAGTGAATCCAATGAGAACAAAATACTTTGGAGGAGACATCCATTCCTCACTGATATTACCCCAACAAAGTCCCAACGATTCCCTATCCTCTGTGGCCACTATTGGCATTCTGCAGCTTTGGTGCAGTACCAAGGTGGGTACTCGAGGGGGCCTCAGCTTGCAGTTGCTGTAACCACACCCTGACTCCACCATGAAGTTGCCCATGTGGGGTGATCTTGGTGCCATTGAACATCCCACAATATTTATCTCATAACACTCTTAAGCTAGTCATGGTGTTGCTTTATCATATTGCTATGGAGGGAGATTGTTGTTCCTTAATCATGTGAGCTGGAGCCCCCCACATGAGGGACCCCATCCCACATGAACCCCCCACATCCACCCAAAAAGCGTTCACTCTGTTTCCTTGCAATATATCTTACACTCCAGCTCACTATTCAGCCCACATTATCAGTTTCTGAGAGTTCACCCTTCCCAAGAAGGTCAGAATAGATTTTCCTGGGGCTCGGACCAGAAGACAAAGACAATGGGAGTAGCTATTCTAAAATGTAGGTTTCATTATTACTCAGGGATGGTGGGGTCAACAGATAAGGAGACGACTGTCATGGTAAAGCTAGGTTGTTACTCACAGTTCCCCAGGGGAGGGACATGCCACCCTGGACAATGCAGGGAAACAGTAGGGTTGGCCATGCGACAGAGGCAGCGAGGGAAAAATGTGGGCAAAAGCCTTTATTGTGGTTTCTGCAGGAAGCAATGGGTGAAGCAGGGTAGGCAGGCTTAGGATTGGCTAGTTAGAATAATTTCAACAGGCTCTGGGGTGTAGGGGCTGGCACCTGGCCGTGTGGTAATTAAGATAGGGAAGTATTGGCCTGGAGTGGTAAGAGCCATATAGAGGAGGTGGTTGAGTATAAGCTGTGGATTGGTGGGTTTGCACATGAAAGGCACATCTGCAGACCAACCATTTACTATCCCTAAGAAGGCCAAGGGAGGTAGCTCACACCTGTAATCATAGAGCTTTGGGAGGCCAAGGCAGGAGGATCGCTTGAGGCTAGGAGTTCAAGATCAGCCTGGGCAACATAGTGAGACCCTGTCTCTACAAAAAATTTTTTAAAAACTGGCCAGATATGGTGACTTGTGCCTGTGGTCCCAGCTACTTGGGAGACTGAGGTGGGAGTATACTTCAGCCTAGGAGGCTGAGGCTGCAGTGAGCAATGATTATGCCACTGCAGTCTAGCTTGGGAGACAGAGTGAGACCCTGTCTGTATCAAAAAAAAAAAAAAAAAAAGGGTCGGGTGCAGTGGCTCACACCTGCAATCCCAGCACATTGGGAGGCCGAGACGGGCGGATCACCAGGACAGGAGATCGAGATCATCCTGGCTAACATGGTGAAACCCCGTCTCTACTAAAAATACAAAAAATTAGCCAGGAGTGGTGGCGGGTGCCTGTAGTCCCAGCTACTCGGGAGGCTGAGGTGGGAGAATGGCGTGAACCCAGGAGGTGGTGCTTGCAGTGAGCCAAGATCGTGCCACTGCACTCACTCCAGCCTGGGTGACAGAGCGAGACTCCGTCACAAAAATAAAAAAAAATGGCTTGCCCTGTGGGTTGAAGTCTCCCAGTAAGGCCAGTAAGGCCCCAGATACCAAAACATCAGAATAAAAATACATGCTTAGTAGGAAGCCCCCACAATTGCCCCTTTCCACAAATTGTTGCTTGGTGTCCTGAACAGGACTGAGACATCGCTACTCTCTCCCCCCTCAATAGATTGAGACTCTATGATTAGCAGGGGAAGGGTGGGGGCTGTTAGGGCCTAGAAGCATGTGATTTATCAGTCCTACTTAGTTCACCAAGTAGGAAACAGTAGATTCTGTCAAAGGTCTAGGGGAATGGCAGGTCACCTTTTAGGAGGGTGACTATCTGCCCTTGCTCCCTTCCCACTTCTGCAAAGCCAATGGGCACCGCAACATGGGAGGGAGGGGAGAGGTCTAAAGCTTCCACAGAGAAGGAGGTATCTAGGGAAACTAGCAGAGTTGCAGGGCAATGAATTCAGAGGAAAAGCAAGGAAAAGGAGAGAAGACAAGCAGGGCAGGGTGTTGAAGCAACTCCATCCCAAACCTGGACGTGGGCATGGTGAACATTGACCTTCCAGGGCCCAGACGCTGTGCAGAGATGCAAGAAATGCAGAGATGTACAAAGATGCAAGATGTGCAGATATGCAAGAGGACTGCCCTTCCTGAAAAGAGCAGACCAACAGCAGTGTGTATGTTGTTTGACAGTCAGCTCTCGAACCCATCTGAAAATCAGAAAAAAGAAGTTGGATCAAGGTGGGGTATAGTTTATTACAGTGAAAGGATAGAAAACAGAATCAGCGATGAGGTGAAGTCCAGAAAACCAGACAGAAGCTTCCAGAGCCCTCTCCCAGAACCCGGGAGCGTGGCGCTGTCAGGGAAAGGTCCAAGTAGACAAGGTCCCTGGGATGTCTTCCTTTTGCATGCCAGTGACTTGGGGAAGTGGAACAAGCTGGGAAACATAAGTGACCTGTGCCAAAGAGAGATAGCCTGGGCATCAGAGGAAGTATTTAAAGGTGCTAATGTTGCAATGAAAGTTATACAGCTGTTCATTCACAGAACCAATGAGTACCTACTATGTGCTTGGTATTAGGCCGTAGGAATATAGTGATGAGTGAAGCTGGTGTGGTTCCCGCCTAGTGCTTAGAGTGTTTTGCTGCAAAGCCTGGTCCTGACCCCTCAGGTAGAGAGCTTCCTAGTATCCTCAAATGCCGCAAGCTTTTGGGTGATCACTCTCAACACCCCGACCTTCTCAGTAGCTCCAGGAACACCACTTGGAGAAAGCCAAATGCTTATTCCATATAGCTGCACCACAGCTGGGGCCAAAGCAATGTTACATTTGTCATGACTCATAAGATGCCTACTCTGAGCCAGTTGCTGTGCTTTAGATCTATTAATGCCTCCCAAAACCCTGTGGAAATAGTTTGTTTGTTTGAGATGAAGTCTTGCTCTGTTGCCCAGGCTGGAGTGCAGTGCTGCAATGACTACTCACTGCAGCCTGGACCCACTGGGCTCAAGCAATCCTCCCACCACAGCCTCCCCTGTAGCTGGAACTACAGGCGTGCACCACCATGCCCAGCTGGTGAGTTCTGTAGAGATGAGGTCTCACTTTGTTGCCCAGACTGGTCTTGAACTCCTGGGCTCAAGTGATCCTTCTGGCTCGACCTCCCAAATTGTTGAAATTATAGGCATGAGCCACCACACCTGACTGTCGAGTAAGAGTCTAATCCCATTTTATGGATAAAATAACAGATTCTGGAACATTTGAGCAAGTTGCCAAAGGTCACCCAGAAGAAAAAGTAATTCAAACCCAGCATCATCTGACTCTAGAGCCAGTGCTCTTTGTAAATCCTCAGGCATCTCATGAAGATCCTTAATACAAATGGAAGAGGAATCTGAATTGCTAACCTGGTTAAATCATTCCAACTGCTAATAGGTGTTACGTCTCTTTCTAGGTGAGTAGATGTTTGCTTCTTGGTAGCATTTTGACTCACGGCTAATTAAATAATATGGAGGCACCCAAAAGATGAGTGTGTAATTTCCAGTTTTAATTTTTTTAATGAATAAACAACAAGTCTATTCTTTATTTATCTAGTTTAGAATGTTAATGAATAGCTCCCCCTTCTAATTTCAAAGCTGAGTATTTAAGGGAACCTGACACTTCATAAATATCGAACTGTGAGGTTTCATGTGTTAGTTTTATATAAACATTGGAATTGAGTAATTACCTTCCCTGCTATTCATTAAAATTCAAAATTAGATAAACAATAAGCAGAAATGTTTTTGTTCAGTATTATTCATATCAAGCACTTTGCTTATTATACCCTTACTTCTTTTTATGATTTCTTTTGTGCACTGTCCTTTCCCTTTGAGCATCGCCAAAAATGGTCCATTTTGTGAAGGAAAAAAAAAAAAACAACTCTGATTTTTCTTTGGCTTCCTTTCATCATTTAAAAAATCAGCTGAATCATCATTTCATGTACAGGAATGGTGGTGTCGAGAAAGGAATGGTGGTGTCGAGAAAGAAATGAAGGCTCAAAGCTGTAAGAGCTTTAGTCTCGGTCTCAGGCCAATCACTAATTTGTGGTGGGTTCTCCAAGGCAGGTAACTTCCTCTAACTGGGCTCCTGTTTCCTCATCTGCAAGAGGAGGAATTTGCACTGATGATCCTTCATTCATTTTTTTTTTGTGTGTGTGTGCATATATGTGCCAGGTGAGGTACTAGATGCTGGGGTTCTAGTGGTGAAGAAGAAATGACTGAAGTTTCTGCCATCACAAAGCTTCATCCAATAGCCGCACAAACAACAGTAAGATCACAATTATGTTCATTGCGTTTTAAAAAATTACATAACTTGTGAACCATTTTAATGAGGTTTGGACATAGAAAGATAAGGGGAAGGATCGTGCAAGAAGGGATACTTGAATTGCTGTCTGAAAGGATGAGTAGACACTAATTAGGTAAAGAAGAAAGTGTCAGGAGCCTGGAACAGATTGAGCAAAGGTACTCTGGCAGGAGGGGCTGAAAGGCTCATTTGCCAGAGAAAAAGAGAGAGAAGAATTAAACTACGAGATGAGGCTAGAGAGGAGAGGCCTGCTCAGACGAGCCGTATAAAGGCGCTTTTCTTCATCCTAAAAGCAGTGGAGATACATATCAGAATATATATGAATCATATTTCCTTGGAAAATGGTCTTGTTAGAGGTTAGATCCATTTAGTTTGGGTTTCTCTCCTTCTGCTAGACCTTTGGAGCCAGCCACCTGAGTGGTTTTGCTTGTGAGGCTATCTTAGGGATGTAGGCTCTAAGTATAGTTTGTAAGTTTATTACTGTTAAAAGAAAAACATCAGCCATATGAAATTTAAAGCAGCATAATGGAGCTATGAAGTATTCACCAGTCAGGCAACCCCCAGAATCACAGCAGACTCAAGAGAGACTCCAGGGGTGCCTTGTGGTTAGAACAAATTTACAGACAAAAAAGTAAAGTGATGTACAGGAATCGGAAGTGAGGTACAGAAACAGCTGGATTGGTTACAGGCTGGCATTTGCCTTATTTAACACAGTTTGAACACTCAGCAGTGTATGAATGGTTGAAGTACGGCGGCTGGGATTGGCCAACACTCAGCGATTGTTACAAGTTCATACTCCTAAGTTAGGTTTTCAATCTTGTCTACCTATTAAGTTAGGTTGCACTTCATCCACAGGGACTTAAACATAGAAGTACGGAGTCCTTCTTAGGCCATATTTAGTTTGCTTTAACATCAGTAAGTACCAGGTCACAAGCGGGTCAAGTCAGTGGACCCTAGAGCTCAGATATTCCCACTCCTTCCCCTTGCTTCTCCTTTGTGCCCTCTGTGGCTTTGCATGAAGAAAACCTTGAGGAAAATACAGCCCTGCACAATCAAGAAATTGTTATGAGGCGCTCCCCCAAAAATGACTTCCTGAACCTGAAACTGGGGCTTCAATAGCAGTCCTCCACATCTGTAATTTCACACACACTAACCTGATTCTCCTAGAAATGGATGAAAGCGCTAAAAACACACTTTCTTTCATTTATGTCTAATAAACTACATTTCATATTTCAGGGTACTTTGCTTGGTATAATCTGCTTGTAATTTTTATTTTATTTTTTAAGAAGGAAAGCATAGTAGAGATTATCCCTGGCAGTTTCCCTTGGGGAAAAAGTGCTTCTGTCTGGAAATAGGCTGTTCCCTGAATCTTGATCTTCAGCCTTTGGCCACAGAGGCTGTTTTTCATACACTGAGACTCAGGGAGAGCTCAAAGAGAGACTTGAGGGATAGCTCATTTCCAGGACCTGTTTTGAAGTGGGCCATGGAAAACACTCCAGGCTCAAAAGTAACTGCAGTTGATGAGGAAACTGAGAACGACTTCGAAGCCATGTATCTCTGTGTGAACAGCAGCTGAGGTAGGAAGAACTGTAGCATTGGAGTGCCCCCAACCTATCAAAATCTCTTGGAAACGTTTTACAAATGTAGATTCCTGTATCATTTCTGTGGACCTCTTTGGTTGATGGATAATGAGGTCAGGGACTTAATATATTTTTTCCCACCTTTGTTGAGGTATAATTGACAAATAAACATTGTATGCATTCAAGATGTACAATGTGACAATTTGGTATATGTGTACACTGCAAAATGATCCACACAAGCTAATTAACATATCCATCACCTCACCTTTCTTTCTTTTCTTTTTTTCTTCTCTTTTTTTTTTTTTTGGTGAGGAAACTGAAGATCCATCTTTTTAGCAAATTTCAAGTATACATTCCACTGTATGTATCTTTATACTGTGCATTAGATCTCCAGAATTTATTCATTCCCTATAACTGGAAACTTTGTATCCTTTGACCAACATCTCCCCACTGTCCCTCCCTCCAGCTCCTGGCAACCAGCATTCTACTCACTGTTTCTGTGAGTTCAGCTTTGTTAGATTCTGCACATAAGCAAGATCGTGTGGTATTAGTCTTTTTGTGGCTGGCTTATTTCACTTAACATAATGTCCTCCAGGCGTGTCTATGTTGTCAAAAAGAGCAGACTTTTCTTCTTTTCTAAAATTGAATAATATCTATCTATCTATCTATCTATCATCTATCTATCTATCTATCTATCATCTATCTATCTATCTGCCACATTTTCTTTATCCGTGCACCCATCAACAGGCATTTTGGCTGTTTCTGTTTCATGGCTATTGTTAATGATGCTGCCGTGAACATGATCTCTCCTAGATACTGACTTCTTTTCCTTTGGATAAACACCCGGAAGTGGAATTGCTGGATCTGGCCGACAGACATATAAAAAGATGTTCTTAACTTCACTAATCATCAGGGAAAAACGCAAATCAACACCACAAGGAGCTATCACCTCACACCGGTTAAGAATGGCTGTTCTCAAAAAGACAAAATATAGCAAGTATTGGCGAGGATGTGGAGAAAAGAGAACACATTTAAACTATTGGTGAGACAGTACATTCATACAGCCATTATGAAAAACAATACAGAAGATCCTCAAAACTTTTAAAAAGGATTTGATATTTTTAACAAGCTTCCCAGGTGAATTTAATTTGAAAAATGTTCTACCTCCTCTGATAAAAACTATGTCACCTTCCATATCTTAGTATCTATCGTAAATAATGCTGCAATGAACGTGGGTGTACAGATACCTCTTTGAGATATTGATTATGTTTCTTTTGGACACATATATCCAGAAGTGGGATTGCTAAATTATATCCAAGATATGAAATCAACCTAAGTGCTCATCGGTGGATGAATGGACATACACACACACACACACACACACACACACACACACACACACACACAGACAAACACACACCATCACCACGTATTCTTTACCCATTTGTTCATCGACAGGCACTTACGTTATATATATAACTACACAGTGGAATATTATTCATCCTTTAAAAAGAAGGAAATCCTGCCATTTGTGACAATATGAACAAATCTGGAGAACATTATACCAAGTGAAATAAGCCAGACACCAAAAGGCTGGTACAACATCATCTCACTTACATGTGTAATCTAAAAAAGTTGACCTCATAGAAACAGGGAGTAGAATGGTGGTTGCCAAGGGATGGGGGAAGGGGAAAATTAAAAGGTGTTGGTCAAAGGGTACAATGTTTTGGTTATGTGTGATGATGAACTCTGAAGGTCTAATTCACAGCATAATGACTGTAGTTAAAAATGGTAATATTGGCCAGGCGTGGTGGCTCACACCTGTAATCCCAGCAATTTGGGAGGCCTAGGTGGGCCGATCACAAGGTCAGGAGTTTGAGACCAGCCTGACCAACATGGTGAAACGTTGTCTCTACTAAAAATACAAACATTAGCCTGGTGTGGTGGTGCGTGCCTATAGTCCCAGCTATTCAGGAGGCTGAGGCAGGAGAATCGCTTGAACCCGGGAGGCAGAGGTTGCAGTGAGCCGAGATGGCACCACTACACTCCAGCCTTGGTGACAGAGCGAGACTCCATCTCAAAAAAAAAAAAAAGGTAATGTTATATAATTGAAATTTGCTAAGAGGGTAGATCTTAAGTGTTCTCACACACAGAAAAGAGAAGAAAACAAAGAAGAAAATGGTAACAATGTGAAATGATGGAAATTAATTAGCTTGTGGTGATCATTTTGCATGTAAGGTATATCAAAGTGTCACATTGTATACCTTAAATATATACAATGTTTATTGTCAGTTATACTACCCTAAAGTTTGGGAAAAACAAAGCAAAACAAGTTCAACTTCCAGGAAGGAAACTATTTTATTCTTTCTTGCAAGAAGAAAAGGATGTTAGAAGCCACAAGGATGAGGGGACTATTTCAGAGTGCTCATTTGAATTGAGAAGTCAGAGGTATTTTCCCTAAGTTTCCCTTGGCCACCTGCGGCCCTTCTCCCTTTGCTCCAGAGCTCAGCTTCTGTTTGCTCCTGATGAGATCCTGAGAAATTGTTAGTAGGCTGCTACTCTGGTACATGCTGTCCTCACATGGGCCTTCTGGTGGCAGCTATGGGAGTTTCAGAATCAGATCAATTTGGGCAGAAAAACCTCATTCTTATTATATTTTTTAATTTTAATTTTTTGAGACAGAGTTTCGCTCTTGTTGCCCAAGCTGGATTGCAATGGTGTGATCTCAACTCACTGCAACCTCCACCTCCTGGGTTCAAGCGATTCTCCTGCCTCAGCCTCCTGAGTAGCTGGGATTACAGGTGTGTGCCACCACACCGGCTAATTTTTTGTACTTTTAGTAGAAACGTGGTTTCACCATGTTAGCCAGGCTGCTCTCAAACTCCTGACCTCAGGTAATCCGTTCGCCTTGACCTCCCAAAGTGCTGAGATTACAGACATGAGCCACCATGCCCCGCCCAAAACCTCATTATTTTTTAAATCAACTTTATTGAGATACACTTTACAAACAATAAATACACCTATCTTAAGAATACAGTTTTGGCCAGGTGCAGTGGCTCATGCCTGTAATCCCAACATTTTCGGAGGCCAAGACAGGGGATTTCTTGAGGCCAGGAGTTCAAAACCAACCTGGTCCACATAGTGAGAATCCATCTCTACAAAAAATAAAAAATCAGCTAGGCATGGTGGTGCTTGCCTGTAGTCCCAGCTACTCAGGAGGCTGAGGCGAGAGGATTGCTGATCCCAGGAGTTGCAGGTTGCAGTGAGCTATGATCGTGCCACTACACTCCAACCTAGGTAACAGAGCAAGACCTTGTCTCAAATAAATGAATAAAAAGAATACAGTTTGATGAGTTTTGAAAAATAGATAACATTTGTAACCACCACAATTTGTGACCCTCCTCAATCACCCCACGCCTCGATACCCAACCCCTGACCTTCTTTCTATCACCATAGACAAATCTGCCTCTTCTTGAACTTGATGTAAATAAACTCGCTTTTTTTTTGTTTCTGGCTTTGTTTTTTCACTCGACGTATGTTTTTAAAATTCACCCACGTTGTGCATGCACCAGTACTCTGTTCTTTTTTGTTCCTGAATCACATTCTACCGGATGCATACAGCACAATTGGTTCATTCATTCACTTGTTAATGAATATTTGGGTTGGTTTCATGCTATAAAACTGCTGTGAATGTTCAAGTACAGTCTTTGTTTATACTTATGTTTTCATTTCTTTTGGGTCCATACCCAGAAATGGAAGTCTGGTTCATATAATAACTGTATGTTTAACTCTCTAAGAAATGGCCAAATGTTTTCCAGAATGACTGTACCATTTTGCAAGCCCATCAGCAAGACTGAAAGTTCCAGTTGCTTTCCTTCCTCACCAATATTTGGTATTGGGTATTGCCAGCAACCTCTGCCTCCTGGGTTCAAGCAATTCTCCTGCCTCGGCCTCCCCAGTAGCTAGGATTATAGGCATGAACCACCATGCCCGGCTAATTTTTTGCATTTTTAGTAGAGATGGGGTTTGAGATGGGCTCATCTCAAACTCCCTACCTCATGATCTGTCCACTTCAGCCTCCCAAAGTGCTGGGATTACAGGCGTGAGCCACCATGCCCGTCCTCGCCAGTCTTTTTAAATTTTAGTCATTGTAATTTTAGCCATCGTAATGTCCATTTTAGCTCATCACACATCACCCAATTTGTGATGAGCAAATTTCGGTCAACTTCTCTAACCTGTATTTTTCTTACTTCTCACAAAAGGGGATATCTTGTTAATAATTGCTTTACAGATGAAATGAGAAAATTTGTATTAATTTATATGATACATAGCAGGTGTTCAACTAATATTAGCCCCACTTCTCTTGGTAGCATTTCTCAACCATACTACATATTTTCTCAACTATACTACACATTTTCACAACTAGGGATCTTTGAAAAATACAGCCCACACCATACAATACAGGGACTCTCACTAGATCAATTTTGTTAGAATCTCTGGGGATACGTGCCAGGCACTGCTGTGTGAGAAGGAAGCCTCCTCGGCCTCTGCATGGGGCCCAGCCTTCAGCAGCATCACTTTAAAGGACTGTGACTGTTTTTGACCTTGGTATTTACAGTTTGTATGTGTGTGAATGAGAGAAATGGCAGTGAGGCACACTCACTGCTGCAGTGACCTTTCCAGGCAGGCTGGCCACAGACAGACACGTCTGCAATTTCCGAGGAATCTGCGAGGTGGAAATGGGATTTGCAGTAATCAGGTCTCCGACACAACAGGCTGTGTCAGCAGGCATGCCTGCTGCAGGATGATGGAGATCACAGGCAATCAGCTGCAGCAGACAGGCGAGGCAGCTGCAGTCCACTTTGTCGCTTCTTAGGCTGGCTTTGTGTGGCTTAATGAGGCTTTCCCTGGCTTTCCTTTGCAGCCAGCTGGCAAGGCGGTGGGATCAGCCTCAGGGTGCTGCTCAGGCTCCCTTCTGAAGACCGCATTTATGCTCAGAGCCCATCAGCGATCGTCTAAGAATGATAGAAAGGGAGAATAAAGTCTACCCCTTCCCTTCAAAGCAGGAGACCCCACTAACTGGCAGCCGGATATGAATTGGCCTTCCTGTGGCTGCAATTTCTGGAGAGACTTTTTTGTTGTTGTTTAGGTGGATTTTTGCTTTGTCGTCCAGACTCGAGTGCAGTGATCTCAGCTCACTGCAACCTCCACCTCCAGGGTCAAGCAATTCTCCTGCCTTAGCCTCTGAAGTGTCTGGGATTACAGGCACTATCACCTCACCCAGCAAATTTTTATTTTTTCTAGAGATGGGTTTTCGCCATGTTGGCCAGGCTGATATCGAATTCCTGACCTCAGGTGATTTTCCTTTCTCAGCTTCCCAAAGTGCTGGGATTAGGGGCTTGAGCCACAGCGCCTGGCCTCTGAAAAGACCTTTAATATAATTCTGAATAGCTTCATGATTTTCCAGAAGGACAATGTACCCAGGATGGAGAATAACTTCTCCAGACTTGAGGTTGCAACGTCGTCATTTGTATACCTTCTTCCTACACCTGGCCTCCTGTGTAATAGATCCTGGGTACTTGTTATGTGAATAGAACTGAGTTGAAATCAGAATTTCTAGAAGATCTGGATATTTTATACTCAGGGCTCTAGCAGAGTCAGGTGTATTAGGGTGATGATATTGACCTTGGCTCTGTGGTGTGCTCCCTGCCTGCTTTCTCCTTCTGTATCTACAGCTCATGCCCAGCCCTTCTACTGCAATATCAGCTTCCAGGGGCTCCACCACAGTGCTCCAGATAAACCCTGCTGCCTATGAAATTGCTCTGTGCTACAACCTCTCCCTCTACCCAAACCCTCTTCAAAATTTGTCTGCCCTGAGTCTCATGGCTTCACATGCCCTGCCAAATAATAAAATAATCTGAGCAATAAGATATCAGCGCTTTCCTCCCATTGGATCCTTGGGCAAGACAGTGCATTTTCAGGCACCCAGAATGTGCATGGAGAACTTGCTTGGAGAATGACGGAGGGTGGAGCTTCACCATCTCCCTCCATTCCAATTAACTACTACTGCATCGCTAACCACTCCCATTTCAGTGGCCTAAAATAACAGTCTTTTGTTATGTTTACAGACTCGATGGGGCAGAGATTTGGAGAGAAACAGTGAAGATGGTTTGTCTCTACTCCATAATGTCTGGGACCACAGATGGGAGGTTTCAAATGGCTGAGGGTGACTCTGATGGCTGGGGCTGGGAAGATCTGGAGGATTCTACACTCACAAATCTGGGGCCTGATGTAGAATGACTCAGAGGTTGGCCTCTTCTCAGAAAGTCAACCAGAGCGCCCACACATGGCCTTTCCACGTGGCTTGGGTTTTTTTATGTATGGTGAGTATCCACACATGGCCTCTCCACATGGCCTGGGCTACCTTACAGCATGGTGAGCACCCACACATGGCCGCTCCATGTGGCCTGGGCTACCTTACAGCATGCTGGGCACCCACACATGGCCTCTCCACGTGGCCTGGGCTACCTTACAGCATGGTGAGCACCCACACATGGCCTCTCCACGTGGCTTGGGCTTCCTTACAGCATGGTGGGGCAGAAATTTGAACAGAAACAGTGAAGATGGTTTCTGACCAAATTTCCCCATGGGGCAGAAAATTTAGACAGAAACAGTGAAGATGGTTTGTCTCTGCTCTATCCTGTCTGGGACCACAGATGGGGTTTCACATGGTTGAGAGTGACTCCAGTGGCTGGGGCTGGAACAGTCTGGGGGATTCTATACTCACAAATCTGGTGTCTGTTATAGAATGACTCAGAGGTCGGCCCCCTCTCAGAATGTCTACCAGAGCACCTACATATGGCTCCTCTACATGGCTTGGGCTTCCTTACAGTATGGTGGACACCCCCACATGGCTTCTCCACATTGCTCGGGCTTCCTTACAGCATGGTGGGCACCTACACATGGCCTCTTCATGTGGCTTGGGCTTCCTGACGACATGGTGGGTACCAACATGTGTCCTCTCCACGTGGCTTGAACTTCCTTATGACATGACCCACACATGGCTTCTCCACATGGCTTGGGTTTCCTTATAGCATGGTGGACACCCACATGTGGCCTCTCTACATAGCTTGAGCTTCCTTATGGCATGAAGTAAGCTCAAGAAAACTGACCTCTTCACATGGCCATGTGTAAGCACCCACACATGACTTCTATGTGTGGCTTAAACTTCCTTATGACATGGTGGGCACCCACACATGGCCTCTTCACATGGCTTGGGCTTCCTTATAGCATGGTGGCCTCCTTGTGGTCAGATTCCTTATATGAAGCCTTAGAGTTCTAAGAGCTAGTCAGAAGCACTAAAAGACACAGAAGGTGACTTTCCCGTCTACTAGTATCCAAAGCAATTGAAAACCCTCCTAGATTCAAAATGTGAGGCATGTCCCCCACCTCTCAATAGGAGGAGTGCCCTCTAATTTGTACTTTAGAGCCTCTACTCCCTTAACTCATCCTTTTGGTGGGAGGCTGCCCAGCTGGAGAAGAGCAGCAGATTGAGAGACATCAGCCCAAAGCTCCTTGCAACACACACCCTGCTCCCCTCCCAGAGTCTCTCTGGAAACCCCCAGTGACAGCTCTCACAACCTATGCTGATGAATTCCAAGGGAGGCAGAAATGATTGTATTTCAATCCCACCATGAGAAATTTGGATTTGATTTTCTCCTTTTCAATGGGAAGGCAGAGAGGAGCCTCCTGCAGAGGGCAGCTTTAAGAATGCTGTTCTGGGGTGATCAGAAGGGTGATGATGAGCTGAGTTGAATGGCAAGGGGTCACCATGGGCAGGGAGACAAATGAGATGACCGTGTGCAGGCTGAGCACTAGGGCGGTATCTGTGTATACAGAGAGGAGAAAAGGGACATAATTTAGAGCCCAAAGAACAAGATAAAGGAGGGAGCAGAAATTTTCTAGAAAGAAAAGGACCCTCTAGCAGATCACGCAGCTCAACTCTGGGGGCAGGTTAATGAGTCTGTGTAGACAGCATTTCTCCTCCCTGCTGAAAGGCTGTGAATGACTGTGGCATCTCAGTCCCACAAAAATTACATCAAAAACAAGTTAGCTGTTCCAAGCCTCCCCTTGCTAATGAGACCCAAGTGTGAGGGTTCTTCACTCCTCCACCTTCATTGTCTAGGAAACTTATGAATTTTTAATCATATAGAAAGTACATTGTTTGTGATATGTTAGACCTTCAAAAGAAAGCATGAACATAAATTTTGAGATGAATAGCCGAGTGCTGGAAGCCTGCCTCTCTGCTTGACTTCAATAACTTATCTCAATGAATCCCCAGCAGAAAGCATCTTACATACTTCAGTTCTTGAGAAGATGAGATGTGAATGCTGGGGAATTATAAGACAGAGGGGCTTTACTGCAACAGTGAACAAGCTGAAAATTACAAGGTAATGGAATCTCAGTGGGAAGTCCTTGTACCCTGGCATTAGCTAACTCAGACAATGATTGCTGCAGAATCGACCAGGGTTATATAAATGCCGTGCAAGGTTTCTGCACTTTGCATCCTCATCTGGCTAAGCCCAGAGATAATCACATTTGAAGGCGGAGGGTACACCTGGCTGCCAGGAGCTTTGACTTTATAAGAAAAGTTTGCAGAATGACCTGCCTCAAGAATCCTTTATCCTATTTGAGATGATTTCTTTTTGGACTCTTGTAGGGCATTAGAGCTAAATAGTGTTTAGAAAAGGTGGAATGGCTGGGTCAGGCCTTGGAGGAGATACATATCTCTAGGGATTTCTGTGGACTCTGCCTCCTTTGTGGGATCATTGAACCACATGACAGTCTGAGCAGGGTCTCCAGTGAAGAGCGTCTCTCTTGTGGCTTTGGCATCAGTAGGAAATACACATGGCTTAATTAAGGGATATGCAACCGCAATAACACTAGAACAAGTTTGTATAGCGGGCACTGGGTTGGTGCTCTACATGCCTTTTTCTGACCTTTCCAACAGCCTCACCAGACAGGTGATCTTAGCCCCATTGGACAGAAGAAGAGAGAAAAGTGCATCATCTCAGTGCACGAGACATTTAGATTACATCATCCCATGAGACACTGTTTTCTACATTTAGTTTCTTTGAGGATAGTCTTTATGATTTTACCCTATCTATGTGTATGAGTCAGTGTTCTCCAGAGAAATAGAACAGCATACATATGTCAACCTATCTATCCATCTATCTGTCTATCTATCTACTATCTGTCTATCATTTATCTATCTATCTATCTACTACCTATCTATCTACTGTCTATCATCTATCTGTCTATCTACTACCTGTATATCTATCTATCTACTATCATCCATCTATCTATCATCTATCTACTATCTATCTATCATCTATCTATCTACTATCTATCTATCATCCATCTATCTACCTATTATCTATCTTCTATCTATCTATCTATCTATCTATCTATCTATCTACCTACCTACCTATCTATCTATAATAGATATCTATCTATAATAGGATTTGGCTCATAAAATCATAGAGCCCAGGAAGTCCCAGAGTCTGCTGTCTACAAGCTGGAGAAGTAGGGAAGTTGCTGGCATAATTCAATCTGAGTCCAAAGCCCAGAAAACCAGGAGCACTGAAGTCCGAGGGAAAAAGAAGATGGATATACCAGCCCAAACAGAGAAATGTGAATTCCTCCTTCCTCTGATTTTTTGTTCTATTTGAGGCCTCAAAGTCTTGAATGATGCCCACCTACATTGGTGAGGGTGGATCATTTTTACTCAGTCTATAGATTCAAATGCTAATCCCTTCTAAAAAATCCCTCATAGACACCCCCAGCAGAAGCACTTCCCAGCTATCTGGGCATCCAAGTTGACACATAAAAACGAGCTATTACACTCTGCACTATCAAATCACCCCTCAGTATCCATGAGGGATTGGTACCAAATCCGTGGATTTTGTAGATACCAAAATCCACTGATGCTCAACTTCCTTACATAAAATAGTGCAGTATTTGCATATAATCACGACATATCCCTCTGTATACTTTAAATAGCCCCCAGATTACTTATAATGCCCTAATACAGTGTAAATGTTATGCAGATAGTTGTTATACTATACTGTTTAGGGAATTATGACAAGAAAGTAAGTCTGAACATATTTAGAACAGACACAACAATCCATTTTTTTCTGAATATTTTCAATTCTTTGTTAGTTGAATTTACCAATACAAAACCCATGAATATGAAGGGCTGACGATATTTTTCTTTGTTATTTACCTTTTTAACTTTAAATCAATTTGCCCATCTTTCCTAGGCTTAGTGTAGTTAAACACAGCAAAGGGGTGAGGCGCAGCAGCCTTGGAGGAGTTGGGCACTGGACCAGGTCCCATTCTACTTGGGTGAAGCTGACTCAAGTAGGAAGCAGAGTTCATGAGAAAAAGCCCAGAATCACATTTGTGCGGCATCTGCAAATTTGAGATGAGACATGAAAAATACCGCAGACTTCCCTGAAAGACAAAGGATGGACAAGGCCTTGGCCTTGGGACTAGGGAAATTGATGGCAGTCTACAGAGAGGAGAGGGGAGTAATCAGACTTGATTGTCATTCTCGTTTATTTTTTGAGACAGAGTCTCACTGTGTTGCCCAGGCTGGAGTGCAGTGGAGCAATCTCGGCTCACTGCAACCTCCGCCTCCTGGGTTCAAGCCATTCTCCTGCCTCAGTCTCCCGAGTAGCTGGGACTACAGGTGCCCACCACCATGCCTGGATAAGTTTTGTATTTTTAGTAGAGACAGGATTTCACTGTGTTAGCTAGGATGGTCTCGATCTCCTGACCTGGTGATCCGCCCCCTTGGCCTCCCAAAGTGCTGGGATTACAGGCATTGATCGTCATTCTTAACTGTGATGTGTGATGTCAGTTCAGGTCCCTGGGAGGGCTTAAGTAGAGCAGAGTAGGGCACAATGTCTGGTGCTGGGAAGCCCCCTTGGTCAGCGTTTGGGGCACAGAATGAGGTTTAGATCCCATTTCTAGAATAGAAGCTGAGGCACGGGGTGAGGCTGGGTTATTCTACAAAAGCTCATTTGTTGGGGGCTTGAAAGCAGAACCTGACTCACATCCTAAAAGCCATGGTGCCTGCAGCCTCTCTGCTCCTTGGTCTTCCCTGATGCTAGAGAAGTAACTGCAGGTGGGCTGAATCTTCAGGGGAGTGTCTGAGCTCCCAGCAGGGAGAGAAAGACAGGAAGGCTGAGAACCAGGCCTGGCAGCCTCAGCTCCTGCAGAAGCAGTCTGTGCTTTGTGCTAAGAAAACAAAGTTTGCTTTCACCCCCCAGTAGAAAAAACATTCAGGCCAAGTGCCTGCACACAGGAGCCAACAGTGCTGCTAAACCCACCTCAGCTGAGCTTGAGCTCATCTTCCTGGGAGACTCTCAAGTGCATGTTAATGAGAAACATGTTCAGTTAGTGTTTATAAGCTCATGCAGATAAGGGCTGGGCTGCCATCCCAAGTCAGAGGTAAAAATGCAGCTGCGTATGGAAAATGGGACAAAGTGCTAAATCCAGAGCTATTTAAAAATGGAAGACAGGAAGAAAGGGAGGGTTAGGTTAGGGGCGGAAGGGTAGTGTCAGGAGTCAAGGATCCTCTCTGCAACTGGAGTCTTTGCCATCTGCCTTGTGTTCCTTTTTACTTTATTCTTAAAAACAATGTGATTAACTGATGCCCAAGGTATGCAATTCAATTCCGTTTCTCAACCATTTTCTAGGAGTCTGATACAGTTTGGCCCTGGGTCCCCACCCAAATCTCCTCTTGAATTGTAATCTGCATGTGTCAAGGGAGGGACCTGGTGGCAGGTGATTGGATCATGGTGGCGGTTTCCCCCATGCTGTTCTTGTGATAGTGAGTGAGTTCTCACAAGATCTGATGGTTTTATAAGTGTTTAGCAGTTCCTTCTTCTTCTCTCTCTCTCTTACCTGCCACCATGTAAGACGTGCCTGCTTCCCCTTCCACCATGATTGTAAGTTTCCTGAGGCCTCCCAGCCAGGAGGAACTGTGAATCAATTAAACCTCTTTTGTTTCTAAATTATCTAGTCTCAGGTATGTCTTTATAGCAGTGTGTAAACAGACTAATGCAAAGTCTATTGTGCATTAAAAAAGAGGGAAAGAACAAAGAAAACCCAAACAAGCAAACCTCCTAAATATCAACTACCCCAACTAGTTTTATCCTAAAGCCATGAACATACTTTCTGCTGTGTATTTATTTTCCTGAGTGCACTTGCTTACCAGGATGGAGTGCTCTGTGTTCAAATGTATGATATGAGTCAACTAGTGAGTGTGCCCCAGTCCCCACTTTAGAAAGGGAATAAATAACATTTATTGATCAATTTGCTCATCTTTCTCAGGCTTAGTGTAGTTAAATGCAGCAGAAGGGTGAGGTGCAACACGCTAGGAGGATCTGGGCACTTGACCAGGTCCCATCCCACTTGGGTGAAGCTGTCCCATGCAGGAAGTAGAGTTCATCAGAAACAAAGCCCAGAATCACATTTGTGCAGCATCTGCAAATTCAAGATGAAGCGTGAAAAAGTAGCAGACCTCCCTGAAGGATAAAGGATGGGCAAGGCCTTGGGACTAGGGAATTCCATGGGCAGTCTACAGAGAAGAGAGGGGAGTAAGCTGCATTCATTGGCATTCTAAACTGTGGCATGACGTCACAGTTATAATAAGAATGCCAACAAGTGCAGACTATTTCCTTCTTCTCGCCTATTGGGAGCTAGGAACTGTGATGACATTTGCTCTGTGCTATCTCATTTGATTATTGAATAAGACAGGTTAAGCTAAGTTGTGCTGCAGTAACAGGCAACTTGCAAAGCCCAGTGACTTTAACAATGCAAGTTTCTGTCTTGCTCACATTACATGTTTATTTCAGGTTAGCAGGTGACCTCTGTTTATTGCAAACCCCAGGTTAGTGGAACATTTTCCATCTCAAAGTCACCGGTGGCTCTATGATAGATAGATAGCTCTGGAGAGACCACGGTAGCAATAAAGTACCCTAACCTAAAGGTGACATAGTCTCAGTTCCATACACAACAGTCACATGATTCTATGCTTTAATTGTGGAGTAAATAATATTCAGAGGAAAGAGCCTAGTGAAATGACCAGGAGGACTAGATCTTGAATGGTGCTTGTCATTTGAGAAAGAACTATCACCAGGTGTGGTGGCTCATGCCTGTAATCCCAGCACTTAGGGAGGTCGAGGTGGGCAGATCACCTGAGGTCAAGAGTCTGAGACCAGCCTGGCCAACATGGTGAAACCCCATCTCTACCAAAATATAAAAAATTAGCTGGACGTGGTGGTGGGTGCCTCTAATCCCAGCTACTCAGGAGGCTGAGGCAGGGGAACTGCTTGAACCTGGGAGGTGGATATTGCAGTGAGCCGAGATTGAGCCATTGCTCTCCAGCCTGGGCAACGGAATGAGACTCCATCTCAAATAATAACAACAATAAATTTTAAAAAATAAAATAAAACAAAGAGAGCTATCTTTCCTGCTCCAAAGAGAGCCACAACACAACAATCCTACATTGTGGCAAGAAGGCAGAGAGTGAGAAATATTTAGTGAAAAACACCAGTCAATGGCTTTGCTAGTTTCTAAAATAAGATCTAGCTCATAGAGTCACTGTAGTATTCTCATTTCTCAGATGAGGTTTCTGAAGCTAGGAGAACTTGATTAATTTAATCAGAAATCAAAATCAGCTTTGCACCTTAACAAAATTCCATTCTGCTATGGCAGATAATGTCTTTTGCTTTTAGTATTTGTGAATCTGCTGCCCAGAAAAGGCTATCCTGTGGGTAAACTGATAAAATTGAATGTCTCAACTTAAAAGCTGCTCGCCGAACTTGCCTAAATGGTAGGTGCCATGGAAGATCTTGCCCTTGTGGTCATTTTGCTAGTCTCTTTCTCACAAAATGTTTTTTCTTGAGACGGAGTCTTGCTCTGTCACCCAGGCTGGAGTGCAGTGGCGCGATCTCGGCTCACCACAACCTCTGCCTCCTGGGTTCAAGCGATTCTCCTGCCTCAGCCTCTCGAGTAGCTGGGATTACAGTTGTGCACCATGACACCTGGCTATTTTTTGTATTTTTAGTAGAGACAGGATTTCGCCACATTGGCCAGGCTCGTCTCAAACTCTTGACTTCAGGCAATCTGCCCACAGTGGCCTCCCGAAGTTCTGGGATGACAGGCATGAGCCACTGCCCACAGCCTAGCAATTTTTTTTTTTTTTTTTTTTTTTTTTTTTTTTACTGCAAGGCTTAAATTAGGATGAGTTTTCCCAGATAGAATCCCAAAAAATGTTTCATTAGATACTGCAATGGTTCATTTTAGGTGTCAACTTGCCTGGATTAAGGGATATGCAGATAATGGGTAAGGCATTATTTCTAGGCATATCTTTGAGGGTGTTTCTGGAAGAGATTGGCCTTCAAATCAGTCGGCTGAGTAAAGAAGATCCACCTTCAACCTGGACAGATACCATCCAGTTGGCTGAGGTTCTGGATAAAACAGAACGGGAGAGGAAAGGGGAACTGACTTTTTCTCTTCTGGAGCTGAGCTGCCTTTCTACTCCTGCCCTTGGGCATCGGAACCCAAAATTCTCCAGCCTTTGGACTCAAGGACTTGCAACAGATACTCCCCCATCCCGAGTTCTCAGGCCTCTGATTCTGATGGCTTCAGATGTGGACTGAGCCTCAATACCAGTTTCCCTGGGTCTTGATCTTGCTGACAGTCTATCATGGAACTTCTCAGCCTCTCTAATTACATAAGCCAATTCCTCTAATAAATCCACTCTGATATATCTCTCTGTATATCCCATTGGTTCTGTCTCTCTGGGGAACCCCGACTAGTACAGATACTCAGAAGTGTCCCATCAAATACACTTTGCAATAATATATTTTGGAATGTGGCAGTGTTAAACAGATTTGTATCATTGTGGAAAGTTTTTAAAGGATTAAGTACATTGTATGCCTTGTGACTGTGCAGAAGGGAGACTCTAGCATACAATATATCCCAAAACCTATTTGCTTTACTTTTCTGGGGCATCTATTAACAATAACAACAACAACTAAAAACACTGGACCAAGGTGTTAGTGAGAGATAATGATACTTAGTGCATTTAAAAGGTAAAAACTAGGCCGGGCGTGGTGGCTCACGCCTGTAATCCCAGCACTTTGGGAGGCCGAGGTGGGTGGATCACGAGGTCAAGAGATCAAGACCATCCTGGCCAACATGGTGAAACCCCATCTCCACTAAAATACAAAAAATTAGCTGGTCGTGGTGGCGCATGCCTGTAGTCCCAGCTACTTGGGAGGCTGAGGCAGGGGAATCACCTGAACCCAGGAGGCAGAGATTGCAGTGAGCCAAGATCATGACATCATGCCACTGCACTCCAGCCTGAGCAACAGAGCAAGACTGCGTCTCAAAAAAAAAAAAAAAAAAAAAAAAAAAAAAAGAGGTAAAAAGCATAAATCCCATTCATGAAGTAGCTCTTGGTATAGGAAAATTCAGGGATAGTAGTGTCAATTACTGCACAAACTAAGCCTGTACTATACTCCAGATGCTATGTATAGAGAGGTTCAAATGTGTATGGTCTCTGCCTTCAAGGGTCACATAGTTTAAGCAAGTAATTATCAGTTACTGGCAAATATCATTTGCTAGGCATGGCGGGGAAGCATTTATTTTAAATCTTCACCCTAATCCAAAATGGTAGTCAGGTACTTCTCCTTGTATTCATTTTTCTTTTATTTTAAATTTTAAAAATATTTAGTTATTTATTTTGTAGAAACAAGGTCTTGCTTTGTTGCCCAGGCTAGTCTTGAACTCCTGGCTTCAAGCAACCCTCCTGCCTCAGCCTCTCAAAGTTCTGGGAGTACAGGCATGAGCCACCATGCCCAGCCCCTTATCTTCTTTTTTTTCTTTTCTTTTTTTTGACATGGAGTCTCTCTCTGTCACCCAAGCTAGAGTGCAGTGGTGTGATCTTGGCTCACTGCAACCTCTGCTTCCCGGGTTCAAGAGATTCTCCTGCCTCAGCCTCCTGAGTAGCTGGGACTACAGGCGTGCACCACCATACTCAGCTAATTTTTGTAGTTTTAGTCGAGACGGGGTTTCACCATGTTGGCCAGGATGGTCTCGATCTCCTGACCTTGTGATCTGCCCACCTCGGCTTCCCAAAGTGCTGGCATTACAGGTGTGAGCCACCGCGCCCAACCCTTATCTTTATTTTATAGATAGACAACTATGATTCAGATTAACTTACTTGGCCAAGATCATAATGCCAGTAAGAGACAGAGCCAGGATCCCCACCTAGGGTCTTTCACTTTGCTATTGGTGACTCTCTGCCAGGTCCAGGACTGGAATAGCGCTTAGGGAAAGATCATGGGCACAGCCTTGCAAAGCTCAGGGAAGTGACATTTTCACTCTTAAGTGGGACTCCCATAACCTTCTCTCAATGCACACTGTGCATGGGGCTCTGTGGTCCTTAACCTTGGCTGCATGTTAGAATAACCTGAGAAGTTAAAAAAAAAAATGCCTATTCCAGGTTGTGCCCCATCCCCATGAAAACAGAACCTCTCTGGCTGGGAGCCTGGCATCTGTATTTTTTTAAAGCTCCCTAGTGATTTCATTGTGCAGCCAAAATTGAGAAGTGACAGTGTGACACCTTCTTGGCCTGTGGAAGAAGCAGCATCGCTCTCAGCTCCTGCAGCTCTCAACCTCTCAGTTGGAAAGTGAGATCACACTGGAGATGTAACAATCAGCCTGTTCCAAGAGCAATTCGATTGTCTCTTTGGGGAGATTAAATACATCTCTTAAGTTTAAGGGATTCTAAATTTCTTTCCTTCCTTCCTTCCTTCCTTCCTTCCTTCCTTCCTTCCTTCCTTCCTTCCTTCCTTCCTTCCTTCCTTTCTTTCTTTCTTTCTTTCTTTCTTTCTTTCTTTCTTTCTTTCTTTCTTTCTCTTGATGGAGTTTCACTCTTGTTGCCCAGGTGCTGGAGTGCAATGGTGTGATCTCGACTCACCACAACGTCCACCTCCTGGGTTCAAGTGATTCTCCTACCTCAGCCTCCAGAGTAGCTGGGGTTGCAAGTATGTGCCACCACACCTGGCTAATTTTTTTGTATTTTTACTAGAGACGGGGTTTCTCCATGGTGGTCAGGCTGGTCTCGAACTCCCAACCTCAGGCGATCCGCTCGCCTTGGCCTCCCAAAGTGCTGGGATTACAGACGTGAGCCACCACACCCGGCTGGGATTCTAAATTTCTTAAAAAGAGCAAGAACCTTGGGTTCCAACTAAACAGGGTTCTTCCCTTACTGGCCATTCAAGGTTAGAAATGACTTTGCTTTTGTGGACCTTAGTTAGTTTGCTTGTTTTGGAAACAGGGTCCTCCTCTCTCTGTGCCCCAGGCTGGAGTGCAGTGGCACCACCATAGCTCACTGCAACTTCCACCTCCGGGGCTCAAGCGATCCTCCTACCTCAGCTTCCCAAGTAGCTGGGACCACAGGAACAGGCCACCATACCTGGCCAATTTTTAACAATTTTTTGTAGAGATGGGGTCTCACTATGTTGCCCAGGCTGGTCTCAAACTCCTGGACTGAAGTGGTCTGTCCACCTAGGCTTCCCAAAGTGTTGGAATTCAGGCATGAGCCACTGTACTTGGCAGTTTGTTTTTTAATTGCATCTGTTATGGCAGCCTCCACACAGGCTGGTACAAAGTAGTAGAGAGATGATGTACATAAATTTCTTGTAGCGTACTTGGCATACAGCATTGCTCAAACATGATAGTTCCTCTTCCTTCATTGTCCCCTCTTTCTATGTGAAAATTTAAAATTAATTAATATTCCTGATCATCTTGAGAATTTCAAGCCTTGGCTAAAATGGAGGCGGTGGTACTGCCATAAAATCCATCCACTGAGAGCTGGGAGGACAAAGAGTGATAGCTTTTGCAATTTTTCTATTAGCTCAGGCTACATTCTTCTTGTTATTGTCATTATGATGGCCTTTGTTTAACTTGAGAAATCTGAGTCAAATGCTCATTTAAATCAGTGAAGCTCAACGGAGACAAATATGCGTATGTAGCCTCCATTCTTAGATGCGCTAATTGCTTGCCCAACTCACTAAATTCTAATTAAAACCATTCCACCAGATGATTTTATTTTATTTCTTTCAACTTATAATTGAAGCATTTACTGGCCAACTATCCAAATGATATGCAGAGATTCTGCTTGGATGTTTGAAGAAGAAAATAGAAATGAAGGACCCTGAAGTAGTGACTTGGATATTTGTGGTTTAATTAGATCGACTTTGCATTAGTCCATTCTCATGCTGCTAATAAAGACATACCCAAGACTGGCTAATTTACAAAGCAAAGGGGTTTAATGGACTCAGTTCCACATGGCTGGGGAGGCCTCATGATCATGGCAGAAGATGAAGAAAGAGCAAAGGGACGTCTTACATGACAGCAGGCAAGAAGGCATGTGCAGGGGAACTCTCATTTATAAAACCATCAGATTTCATGAGACTTATTTGCTACCATGAGAACAGTATGGGGGAAACTGCCCACACGATTCAGTTTTCTCCACCTGACCCCACCCTTGACACATGGGGATTATTACAATTCAAGATGAGATTTGGGTGGGGACAGAGCTAAACCATATCAGACCCTTTGTTGACTGGAGATGATTTTAGGGAAGGGTTGACTCTGGGATACTCAGGTCAGTTAGACTCTGGGTTGGTTCAATAATGCATTTCTTCATGCATTTATTGACTACCAATACATGCCTGATAGCAGGATCATATGTGAATCTGGTCCTTACCAGTCCAGGAATTTGTAAATGGCAAATCAAGCCACAAGGGATGGCCTGGACTCTCAGAACTTTCTCCAAATGCCCTTCTTTGGTTTTCTCTTTGCTGTGCTCATCTTCCTGATTTGGGATGGTTCTGAATTTCTCATTGCGCTAGTAATGTACTTGATGACTGTAATTAAACGGGGTCCCTAGAGCTCTCATATTGCACTCACTCCTCACTGGCTGGCCTCATATTCTTCCCTGCTAGACATAAGCCAGTTTTTCCTGAGGGTAGAGATTGCACACATACCATATACTAGCTTTGAGTTTGATGTTACATGCATATGGATTTCTATCCTTAAAACAGAGATAGCCTTACAAACTCGTAAGAAAAATTATGAGGCCCAGTAGATAAACCAAGAACATTAACCATTAGCAAAAGATAAATATGGACCAGGTGTGGTGGTTCATGCCTGTAATTCCAGCACTTTGGGAGGCCAAGGCAGGAGGATCACTTGAGCCCAGGAGTTTAAGACCCTTATCTCTACAAAATACAGTTAGCCCGGCGTGGTGGCAGGTACCTGTAGTCCCAGCTACTTGGGAGGCTGAGATGGGAGGATCACTTGAGCCCAGGAGGCTGCAGTAAGCTATGATTACGCCACTGCACTCCAGCCTAGGTGACAGAGCAAAATCCTGTTTAAAAAAAAAATTGGCCAGATATTTTAAAAGTGCAGATCGAAACAAACATGAGGTAGTTTTTCACTCACCAAATCAGCAAAGGATAATCATAATCTATCATGTTGGTGAGCAGGCACACTCAAAGGTGTTGGTGACAATGGAAATGGGTATCAGTTCCTCCCACAACAAGCTCAGGGCCAAGGACAAGAGTACAACCCAGGGCCAAGGACAAGAGTACAACCCAAGGCCCTCATACCATATGTCTAAATATCTAAAAGTTCTAAAGAGGCCAGGTGTGGTGGCTCATGCTTATAATCCCAGCTCTTTGGGAGGACAAGACAGGAGGATGGCTTCAGGTCAGAAGTTTGAGACCAGCCTGGGCAACATAGCAAGATCCCATCTCTTTAAACAAAAAAGTTTTAAACAAAGCCAGCAAACGTAAATATTTTTAATCTTCCTACCTGGACAAATACATCTCCATAAAAACTTTGATTCCCAGGAATTCTCTGATAGAACTTGATGGTATGGAGAAAGAGAGCCCAGGCTCCAGGCTTCTGGTTCCTGGGCTGCTGCTCCTCTTCTGAACCCCAGATCCACTGCCACAATGAGGGGCTTTGTGAATGTGGTGTGGATACCCCAACTGCACAAGATCTTTTGAAGTGTCCACTAACTCCACCAACAGGCCTAGAGGGTGTATGCACATTGCAGTTGAGCTCTGTCCTTGAGAAGATGGCCCCGAAAAGAAATGAAGAAACTCTGGAAGCGGCCATACTACCCCAAGGCAGGCACTTCCTGGACCCCAGGCACTTGGACCATGACCTAGAAGGCCAGGGGTCATGGGGTCCCAGTGGGCTGTCATCTTGGCCCATAAGAAGTGTCATGGACCCAGGAAAGTCAGAGATGGGCCCAAAAAGTGTGAGAGTAGAGTGAAGACTCTTCTTACCAAGGTCAGTACTAATTGGTGTGATCCTTCTGGAAAACAATTTGGCAATGTGCCACAACAAATTTAAAATGTGAATATTCTTTGACTCTGACATTCGTTCCCTTACAAACTGGAAACACATATATATTCAGAAAACTGAATGAAAAATGAAATGATACATATAAAATATTATTTGGTAATGTTATTTGTCATATATCCCCTACCCACCTCCCCCTGCAAAAACACAGCTTAAATGTCTAACAAGAAGTCAAATACTAAATCATTTATGGTATTATCCAAATACAGTATATAATGTTCATTGTCAAAAATAAGAAGGAATTTAAAATATAATGTTAAGTGAAATATTTAAGTAGCATGTTTAATGACCAATAGAAGAAAACTAGAATGTGAAAATTTCCATATGTTGTAACTTAAAACTATAGAAAAATATTTAAATGTAGAGATGCCAGAATAGAATATTAACTGCTGATGATTAAGTGAGTGAAAATGAGGGAACGGGTTACAGTTAATATTTTTCTCTTTATGCTATCCTGTATTTTGAAAATTTAAAAATGTTCAGAATAACAGCTTGTTAATTTTACTCAGAAAAAAATTATACATTCTTGCAGATGTTTTGAAGTAGAGAATAAATGTACTATATAAGTTGTCATGGACCTAGTTTTTGGTTTGGAAGTGCGCTCATAGATACGTATTACATTGTTGAAAATAAATTAATTAATATAGAAACAAACAAAAAAGAAGGGAATGCTATAGCATGTAAGGATCAATGATCAGTGTGTCATGAGCTGAAATTATGATATCTAATTTTGTACAAGTGAGGTGTCAGTATAAAAATAGAATAAATCAGCTGGGCACGGTGGCTCAAGCCTGTAATCCCAGCACTTTGGGAGGCCAAGGCAACCAGATCACAAGGAGTTTGAGACCAGCCTGACCAACATGGTGAAACCCCATCTCTACTAAAAATACAAAAAAATTAGCCAGGTGTGGTAGTGGGCACCTGTAATCCCAGCTGCTCAGGAGGCTGAGGCAGGAGAATTGCTTGAAGCCGAGATTGCGCCACTGCACTCCAGCCTGGGTGACAGTGAGACTCCGTCTCAAAAAAAAAAAGAGTAAATCCACACTAAAGTTATTAAAATAAAGATATAAAGAGAATGTACGTCCAAAAAGGAAAGGAAAAAAGTTTTGCTGACTATAAAGGTAAATGAATTTGATGTGTGTGTGTGCATGTGTGTTTTCTGAGCTTACTGGCAGTATAGCAGTATAGCAAAGAAAGGAACCTGTCAACATTTCTTTCTATTTGCAATCAGCACCTAGACGGGTAAACCATTCGCCACATTGTGGCCTGAATCTGTTTCTTTCACATGCATTGTGTCTGTAGAGGGGCTTCTTTCCATCTTTGTATTGCTAATTTATGAGATTGGCACAGTCATGGCTGAGCACAACACGGCAAAACCCTGTCTTACTAAAAAAATACGAAAATTAACCAGGCGCGGTGCCATGCACCTGTAATCCCAGCTACTCAGGAGGCTGAGGCAGGAGAATCACTTGAACCTGCGAGGCAGAGGTTGCAGTGAGCCGAAATAGCACCACTGCACTCCAGTCTGGGCAACAGAGCAAGATTCCATCTCAAAATAAATAAATAAATAAATAAAAATTGGCTGGGCACGGTGGTTCATGCTTGTAATCTGAGCACTTTGAGAGGCTGAGATTTCACTCTTGTTGCTGAAGTTTCACTCTCGTTGCCCAGGCTGGAGTGCAGTGGCATGATCTTGGCTCACTGCAACCTCCGCCTTCTAGTTTCAAGCAATTCTCCTGCCTCAGCCTCCTGAGTAGCTGGGATTACAGGCACCCATCACCATGTCTGGCTAATTTTTGTATTTTTAGTAGAGATGGGGTTGCACCATGTTGGACAGGCTGGTCTCGAACTTCTGACCTCTTGATCCGTCCACCTCAGATTGACTTGTTTCTAAAAGAGATTTGAGATGTGATATTTTTCCTGGATTTCTGCCTTTGAGGCTTTTACAGCTATTATGGTCCAAGTGTGCAAACAGGATGGAACTGCACAGGGGATGGAGAATGAACCCAGAGACCCAGAGAGGATGGCCGGCAGAGTCTCTTCCATCCCTTGCAGTATCAGCAACTTCAGTTCATCCAAGGCCAACAGTAATTAGAGGGGTCCACCCTAGGGGAAAGCAGGATGGGAAGAGGAAGATCAGGGAGAGAAATACAAACGTCCAGGTTCTTGTCAGCAGCAGATCTCAGGAAGTGAGATGGCTGCCAGGATACAGCCCTTTAGGCAACATCATGTGGTCTGGCCCAGGGATATGGTTAGGGGAGGCTAAAATAACAATAGTCTTTGTAACAGTGATCACTTATCTATTGCTTGTCATGCACCATTCCAAGTGATTCACAGCTTTGCTAACTAGAGTATGGTCTGTAGACCTGCAGCACCAGCAGCAACTGGGAGCTCATCAGAAATGCAGACTCTCAGGCTTCACCCAGTCCTACCAAACTGGAAACTGCATTTTTCTTTGAGACAGAGTTGTACTCTGTTGACCAGGCTGGAGTGCAGTGGCATCATCATAGCTCATCGCAACCTCTGCCTCCTGGGCTCAAGTGATCCTCCTGCCTCAACCTTCCAAGTAGCTGGGACTACAGGAACCTGCCACGACACCTGGCTAATTTTTGTGGTTTTATTTATTGTAGAAATATGTTACCCAGGATGGTCTTGAACTCCTGGCCTCAAGTGATTCTTCTGCCTTGACCTCCTGAAGTGCTGGGATTACAGGTGTGAGCCACTGCACTGGGCAAGAAATAGCATTTTAACAAGATCCCAGGTAATTCATATGCACATACAACTATGAAAAACACTGTTTTACATGTATTAACTCTTAATTCTCAAAAAAACAAGTTGGGAGAGCTACTATTGCTATTCCTGTTTTATAGATGATGATGTTTAGGCACAGAGATATTAAGTGCAGGTCACATGACTGGTAAGGGTTGAACTAGGATTGAATCAAGGCAGTCTGTTGCAGAATTTGATCTTTTAAGCTACACTGTTCCTGAAAGAAATGGCTTTGATGTTACACAAAGCTGGGTATCAGGTCCTTCTTGCTGGCTTTGTGCCTCTGGATAGGTTACTTAATCTCTCACCTTCTGTTTCTCTATCAGTAAAATGGGTCAAGAATAGCATCAATTTCAAAGGACTTTTGTGAAGCAAAATAAGAAAAGGCATGTGAAACACTTAGCAATCAATGTCCAGTTCTGTCATGATTACTGGTACTTTCATCCTCATCACTGTCATCATCATCATTGTCATTGTCATCATCATTGTCATCATTGTCATTGTCACCATCATCGTCATTGTCATCATTGTCATTGTTGTCATCATAATTATCATTATACTCATTGTCATTGTCATCATCATTGTCATTATCATTATTATCATCATGATTGTCATAATCATTCTCATTGTCATCATTGTCATTGTTGTCATCATTATCATCATTGTCATTGTCATCATCATTGTCATCATCATTATCATCATTGTCATTGTCATTGCTGTCATCATGGTCATTGTTGTCATCATCACTATTAGAAAATTGTCCTTGTCATCATTATTATCATCATCATTTTCATTGTCATCATCATCATTGTCATTGCCCTCATTGTTAACATCATTGTCACTGTTGTCATCATTATTATCATTGTCACTATTGTCATTATCATCGCTATTCCCATGATTATCATTGTCATTGTTGTCATGATCAGTATTGTCATCATCATTAGCATCATTATTGTCGCTGTTGTCATCATCAGTCATCATTATCATCATCATCATTATCATTGTCATCATCTTTGTCATTGTCATCATTGTTATAATTATCATCACAGTCATCATCATCTTTTTCATTGTCATCTTTGTCATCATCACTGTCATCAACATCATCATCATTGTCATCATCATCATCATTGTCATCATTATCATCATTGCTATCATCATCACTGTCATCATCCTGTTTTATTGTCATCAACATTATCACTTTTGTCATCATCATCTTTGTCATTATTATTATTGTCAGCATCTTCATCATTGTCATCATCTTTGTCATCATTACTATCATCATCATCATTGTCACCATTATCATCTTCATCATTACCATATCATCACTGTCATCATTATCCTGTCATTGTTGTCATTATAATCATCACTTTTGTCTTCATTATCATCTTCATCATGATCATCATCATCATTACTGTCATCATCATCTTTGTCATTGCTGTCATGATCATTATTACTTTTGTCATCATCATTGTTGTCATCAGGTGGAGGTTGCTGGGATGAGGCACCAGGTTCAGTGGTGATAGAAGCTGGCAGGAATCAGCAGGAGTCAGGGGAAGAGTTCAGGTTTGGTGCTGACAGCTGCCTCTAACAACAGAACCAATTTGTTCAACCTCCCTAAGCCCCAGTGAGTTTTGCATCTTGTATTCAGTGCTCTTTCTGGCCATCCAGAATTGATAGTGCAGACTAAATATTTTCCTGGGACAGTCTGAAGGCAGCAGTCTCCCCAGGTTGTAGTTGCTGTGGAAACAGATGCCCCCTGGGGACAAGGAAACTGTTGGCTGAGACTTGGCTTCTCGGCTCCTGCAAAATTGTTCTCCACTTTTTCCTGTGCTTGTTAGTCCCAAGTAATGTTCGCCAAAGGGCCTCTGCTGTGTGGCCCTCCCCATCCTGATGACCATCTCTGCTTTGCAGCTGTTGGAAGGAGCATGCCTTCTGGCTTGTACTCATATCTTTGCAGTTGGTGCTGGTGGGCTGAGTTAGAAATAATGTTGACTCTTTGAGATCGATTTTCTTCATCTTGCCTCCTGTTACCTTGAGGCTCCTTGAAAACTCCTTATTATTTTTAGCGACTCCTTATACAAGCATTGCCCTCTTTAATTTGAAAGAAAGCCAGCATCTTCAAGTCTTTAGCACTTGAAGGAAAATCTCAAGAAAGGGAATAATAGCTCAGCATATAGCTCTGTCCCCCAAGATTCATCTTGAAGTCTAGTTCTGTCGCCAGACTGGAGTGCAGTGGTCTCGGCTCACTGCAACCTCTGCCTCCGGGGTTCAAGCAATTCTCCTGCCTCAGCCTCCCAAGTAGCTGGGACTACAAGCATGTGCCGCTATGTCAAGTTGATTTTTGTATTTTTATTAGAGACAGGGTTTCACCATGTTGGCCAGGATAGTCTTGATCTCCTGACCTCGTGATCCACCCACCTCGGCCTCCCAAAGTGCTGGGATTACAGGTGTGAGCCACCGTGCCTGGCCACATCTCTTTTAATAAATTAGTATGCATATGTGTGTGGGGACACAAACAACTTTCTCTCGTTTTCCTTAGCATGGACGAGAAAGGCTGAAGTGTTAGAAGTAAACAAAGAAACTGACCAAATATTAAGGAAGAGCAAAAGCGAAGCAATGAAAAATAGAAGAGGCATAAAGACAGGCAAGAACTCCTGGACAGATGGAGACACTCCTATCCCCAAGTTATGGTCCAGCTGTGTAGGCTTCCTCTGTGGCCTCCACCACCTCCCAGGCCCAACCTTCCTTCCTCTGCAACCTCCCCTACCCCTTTTTTAAGAGATAGAGTCTCTTTGTTACCCATGCTGGAGTACAGTAACACAATCACAGCTCACTGCAGCCTTGACCTACTGGGTTCAAGTGATCCTCCTACCTCAGCCTCCTGAGTAGCTGAGACTACAGGCATGTGCCACCATGACTGGCTAATTTTTTTTTATTTTTTAGAGAGACAGAGTCTTGCTATGTTGTCCAGGCTGATCTCAAACTCCTGGCCTCAAACAAATCTCCCCATTGGCCTCCCAAGGCACTGGGAGTACAGGCGTGAGCCACTGCGCCCTGCCTGCAAACCCATTTTGATTCCATCACCAGGGAGCTGGTCACCTGGCCACCACTTAAAGCAAATGCCAGGAAAAAAGATTCTAACTCTACTACTCTCCCCACCACCCAAACAGAAAATAACAACAACAACAACAACAACAACAACAATGACAACCATTTTAGAATATAGCAGGACGTGGAGAAAATATCATGTATAAGCCATCCTGGACCCCATCACCCTTCTCCCTCTTAAACATTTCTATAGAAGACTTACCTCTTCGTGGTTAGTCAAGATGAAGGAAGAGCAATTTGACCTTCAGAAGTGTCCTCACCTTACCTAGTCTTTTCTGAAGGAAGCCAGACTTCTCTCTCCTTCCCTTGCTCCAGTCTTCCTTTCCTCTTTCTTTGACACTATGTATCGATACAATAAATTTTGAGTTCCAATTAAGTGCAAAGTGCACTGGTATGGAGAGTTGGTTTGAAAAGTTCCATCAGCCAGGCACAGTGGCTCACACTTGTCATTCCAACACTTTAGGAGGCCAAATCGGGCAGATCACTTGAGGTCAGGAGTCTGAGACCAGCCTAGCCAACATGGTGAAACCCAGACTCTACCAAAAATATAAAAGATTAGCTGGGTATGGTGGCGTTCGCCTATAATCCCAGCTACTCGGGAGGCTGAGGCAGGAGAATTGCTTGAACCTGGGAGGAGGAGGTTGCAGTGATCTGAGATTGCTCCACTGAACTCCAGCCTGGGCATCTCAAAAAGAAAAAAAGTAAAAGAAAAGTTCTGTTATATGTCAATCCAAAAAAAAATTTTTTGTTTTTAAAATTCTTCAGCTGAATAACACTATACCTTGGAAATCATTAAGCATATCTATTCTTTTACTCTCCCCTTTTGGAATACACCACTTTCTGCATTTCCATGCATGCATGTGTTCCTGGTCTGTGTATATACATGTGTTTGTGCTGAGTAGGCACAGGGGCCAGGAAGCGTGTGCAGGTGTGGGTCTGTGTCTGGAATCCAGCTCAGCCTATAGCCCTTGACTCCTGTTAGTTTCATGTTCATTGACCTAAATACTCTTTGGAGATAGGCTTTCCTCTCTCTCTGCCAGCCCTTGGCAGCCCTGCAGCCCACTGACCCTCACCTCTACAACATACCCTGTGGCGTGGCCTCCCATGGCAGGTTACACAAGTCCTGGGGCCCTGGGGAGGGTGCAGCACAGCTGCCGCGATGACTCAGACTCCACCATGACAGGCTGTGCATCTTGGGGGGGGCCCTTCTCCGCCAGGTGATAGCAGGGAGGTGGCAGATGGCAACCCTGCTTCTCTGCTAAACCTTCCCCCTCTCCAGACCCTGCTTCCACTCGCTTCTTATCTCCTCTCACTCTTCCGGACCCTCTGTTCATATTAAACAGAGCTTTCTGCCAGCTTTGCCTTCTGAGCAGGAGGGGCTTTCAATTAAGCAGCCACCCACAAATTGCTGTCCTGCTCTCTCTGTTCCCTGAGCAGCCCCCTTGCCTCCCCACATCCTCCTCTTTACTGCTTTCTCAGGCCACATCTGTCTCAGGCATCTATAGCAGGAGCTGCCTGGATGCCAGGAGCAGAGACCCCCCGCAAAGGAGAAGGAGAATCATTTGCTTTTATGGAGTGCCTTTCTTGCAAGGATCTCTAAGTACCTTTCAGACAATTAAATATTATCATTGTAAATGGGGAAACTGAGGAATATGGAAATTAAGCAAATCCCTCAGAGACACGTGGCTGATCACTGTTAAGAATAACCCAGCCTGCCTGCCTCTCTCATTTGCATTCCTTCCAAAGGCATGCAACTTACCCCCTCAAGATGTGAGGCTGTTATGCAATTAAGAAGCTCCTTTTATTTACTTTAATTTTTAAATTTAACTTGGATTTCAGTTTCAGGGGTTCATGTGCAGGTTTGTCTTACAGACAAATTATGTGTCATAGGGGTTTGGTGTACAGATTAGTCTTGTTACCAAGTAATAAGCATGGTACCTGATACACAGTTTTTTTGGTTGGTCTTCAGTCTCCTCCCACCCTCCACCTTCAACCAAGTCCGAGTGTCTCGTATTGTTCCCTTCTTTGTATCCTTGTGCACTCGACGTTTAGATCCCACTTGTGAGTTAGAACATACGGTATGTGGCATTCTGTTTCTGCATTAGTTTGCTTAGGATAATGGCCTCCAACTCCATCCATGTTGCTGCAAAGGACATAATCTCATTCTTTTTTTAAGGCTGCATAGTATTCCACGGTATATACGTACCACATTTTCTTCTTCTTGGCTTATATCATTCCTTGACTGTCCTTATCCCACCAGCTCATCATGCCCTTCCCAGGGATCTGCATTAGTTAAGCCCCAAGGGTATACTCTGATGCACTCAAGTTGAGAGCTGGGCTGGAGGGAGGTTCACAGAAACCAGGCTGTTTCCCCTGTGGAATTTACTTCTACCTATGACCTTCAGTCATCCATCATCATACAATGAAAGGTGACATAGATGTGACCTCTGCCCCCATGAGCTCACAGCAAAATCAGTGCCAATGCTGTCACCACCTCGGTTTATATATCAGCTGAGCCTGAGAGAAGGAGGTCTCATTTTTTTCTCTTTTAAACCAAAACATTTAATAACTACTTCCACCCACAGGCAAGGTGAGAGCTGAAAGGACAACAAAGTTTCTAGAATTATAAAGAGTATTTCTGCTTATGGAAAGTATCTCATTTGGAGCATGTTTGATTCATCACAATAATGATAGATATTTTTTCTCCTAATAAAATCTACATAATAATAATAAGTATCAAAAAATAATAGCTAATGATTAAATATATTAAGTAAGCACTAAGTTCTAGGCTTTGTTCTATTTATTTATTTATTTATTTATTTATTTATTTATTTTTGAGATGGAGTCTTGCTGTTTCCCAGGCTGGAGTGCAGTGGCGCCATCTTGGCTCACTGCAACCTCTGCCTCTCGGGTTCAAGCAATTCTCCTGCTTCAGCCTTCTGAGTAGCTGGGATTACAGGCATGCACCACCATGCCAGATAATTTTTATATTATTAGTAGAGATGAGGTCTCACCATGTAGGCCAGGCTGGTTTCGAACTCCTGACCTCAAGGTGATCCCCCTGCCTCGGCCTCCCAAAGTGCTAGGATTACAAGCGTGAGCCACCATGCCTGGCTCTAGGCTTTGTTCTAAACACTGTATATACAGTAATCTCATTTCCTCCTCATATTAATTTTCAGGTAGAAAATTAATATGAGATAGAAACTATTCTTATTCCTATTTGTAGATGAAAAAACCAAGGCACAGAAATGTTATGAAATTTTCCCAGTGTCTACTAAGCACCAGGCATTGAACTTAGGACTTTAAATATATTATAATCATAGATCCTTTCTGCAAATCTGAGAAAGACTTATCTTTCTGTGAAAAATGGGAGGTTCGGGAGATTAAATCCATTGCTCAGGTACACAGCCTGAGAGGCAAGAACAAGAGTGGGGCCAGGAAAGGCCATGTCCACAGTTGTTTATTTTATTTTGTTTTTTTTTTTGAGACAGAGTCTCACTCTCACCCAGGCTGGAGTGCAATGGTGCAATCTCAGCTCACTACAACCTGCGCTTCTGGGGTTTGAGCGATTCTCCCGCCTCAGCCTCCCAAGTAGCTGGGACTACAGGCACATGCCACCATGCCCAGCTAATTTTTGTAGTTTTAGTAGAGACGGGGTTTCACCATGTTGGCCAGGATGGTCTCGATCTCTTGACCTCATGATCTGCCCGTCTCAGCCCCCCAAAGTGCTGGGATTACTGGCGTGAGCCATCACACCCAGCCCACAGTTACTGTTTTAAACTTCATTGACTTCACCACTGGGGGGCAGCTCCTTGAAGATCTACAGTGAATTCTCCAGTCTAGGCACGGTGCCCAGCATGGTGTTGGGCCACAATGGACATTCCATTAAACACACTCATTCTTTTTATTGAGCTAACGAATGGATCTTAAATTAAATATTGATATTAAATTCTGTGATCCACACTCCTGGGAGTAATAGCATGGGTAATTCAATGGAATGAATAATTATTCAATCACATATGCTATGCTTTAAAAATGCATTCATGAATTTATATCTGAATATGGATTTGCTATTTATGGGATTCATATTGCTTCTTACAAAGTGAGGATATGGTGTGATGGCATGAGTCAGGAGAGGTTGGCAGAAACCCTGTCTACCCCCTGCTCTGTGTCCTGCTGTTTCCAGCTTTCTCTGGGGGTAAAAGCATCATCTGTATGCGGAGGTCATGGACTCACTTGCCATTAGAGTTGTTCTTGGTTTCAGAATGGTCTTTTTTTGACTCACTCACCAGGTAGACCTGCAAAACGATTTGTTCCCTTTCTCCTTTCTCCCTCCCTCCCTCCCTCTCTTCCTTCCTTCCTTCCTTTCTTTCATCCCTTTCTTCCTCTCCCCCTTCCCTCCCTCTCTTTCCCCATTTCTTCCTCCCTCCCTCCTTTCCTTCCTTCCTTTCTTCCTTCCTGCTTGCTTGCTTCCTTTCTTCCTTCCTTTCCTCCTTCCTCCCTCTTCCCTTTCTTCCTTTCCTCCTTCTTCCCCTCCTTCCTTCCTCTCTTCTTCCCTCCCTCCCTCCCTTTTCCTTTCTTCCTTCTTTCTTCCCCTCCCTTCTTTCTTCCTTTTTTAATTTTTCCATTACCTCCTTCTTTTATTCATTTTGTTTTTCTTTCTTCCTTTTTCCTTCTCTTTGTAATTGAATGTATTATCCTTGTCAATATTTAAAAATTAAGAGATTTTTGTCTGGATTTCTGGCTTCTTCTGAAAAATTATATCGGGCAACACATGCTCCCGTTTGCACTTGGCAAAGTTAGCTAGAGCTAATTAATGATGGGCCTGTGCGTCCAACATGGTCTCGGTCCCCACTACCCTCTGCAGTCTCCCTGACACTGAGTCTGGGTGTCAGCTGCCATCAATACTCCTACCTATGCAATTCTTTTCTTGACTCCCAGCCAGCCCCACTCATTCCTGTGAGTGATCTAGCATCTGAGTTTGTGAGCCCTTGGGTGACGCACACTACCCAGGATGAGTGGGAGGGCACACGGAATGTCATGCCAGCCGGCCCCCATTGTCTTTCTTTCTCTGTATCTTCTCTCTGATGGGGCATCAGTAAATGTAACATGAGATAGAATGGCTGCCTATAGTGTCAACCTCATAGAATTTTCCAGCTTCTCTCAGGTATCCTAGAAAGAGACAGACAATTATTTTTTTAATATTTATTTATTTTGAGATAGAGTTTCTCTCTTGTTGCCCAGGCTGGAGTTCAGTGGCATGATCTTGGCTCACTGCAACCTTTGCCTCCTGGATTCAAGCAATTCTCCTGCCTCAGCCTCCTGTGTAGCTGGAAATACTGGCACACGCCACCATGCCCGGCTAATTTTTTATATTTTCGGTAGAGACAGGGTTTCATCATGTTGGCCAGGTTGGTCTTGAACTTCTGACCTCTAGTGATCCTCCCACCTCAGCCTCCCAATGTGCTGGGATTACAGGTGTGAGCCACCGCACCCAGCCAAGAGAGAGACAATTATTAATCTTGAAAACTAACTGGGGCCAGACATGGTGGCTCATGCCTGTAAACCCAGCACTTTGGGAGGCCAAGGCAGGCAGATCATTTGAGGTTAGGAGTTTGAGACCAGCCTGACCAACATGGTGAAATCCCGTCTCTACTAAAAATACAAAAAAAAAAAATAGCTAGGCATGGCGGTGCATGCCTGTAGTCCCAGCTACTTGGGAGGCTGAGGCAGGAGAATTGCTTGAACCCAGGAGGCCGAGGTTGCAGTGAGCCAATGAATGTAATGAGATAGAATGGCTGCCTTGAGTGTCAAGCTCATAGAATTTTCCAGCTTCTCTCAAGTATCCCAGAAAGAGAGAGACAATTATTAATCTTGAAAATTAACTGGGGCCAGGTGCAGTGGCTTATGCCTGTAATCCCAGAACTTTGGGAGGCTGAGGTGGGCAGAGCATCTGAAGTCAGGGGTTTGAGACCAGCCTGACCAACATGGTGAAACCCTGTCTCTACTAGAAATACAAAAAAAAAAAATTAGCTGGGCATGGTAGTGCATGCCTGTAGTCCCAGCTACTTTGGAGGCTGAAGCAAGACAATTGCTTGAACTCAGGAGGTGGAGGTTGTAGTGAGCCAAGATCGCGCCACTGCACCCCAGCAATGCTCCATCTAAAAAAAAAAAAATTAACTACTAAAGAAGTCCAACCCTTTCATTTCACCCTTTTCAATTATAAAGCCATCCTTTCCATTAAAGTACTTAGTGGTGGTCAGTCTTCATCCCAAATAATTTATTTTAGCCTAAACAGAACTTTTTTTTTCTTTAATGTGCTTGCTACCTGGTTTACTCCTTGCCATGATTCATAAAAGTAATCATTGGTGTTTTGTTAGAGAAGAGGAAAATTCTGCGCCTTGTTCTATACTGATGGTATGTAGGTAGAATCACGGGTAACAATGCTAAAGACTTTAAAGGATAAGACTGCTGAAAACTTGAGAGCATTCTTTGTCTTGCAGAACTGGCCACAGGCAGCAGAATTGATTGTAAATTGTGTTGAGACATTGACACACATGTTGGGAGGTGGTAGAAATTGGTTCCTTCCATGGTGGTTGTGGAAGGTTGAATGAGTGCTCCCAACTCTCATCCTCAGGAGAGAGGATTCCCTTTTCCTATGACTTATCAGTTCCTTGCACTAGAGTTCAGCCGAGTATACATCTCTGATCATCTTTGAATTTGACCGTGCAATTTGCCTTGATAATTGAAATAGAGTAGAAGTGATGGTGTGCCAATTCCTAGCTGAGGGCTGAAGAAGTCAGCACATTTCTACCAGCCCTATTAAGCTTCTTCCCTTTATAATGAGAAAAGTATGCCCCAGGCAGTTGTTGCTGCTTAAGGTTGGATCTTGGAATAAAAATGCAGGGAACAGAACTGGATCCAACCTAACTAGGCAGAACCCGACTAAGATGCATTAAACCGCAGCCAAACTTCAACCCACAAGCTTGAAGTAAATATTTGTTGCTGTAAGCCACGGCAATTTGGTTGTTGGTTATGCAACATTATCGCATTAAAAAAAAAACCTGGCTAATACAGCTAGTGAATGGGAAAAAAAAGAGATTACTTATTCCATTTTGCCAATTACTGAGCATTTTGATGATGCACTAGAATATGTCACTATGATTTTACCTGTTTACCTTGCAAATGCACTTTTACTATTTTTTTTTTTTTTTTTTGGTGATTTGTTTTGCAGTTTTCAGTATGATTCTGTGATGGTATACGTAAGTATTTTAATTGTACCTGTATTAGTCCGTTTTCATGCTGCTGATAAAGACATACCCGAGACTGGGCAATTTACAAAGGAAAGAGGTTTATTGGATTTACAGTTCCACGTGGCTGGGGCGGCCTCCAAATCATGGTGGAAGGCAAGGAGGAGCAAGTCACATCTTATATGGATGGCAGCAGGCAAAGAGAGAGCTTGCGCAGGGCGACTCCAGTTTTTAAAACCATCAGATCTCATGAGACCTATTTATTATCATAAGAACAGCACCGGAAAGACCTGCCCCCATTATTCAATCATCTTTCACCAGGTCCCTCCCACAACACATGGGGATTATGGGAGCTACAAGATGAGATTTGGGTGGGGACACAGAGCCAAATCATATCAGTACCATTCCACTAGACTGAAATTGACACTGTGGGGCAGGAAAAATATCTTTTCTTTCTATCCTTCTTAGTTTTTAGCTGTAACAAAAGACAGATTAACAAAAGAAAAGCATAAAAGTATATTTAATATAAATATTACATAACACAAGAGCCTCCATAAGAAAATGAAGACCCAAGGAAACAATTACACCTGAGTGTTTTTATGCTAGGTTTGATGAAGAATAGTGAGTCATAGGAAAAAGTAATATGCCAAAGCAAGGTCTAAGCTCAGACCCCTAAGCTCAGATGTCTCAGAGAAGGATTAGTGGAGGTTCTTTTCTCCTCTGTTTATGCATAATTTAAACTTGCATTCTTTTTAGATTTAATGAGTAGAGTACATTGTCCACAAATTCCTTGCTCTTTAAACTATAAAGAATTATGGCTACTTTAGACGGGAGTCAGTTGCCTCCATTAGAATGATTCCATTGGGATGCATTTTGAGGGCATAAAGAAAAGAGTGGTTAAAATTGCAATAAAAAAACAGCGGGGTGGGTGAAACGAGATCGGCAGAAAGTTGATGGCCGCTAAGGTAATGTGTTTCACGGTGTTATTGTGTCTACTTTTGTGTGTTTGAGCTTTTTTACGACTTACATATACTTCTAAAGTCTGCGATCGTATTCAACAGGTAAACTCAGCAAGGCGTGTGCCTTGTGTTTTTTTGTTCGTTGGTTTGTTTTGAAAACCGGAATTTGAATCTTAAAGAGTGGTAACTCTAGAAATCCAATTTTTCCTTTTCTCCAGGATTTGCTATTTTTGTTGTTGTTGTCCAGAGTGTCTTGGTGTCCTTCTTTCTTCAGAGACAGAATGATTCTTTCCTCCTGGTATAAAAAGGGCACCCGTCCCACGAGAATCTTATGACCTGCTTCAGAGGAAGGTCAAAAACCTCTTCCTGCACCTGCAATTTCTCAAATTCCTTCCAACTAAAATATTTAACATTGCCAAAGTGGCACATTTTTGGGTAGTGTGTGTCCTAAACCCCGTTGACACACGTATTCTATAAAAAATAAAGATATCTGCCTGGACAGATTCGTTCGATGGGAACTACAGGTTTCCCAGATCTTATGAGAAAGAAGAGAAAGTACAGTGTTCCTCCCCAAGAAAGAGTAGATGGAATAGGCATTTTGTAATTTACCAAGCACTAGAAATAAATACGTTGTTTTTCTAACCAAAAAACCCTGGGTGTTTTCATCTAGCAACCTTCATCAGCTTCTGCAGTTTAGTTTACCTAACTCTATCGAGTTCTGTAATCTTGATTCCATGGACAGCTTAGAGAACAAGTCCCTTCGGTCCCTTTATCTGTTCATTTACAGCCATCTTGTTGGGGTCACAGATAAGTACCCAGCTCATTAGGCACTGACCCCTACTGAAGTAATCATCATAAACCACCACGAGCTCTTCCCAGTTCAACTGATGTGTAAACTATTTAAGGACAAGATGAAATGAACAGGAAAGATTTTCTGGTTTAGTTTAATTGCTTCTCAGGTGGCCTCTCATTTACCAAGCTCTGCTACAAGTAAGAACCAAAACTACCCTAGTGAAACTAATATAAACCACCCCAGTACTTTGGGGAATATAGCCTGTTTCAACAGATCCCTGGGAGTCTGCATTTCCAGATTGAAAGAAAGATTGTCTCAGTCTATTTGTTGTGCTGGTGAAAGTTCGTCTCTTCTCTCTTTATGCATAATTTAAACCTGCATTCTCTTTAGATTTAATGAGTAGAGTATGTTGTCCACAAATTCCTTGCTCTTTAAACCATAAAGAATTATGGCTACTTTAAACAGAAGTCAGTTGCCTCCATTGGAATGTCTCCATCGGGATGCATTTTGAGGGTATAAAGAAAAGAGTGGTTAAAAATTGCAATAAAAATACAACAGGGTGGGTGAAACAAGATTGGTAGAAAGTTGATGGTCGCTGAGTTAGCACAGTACTTTGAAACATTATTTTGTCTACTTTTGTGTGTTTGAATTTTTTCACAAAATATATTTTTTAAAGACTGCAATTAGGTCAACTCAGGGTTGAACCCAAATCTGTTTTGGGACTTGTTTTGTGTCTCTAGTGAATTTTTCTCTTAAATGAAAGAATTGCTGCCAGGAGATCCCATTTCACAAAGCAGATTGGAGCCTGGTGTTCTTAAGCTTTCATTTTTTTGTCTAGCCATGTAAACAACTGGCTGTGGATTTCCACGGTCTGACTATCAACTATGCTTAGGTGGAATGCATTTGTCTTTTAGGCTTCTTTGCCATCATCGTTTAATAGTCTTCCTCTCTTGCCTTGAGTGTTGATGGAATCCAACAGCAATGTTGCACCCTGGGGTCGTGCAATGCAACGTGAAGGTTCTAATGGCCTGATAAACACCAATAGCTACCTGTCCCTGTCTGCCCAAGCTCTGCTTTTACTGAGGTTCCTGGAGCCTAGAACCTGAATCCAGAACGTGGCCTAGTTCTTGACCAGCCCAGACAATGACAGGTGGTTCCTTGGGAAGCTTGAACTCAATAACAGAAGTGGTCTTGCAGCACTTGATAGCGTGTGTGTCTAGTATAATGGGATTGGAGGGTCAGGAGACCTATGACACTCTGTGCTCACCCAGTTGGAGTTACCTCATAGTTCCCCATGTTTACCCAGATCATATAAACTGGCCATAGTATTGTGTCTGATTGAGAATGGAGCTGTGATCTTATTTATTTATTTATTTATTTATTTATTTGAGACAGTGTCTCACTCTGCCGTCCAGGCTGGATTATAGTGGCGCACTGCAACCTCTGACTCGAGGGTTCAAGCGATTCTCCTGTCTCAGCCTCCCGAGTATTTGGGATTACAGGTACCCACCACCATGCCTGGCTAATTTTTGTATCTTTAGTGGAGATGGGGTTTCACCATATTGGCCAGGCTAGTCCCAAACTCCTGACCTCAAGTGATCCACCCACCTCGGCCTCTCAAAATGCTAGGATTACAGGCGTGAGCCACCATGCCCAGTGCTGTGATCTTATTCCCAGCCATCTTTCCTGGGTCTACAACATCCCACTTTGCAGTTGTCACCTCCCTTTCCAAGGGCAAGGATTTAGAACCCAGATGCTGCGACAAAGAACTGGTGGTCTCCTTTGCCAAACTCAAAATGTTCAGCCTTACGTGGATCCCACTCACTGAATTGGAACTGCATGGCCACTAGATCTGAGTTTACTGTATGACTTTGAACAATGTAATTTGGATTCTGGCTGCCCCCTTAAGAGCCAGATCTAGAGTGGGTTAAGTTTTGTCACCTGGGCCTAATTTGTTTCGTGGCCAGTTTCCCGAATGATGGCAATCCCTTTTCTTTGGTCCCAAGAGCACAGCTGAAACAGGCTGCCATTTTCTACAGTACTTTTAAGAAAAACACAAGCGAAAATACATTTGAAATCCAGAAAATAGAAGAACGATGCCTTCAAATTCCAAATTTTTTCACCTTTAAACAGTTAATGTGCTTACTTGGTTATTTTGGTTATTTATTTGGTTTATTTGTTTATTTGATGTACCTCCAAGTCAGGAGGTACCTCTGGACTGAGGATTTCTTTTAGACTTGATATTATAGGCTTTAAAAATTGCTGGGCTGCTTATAAGCCATGAGACATTCTGCCACACTGGGGAAAAAAAGAGCTTTTAATTTGGGCAGACAAGGATCTGGATCCTAACTTAGTCATTTCCTAGCTGTGTGGCCTTGGGCTAGTTACTTAACCTCTCTGGGCCTCAATTGTGTCATCTGAAATATAGGAATAATAATAATATATACCTAGTAGAGTTGCCACGAATTCTGATCAATTATATATAAAATATCAAACATAGTGTCTGACAGACTATATAACCTCATTGAGTGAGGGCTGTTATTCCTCTTTTTAAACTCTCAGGCTCAGAAGGGCTAGAGGCATTCAGAGATAATGGGCAAAGCAACAGGTATCCAAAGTGTTGAAGGCCTTACACCATCAGGTTGCCCATCAACATGAAAGAAAGAGCCCAGCTTTGCTCCACTCCATCATGAAAATGTCAAGACCTATTTCTTCATGAGAAAATAGTCTAAGCCTCTGTGTACTCATGGAGAGGCGTCGAGGGGCATTGAAACTGAAAATGCTATGCGCTATTGTGCACGTGTCTGTTGCATTTTTTTCTGGGAAGATAGTTCGTAGCTTTTATCAGGTACTCAAATGAGACTGTTTTCATTCATTCATTCACTCATTCATCAAATAATTTTTGAGTGTTTATTATGGTCTAGGTGTAGAAAGTATAGCAGTGAATAAAGCAAGACAAAATCCCTTGCCTTTACAGAGTGAAATTTTTGGATTCACTGAAAATTTTCTTAAGAATTACTGATCTAAACAAACTATGAAGCCCATGGAATAAGGGTTGAATTTTCTAATAGCTCCCTTTTGGTTGTGTTGGGTTATAGACTCCAAATCTCTCTCCAGATGGGTCAAATATGTTTTCTGGAGCCACATAGACTTCACATCATTGAAAGCAAAATTTAAAAAAATGAATGAAATTGGCCGGGTGTGGTGGCTCACGCCTGTAATCCCTGCCGTGGTGGGATTGGGAGGCTGAGGCGGGCGGATCAACTGAGGTCAGGAGTTCGAGACCAGCCTGACCAACATGGAGAAACCCCGTCTCTACTAAAAATACAAAATTAGCCGGGCGTGGTGGCTCATGCCTATGATCCCAGCTACATGGGAGGCTAAGGCAGGAGAATCGTTTGAATCTGGGAGGCGGAGGTTGCGGTAAGCCAAGACCACGCCATTCCACTCCAGCCTGGGCAAGGAGAGCGAAACTGGGTCTCAAAAAAAAAAAAAAAAAAAAGATTGAAATTTTACAGATTATATTCTAAACCAAAAAATGTTTCCTGAGTACCCCTGTGTGTAACTACAAGAAGAAAAGGCAGCTACCAAACAGTGCAGCAAAGTGAAAAGTAAATGACCAAAAAATCCCTGGTATTTTGGCATTAGAGAGACTCGTGTTTGGATCTTTAACTTCCTAACTGTGAAGGATTGGGCAAGATACACAAATTCTTTGAGGAACAGCATACCTTGAATCAGAGATACTTATCTTACAGGGTTGTCATGAGTATGAAATGATTTGACTGGCACGCAGTAAATGTCAGTTCTCTATGCCTAATACAAAGATTTTTCAGAGTGTTGAAACCATGGACCTGTAAACTTAAAACACACACACACATACACACACACACACACACACACACACATACACTTTTTTATACTGATAAAGCTTCACAAATTACATTTTATTTTTCCAAGTCAAGGGTTTTATAAAACACAAACTGCAGTAAAACCCCTGTGTGTACACACACACACACACACTCACACACACACACATGTATTCTCTTCTTCAATTTAATAAGGAGCATTTTATAAAACAAGACAGTTACAAGGGTTTAATCTCAGCATGAAAGACAGTCCTTTAAATGGGGGTAAATATAGCTTTGTTAAAAATGCAATATATTTTCTTTACATCCATATTTCACTTGCAAAGGTGTTGCAGTGCCTTTGTTTCATCTTTTGATTCTTACAACCCTGTAATGTGGGCAGGACAAAGTTTAGTTGCATTTTTTGGGAGTGGAACCAAGAATCGGAGGGAAGAAAAGACTTGTTCCAGTCTCCCTCTCCTTTTCCAGCTTTGCCCATGGGTCCTGTAGGACAGGGACCTGCAATCATGGGTTCCGACACTCATCTTATTCTTCCGGGTCAGCGGAAGGAAGGTTTCAGCTTGCTGTAAGACAGAACTGCACCATCTTACTTCTGGGGAGGTTTAGAAACTGAATGGCCCTCTGAGAAAATCTGCTGCTTCTTTCCATTAAAACCTTCTAAGGGTTGAGGCTCAGACCCTGCCAGTTCTTCCTCTTTCCCTGGCAAAAGCTCATTAAGCCCTTCAATTGAACTCACATACCATGGGTAATTAGTAGAGAGCTTGGATTTTAGAATCAGACAGACCTGGACTAGAATCCTAGCTCAACCTACATGTATATGAAGACAGTGTTTAATCTCTCTTTGTCATTCCTATTTATGAATGGGGATAGCAACTAAAACCTCATGAGCTGAGTATTAAAGAAGGTTATATGAATTTTCTAATAGCTCCCTAATAGCATGGTGGCTCACATATGTAAGCCCAACACTTTGGGAGGCCGAGATGGGTGGACGGCTTCAGCCTAGGAATTAGAGACCCTCATTTAAAAAAAATTAAAGAAACAAAACCAAAAACATATGCTGATCACTTGAGCCCAGAGTTTGAGACAAGCCTGGGCAACACAGGGAGACCTTACCTCTACAAAAAAAATACGAAAATTAGTGGTGCATGCCTGTAATCCTAGCTATTCAGGAGACTGAGGTGGGAGGATCGCCTGAGCCCAGAAGATTGAGGCTGCGGTGAACCGTGATCGTGCCACTGCAGTCCAGCCTAGGCCAAAGAGTGAGGCCCTGTCTCAAAAGAAAAAAAAAAAAGAAGGTAATATGCGTATGTGAAGTTCCTGAGATCATGCTTCCCTTCCAAGGCTGCTGTGTACAGTTGCACAGGTTACACCCTGCTCAAAGTGCCAGTCAAAGAGGCAAATGGCAATGGAAATCCAGCCAGTGCTCAGATCCCAAGTCTTGTGCCAGTGAAAGGTTGCAGCCAACTTGAAGAGGTGCCTTGTAGTAATTTTTTTTTTTTTTGAGATGGAGTCTTGCTCTGTTGCCCAGGCTGGAGTGCAGTGATGCAATCTTGGCTGACTGCAACCTCTGCCTCCCGGGTTCAAGAGATTCTTCTGCCTCAGCCTCCTGAGTAGCTGGGATTATAGGTGTGTGCCACCACACCCGGCTAATTTTTGTATTTTTATTAGAGATGGGGTTTCACCGTGTTGGCCAGGCTGGTCTCGAACTCCTGACCTCGTGACCTGCCCGTCTCAGCCTCCCAAAATGCTGGGATTACAGGCATGAGCCACTGCGCCTGGCCGCCTTGTAGTAATTTTTCCACACAGAGTGGGCACCTTTTCTGAAATCTTACTAAGACTCTCATGTCCTACGCAGCCCTGCCTTCTTTTCTCTTCCTCCTTTTGGTCACTGCCCCTTCAATGAACATGGGTCATGAAGTCTACTGCACTGAGCCACTAACACGCTGTGCGGCTCCCTTGGAATGAATGACAATTGCTTCTAAGCAAATGAGAGGAGGAAGATTTCTTGCTACCTACAGGGCCCTGACAAGGATTTGTTCTGTGTCTAAATGAAATACCCTTTAAACTGCCCTGAAATTGCATTGCTTATGTCAGCTAAGTGGAATTCTATGGACTATAAATCTGACTTGAAAGGGCTCAGTTTAATTTGACTAAGATGTTACAAAACGTTTACCAAAATGTAAAGCATTAGTCTGTGGAAAATCAATTATGGCCCAATCCATCTCACTGATGAAGGGAGAGTTCTCATTTTCAGATCTTTTGTGTGCACAGCCACTGTACACACACACACACACACACACGTACAATTGGGATGCAGCAGCTGGAATCTCAAGTTGTGGGAACTAGAGAAGGTTAAGCACAGCTTATTGACTAATGATAAGACACTTATCAATTCCAGCAATTTCAGCATGTTTGGCTCAATGTTTCTAGAATGCTAGGTTTTCGCACCCCTGCCACTCACCAGGGTGGCTATTTACAGAGTTAGTGAAGAGAGAAAAGTTCTGTCCATTTCAGCTCGCTCCATTTCCATACCCTCCAGTGACATGAGGAAGAAGACCACCCAACTAGGTGAAATAAAGCTCACGCCCCTGCAACAGAGCAAATTAACTCTCTAAGAGCTCGGTGCAGTGAAGAAATAAATGAACCTCCTTGTGCAATGATTTCCCAAGGCTGGTACCAAAAGTGCTTAAGAGTAGAGAGGATCAAAACATGAAATGCATGGATGGGAAATGCTTTGCAGACTGCTGCACTGTAGCACGATGAATAGTGCACTATTAGCTGTAAGGTCTTCATGACAGACAATGAGCAACCTGGGAAAGGAAGACCAACAGTAACTTATAGACCCAGCAGTGATGGTGGGGACTCTGCAGAAAGTGAAGGGGTGTGGGGTACGCTGCATAGGAGCTAAGAAAATAAAAGAGAGGAATCCACACAAAGGTGGAAAATTAGTTGCACAGGAAGGGTCCTTGATCGTGGTAGAAATAGTAGTAATGACAGTGATAATAATAGTAACAATAATGATAATAACTAACGTTTACTGAACCCCTACTATGTACCAGGAGTGGTTCTAAGTGCTTTCCATATATTATCTCATTTATTTTTCACAACCCTTTAAGATGGTCACAATTACTATCTTCAAGCTAATGACATATAGCTATGCAACAAATGGAGTTGGGATTGTAATTGAAGCTTGCTCTTTTTGTAATTGTTATACTTGGTAGCATTCAAAGATGCTATATGCAAAAAGAGAGAAATGTGGAGATATTTGGAAGAGGTGGGAGGTTTCATTACCTGGGGATAGTAAGCAGAAAACGAACAGGTCTTTTTCTTCCACATCACCTGCTGATATTATGCAGAACTGAGGATTGGAGGAGAGAGGGGTGCACAAAGATTGGAAAGGAGGCTCCCAAACCCCTCACTCTCCTATTTCCTGGAGTGGGAACAATTTCAGGCATTTTCAATGCTTTTTACTTCTTCAATCTTCCCGTTAAAGAGGAAGCTCTTCGGCCGGGCGCGGTGGCTCATGGCTGTAATCCCAGCACTTTGGGAGGCTGAGGCGGGTGGATCATGAGGTTAGGAGTTCAAGACCAGCCTGACAACATGGTGAAATCCCCATCTCTACTAAAAATACAAAACTTAGCTGGGCATGGTGGTGTGCGCCTGTAAGCTTCTCAGGAGGCTGAGGCAGGAGAATCGCTTGAACCCAGGAGGCGGAGGTTGCAGTGAGCAGAGATCACGCCACTGCACTCTGGCCTGGGCGACAGAGCAAAACTCCATTTCAAAAAAAAAAAGAAGAAGAAGGTCTTCCATAGACCCCTTTCAGTGCCTGGCAGTGTCTTCTGCTTAAACGACTCCCTTTCCCTTGGAGGACTAAGGTGCCCAGGCAGGTGGGTTTGGTAAGACAAACAGAAAGCTGGATAGCTTTATAGGAGTCTTCTGGGCTTTGCATTTTAACTTGGAGAAGCAAAGAGACCCTTCCGACTTCCTCTAAAGTTGTACAAGGTGACAGGAAGTACATAGACACAAAGAGAATGAATTTGGGTTGGGGTCTGCAGGGTGCAGCAGCCATCAGAGAGACGGACCCAAACAAGTAAGATGACACAGTGTGGTCGTGCATCCTCTGCATTTGGGGAAGTATGGGGGGCAGAGAGGAAGTGTGGGAGGCATCTTGCATCACATTTGTCTAAGGCAGAATGCTATGGCAAATTACCATGGCATTTCAAAATGTTGGGGCTCTTTACAACGTTCAAATGACAAATTTTTGGATTTTTAGATATGGGGGCTGCCTTTTGCAGTTTAAGAGTGTATGGATGTTGGCTGGGCATGGTGGCTCACGCCTGTAATCCCAGCACTTTGGGAGGCTGAGGCAGGTGGATCACCTGAGGTTGGGAGTTCGCGACCAGCCTGACCAACATGGAGAAACCCAGTCTCTACTAAAAATACAAAATTATCTGGGTGTGGTGATGCATGCCTGTAATCCCAGCTACTCGGGAGACTGAGGCAGGAGAATCGCTTGAACCCAGGAGGTGGAGGTTATGGTGAGCCAAGATCATGCCATTGCACTCCAGTCTGGGCAACAAGAGCAAAACTGTGTCTCAAAAAAAAAAAAAAAAAAAAAAAGAGTGTATGGATGTTAAGCTTCTGGCTGTTTTTAAAAAGGGCCTGGAGCAAAAGACACTCATTAGCCTTGGGATCTGTGTGCCTTGGGATCTGCATGAACATGATCTAAATGGAACTTTCTGAGATGATGCGACCCAAGCGGAAGCCTTGGGGTGCCAATGGCCACTGCCCCAGTCCAGATTGGTCTTCCCTGATTTATGCCCTAGAACAAGCGTTACTGCAGGCTCTGATTGACCTCTGAGTCCAATCCCTTTGGTGGATCCTTAGGAGAATTAGAGAAGGGGAGAGAGAGAGAAACCATCTCAAATCTGGATTAGAATGGCGCCGCGGTCCCCAGGGTTTCTGGGGAGCAGGGAGGTTTGGTTTGGAAATTAACAAAGGGAGATTCAGAATGAGTCTTTTAAATTCTAAGCTTCAAACTCTGAAACTGACAAATCCCACTGACAATAGCCAGAAGAGGAGGCAGAGCCAGAAATAGGAGGAAAGGTCAAGGTCAGTTGTAGGGCATGCACCAAAAGAAGCAAATCCAGGACCGTAGCATGAACAACTGGCATGGAAGGTCAAGTGGCTCAAAGGGGCATCCAGACACACCCCTTCACAGCCACCTCTTTCTCTGGAGTCACAGATTCACTTCTCCCTGCAGAGGGTCAGCAGAGTGCCCTTAAGACCACAAAGAGGCAAAACCCAAACTCGAGAAGTAAGTGCTACAGTCATCTCTCAGTTCAAAGAAACAGTAGGAAAACCAGAAGGGACACAGAAATTGTGGAGCTCCTGGAATGTGCTCCTTCCCTGGTTTCCCAGCTCCATCCTCCCAGTGCCATCTGGTAGCCAGGACTCAGGCTACACAAAAGCGCCAAAGACCCCAAGAAAATCTACGTGAGAGGAACCACATGCAATTGCTCTTTTCATTTAGTGCAGAATCCTGCACTCCTGTCTTTCTCCCAGCCCCTCAAAATCCCCTCCTAAGACTGCTCCCCCTGCCCCCAGAACTCTGAAAGGATCCAGGAACGTAACCAAGGAGAGGGCAGTCCTGCCAGAGGCTGCTGGGTGCTTTTGACTGACATAGTATTTTCAACACTAGAAGAGACGTTTTTTAATGGCATGAAAATGTCTTTAATCACAGGAGCTAAACCGCGCACAGTGCAGGTTCAAGGTGAACGGGATGCTCTTGTTCTACATCGGCATTTTCATCTCACTTAGATTAATTCATATTTTAATTGCTTCTCTCCCTGATTGAAGTACCAGAAAGAAGCACTTTCATTCTTTTGATCTCATGTTCTCCCGAGCACTGCCAAGGTCAAGCGCCGGGCACATGATTGGCGCTGGGGGATTTCCAAGGAAGGCACCTGGAGGCGGGCATCCCCTAGTGAACAATGCTGCTCTCCAGAGGGAGGAGAGACCGGTGGGAATCTGAGTTGGGCAAGCTGCCATCCCCACACCAGAGCCCGGAGTACCGTGACTTTTTTTTTTTTGAGACAGTCTCACTCTCTCCCCCAGGCTGGGGTGCAGTGGCGCGATCTCGGCTCACTACAACCTCTGCTTCCTGGATTCAAGTGATTCTCCTGCCTCAGCCCCCAGAGTAGCTGGGATTACAGGCACGCGCCACCACATCCGGCTATTTTTTTGAATTTTTAGTAGAGATGGGGTTTCACCGTGTTAGCCAGGCTGGTCTCAAACTCCTGACCTCGTGATCTGCCCATCTCGGCTTCCCAAAGTTCTGAGATTACAGCAGTGAGCCACCTCGCCCAGCCAACACCATGAGTTTTTAAGCTGGTGCGAGACAGCCAGAAGATGGGTGTGGTTACAATTGTCTGCTCATTGTTCTGCACCCTGTGGCTTTGAATCCCACCTTTATTCACCTTCAGACAATGACATTAATAAGAATGTAGCCCACACTGTCCGCAGTCCATCCCCTGGAGGTCCCAGGTTTTCTAACCAGTCACCTGGTTCTTTGCCAGGCAAACAAAAATGGCGGTTTTCCCTAATCCCTGAGATTCGGATGGGGTTACGAGTTTTGTGGCCACTTTCTGTTCTGATTTTCTGTTGTTCCTCACGTTTGGTCCTAACATTCACCGGGTATCCTCTCTTTGCCCAGGTGAGCAAACAGGTAACACGGGGCTCGATTTTCTCCACAGGAAAGTGTCCAACGGCATTCATGTAGAATGGAAAATATTACTAAAGCATTGGCTCACAGCAAACCCTCTGGACATGAACATTAGACAATACCTTCTAATAAAAATCCTTGGCCAGGCGCAATGGCTTATGTCTGTAATCCCAGCACTTTGGGAGGCCGAGGTGGGCGGATTACCTGAGATCAGGAAGTCAAGAACAGCCTAACCAATATGATGAAACCCCATCTCTACTAAAAATACAAAAATTATCCAGGCATGGTGGCATGTGCCTGTAATCCCAGCTACTCGGGAGGCTGAGGCAGGAGAATCGCTTGAACCCAGGAGGTGGAGGTTGCAGCAAGTTAAGATTGTGCCATTGCACTACAGCCTGGGCAATAAGAGCAAAACTCCGTCTCAAAAAAAAAAAAAAAAATTCCTGGCCATTCCCACCAGCAGGAGGTTTGCTCTCCCGGTTGGACCCTGGCATACCTGATTTGGAAAGCTCTTTCTGGTTTTCCTGTCTCATCCCCCAGAGTGTCAGGTCCCTATGTGAAAGGGCTGCTAGGACAAAGTACCACAAACTGGGTGGCTTGACTCAACAGAAAATTTGTGTTTACCTGTTTTGGAGACAGGACATACAAAATTAAGGTTGCAGCAGGGCCATTCTCCCTCTGAAACCTACAGGGTAGAGCCTTCCCTTGCATCTTCCTAGCCTCTGAGAGAGGCCATCAAGCTATGGCTTTGCAACGCATCACCCCAGTTGCTGCCTCTGTCATCCTCACCTGATGTTCTCCTGTGCATCTCCTCTATCTTCACCTGGACAACTTCCCTCTGTATGTGTCTGTGTGCCCAGATTTCCCTTGTCTTATAAGGAAGCTAGTCACCTGAATTAGGGCCCACGCTCATTTGAAATTAACTTCATCTTAAAAGACCCTATTTTCCAATCAGACCGTATTCAGAGGTACTGGGCATTAGGCCCTGAACATGTATTTTTTTTTGTGGGACACAGTCAAACCCAGAACACGTCTTCATTTATGGGAACTTTAAATTTCCTCTTCCTTATCCTTACTGGGCTGAGATGTTCAATTTTCTGGGTTTTTTGTTCTAACCCGTTATATAGAGTATGAGGTGGTCATAGGGGATGGGGCAGGGAAAGGGACAGGTAACCAAGAAGAAGTATCTTCCCTAGTGACATCCAAAGAAAGCATCAAACTGTTTTACCAAACAAAACCACTTCTCTCTCTATAATGGGTTCTACCACTGCCCTTCCTTCCTTTCCTCCTTCCTACCTTCCTTCCTTCCTTCCTTCCTTCCCTCCTTCCTTCCTTCCTTCCTTCCCTCCTTCCTTCCTTCCTTCCTCCCTCCCTCCCTCTCTCTTTTTCTTCTTTCCTTCTCCCTCTCTTTCTCTCTTCCTCTCTTTTCTCTCTCTTTCTTTTCTTCTTTCCTTCTCTCTCTCTTTCTCTCTTCCTCTCTTTTCTCTCTCTCTTTCTTTTCTTCTTTCCTTCTCTCTCTCTTTTCTCTCTCTCTCTCTCTTTCTTTCATCTTTCTCTTTCTCTTTCTCCTTTCCTTCCTCCCTCCCTCTCTTCTTTCTTTCTTTCTTTCTTTCTTTCTTTCTTTCTTTCTTTCTCCTTTCTCTCTTTCTCTTTCTCTTCTTTCTTTTCAGGCTGGCTGGCTCTGTCACCCACGCTGTAGCACAGTAGCATGATCATAGTTCACTGTAGCCTCCAACTCCTGGCCTCAAGCAATCCTCCTGCCTCAGCCTCCTGAGTAGCTGAAGTCTCAGCTACTCTGACTAATAGGCATGCACCACCATGAACAACTATTGTTTTAAAGAATTTTTTTTTGTAGAGATAGGGTCTCGCTTTGTGGCTCAGGCTGGTCTCGAACTCCTGGCTTCAAGCAGTCCTCTCCTCCCACCTCAGCCTCCCAAAATGCTGGGATTACAGATGTTAACCACCATACTGGGCATTGGCCTTTTAAAATAAGTTTATTTTTCCATCCATTACTACTTAATCACCACCTACTACATGTGAGATATTTTCCTTTTGATCATTTCTTGATTTTCTCACCACAACCCTGAAAAACAGATATTGTTGTTGTCTTTTCAAAGATCTGGGGCACAGACTAAGGCTAACATCACATGGCTGTGGAGAGCCAGGAACAGAATTCATAGCCATGTAGTCAAAGCCGGTCTGTCTAAGATGTCCTGGTTCCATCTCTGCCACCTCTGGCCTGACCCTGTCCTTCTTCGGCACTACTGCCCACTGGTTCTCCAGCCTCATGCCCCTTGGTGGCACATCTCAGCACTGAATGAAGTCCCTGTGGCTGTTGCAACAAATCCCTGCAAATCAGGTAGCTTAAAACAGGCCAGGCGTGGTGACTTATGTCTGTAATCCCATCACTTTGGGAGGCTGAGGTAGGCGGATCACAAGGTCAAGAGATCGAGACCATTCTGGCCAACATGGTGAAACCCCATCTCTACTAAAAATACAAAAATTAGCCAGGAGTGGTGCAGATGCCTGTAGTCCCAGATACTCGGGAGGCTGAGGCAGGGAGAATCACTTGAACCCAGGAGGCAGAGGTTGCAGTGAGCCGAGTTCACGCCACTGCACTGTGGCCTGGGTGACAGAGCAAGACTCCGTCTCAAACAACAACAATAACAAAACCACATATTTATTCTCGTACAGTTCCAGAGGTCAAATTTCCAAATTCAGTATCTCTGGTCAAAGTCAAGTTGTCAGCCAGGCAGTGCTCTCTCTATCAATCTCGGAAAGCATCCATTCCTTCCCTCTTCCAGTTTCTGGTGGCAGCTGGCACTCCTTGGCTTATGGACACATGGCTCCAATCTCTGCTACTGTGGCCACATGGCTTTCCCTTCTTCTTGTAGGTGCCAAATCTCTCTCTGCTTCCCTCCTATAAGGGTACACGTGATTGCATTTAGGACCCACCTGGAAAATTCAGGGTCATCTCCCCATGTTAAGATCCTTGGTTCACTCATATCTGCAAACTCTTGTGCCATATAAGAAAACATTAGGCTGGGTGCGGTGGCTCACGCCTGTAATCTCAGCACTTTGGGAGGCTGAGGCGGGTGGATCACCTGAGGTCGGGGGTTTGAGACCAGCCTGACCAACATGGAGAAACCCCTTCTCTACTAAAAATACAAAATTAGCCGGGCATGGTGGCGGGTGCCTGTAATCCCAGCTACTTGGGAAGCTGAGGCAAGAGAATAGCTTGAACCCAGGAGGCAGAGGTTGTGGTGAGCTGAGATCGGGCCATTGCACTCTAGCCTGGGCAACAAGAGTGAAACTCTGTCTCATAAAGAAAACACTCATGGGTTCTGGGGTGAGGACATAGACATATCTTTGGGGTCCATTTTGTAACCATCCAATAGGTTCACCTTGCCCGTTGCCTAGACAGAGCTGATTCATTGAGACAGGGGAATAGCAATAGAGAAAGAGTAATTCACATAGAGCTAGCTGTGCAGGAGATCAGAGTTTTATTATTACTCAAATCAGTCTCCCAGAGCTTTCTGGGATCAGAGTTTTTAAGGACATCTTGGTGAGTGGAGGGAAGCCAGTGAGCCAGGAGTGCTGATTGTTTAAGGCAGGAGATGAAAACAGGGAATTGAAGTTGTCTTCTTGTGTTGAGCCAGTTCCAGGGTGGGGGCCACAAGATCAGATGAACCAGTTTCTTGATCTGGGTGGTGCCAGATGATCCATCAAGTGCAGGGTCTGAAAAATTTCTCAAGCACTGATCTTAGGAGCAGTTTAGGGAGGGTCAGAAGCTTGTAGCCTCCAGCTCCGTGACTCCTAACCATAATTTCTAATCCTGTGGCAAATTTCTTAGTCCTACAAAGGCGGTCTAGTCCCCAGGCAAGAAGGAGCTTTGTTTTGGGAAAGGGCTGTTATCCTCTTTGTTTTAAATTATAAACTAAGTTCCTCCAAAAGTTAGTTCAGCCTACGCCCAGGAAGGAATAAGAACCGCTTAAAGGTTAGAGGCAAGATGGAGTCATTTAGATTAGATCTCTTTCACTGTCTCAGTCATAATTTTGCAAAGGTGGTTTCCATTTTCTTTTCCTTGAGACACGGTCTTGCTCTGTTGCGCAAATGGAGTGCAGTGGCACAATCATTGGATTATAGCTTACGGCAGCCTTGAACTGCTGGGCTCAAGTGATCCTCCTCTGTCAGCCTCCCTAGTAGCTACGGGTATAGGGGCACACCACTATGCCCAGCTAATTATATTTTTATTTTTGTAGAGATAGGGTCTCACTATGTTGCCTAGGCTGATCTTGAATTCCTGGCCTCCAGTGATCCTCCCATCTTATCCTCCTGAGTAGCTAGGACTATAGGCACCCACCACCATGCCCAGCTAATGTTTAATTTTTTTTATATATAGAGATGGGGGTCTTTGTCTGTTGTCCAGGCTATTCTCGAGCTCCTGGTCTCAAGCAATCCTCCTGCCTCAGCCTCCCAAAATGCTGGGACTACAGGTGTGAACCATGATGCTTAGCTTTGGGGGCCATTAATTAGCCTACCACTCTGCTTCCCCTGTGGTTTATGGCTTTCAAGCACTGGGCTCCTGGTCCTTCTTTCTGATATCTGGCTCCTTCCATGAGTGGGGGTGAGTAGGGAGGAGGAGAGGAGAAATTCCTGTGTGTGGCTTGCTGAGAAGACTTCCAAAGAGGCACCAGGGAGCACTCTCTGTCAGGGTTTTATAAAACTGTTGTAATAATGCTTGTTTGAAAAGGGGTAGAAGACCCTCTGGTGAAGATGAAAGGGCAGGCTGTTTTGGATGGCAGATAGCTGCTTTGAGCCTCCAAAATCTCATAAAATGGAGGTGTTGCAGAGCTGAGATGAAGAAATTATGGCCCTATTGGGAAAAAGAATTCTTCAGAGTGAGAAGGAAGAGGGAGCATGCCTGTTCACTGACCAATGACAAGACTGAATATTATGTCTCTTACTGCAGGAAAGGGAATTGGCACTTCCCCACCTGCAACCTTACGGATGACAGCCATCATTGTAGATTGGTCATAAGTGCCCAGTTAAAAAAAAAAATCCCCAAACATTCATCAAGTTTTTCCACAGCGATACCTTGCATTGAAAACCTTTCCATCACATTCTATTTTAAGCATTTTTATCAGAACCTGATGTTATCCATATTGGCTTCAAAGCATGCATAAGGCTTTTTGGCTTTGAACATTTTAGAATATATGGCGCCCTTAGGCAATGGCTAAAGGTGAATGTCAGCTCGCTAAATATGAGGTTCTGGATGCAAGAATGCATTTGAGATTTCTGATCCGAGAGAATGAAGAACACTGCTCTGCATTGCTGCCTAACTGCATCTTGCTTGTCTATCGTGGTCAAATTGGGTGGACTGCATTTGATTAATTTCAGTGAAAGAAAGAAATTTTAAAAGAACACACTGCGAAAGACCCATGCTTGGTAGAGGCAGGAGTGTTCCTGTTTTTCTATGTTCCTAGGAAACATTCACCCTGAATAGGGTGAGTACATAATTTTTGATCCAAACCTGGCACTTTTGAGAGTAAATGAGACATTATTAATAATTAAGCTGGGGGCCGGGCACGGTGGCTCACGCCTGTAATCCCAGCACTTTGGGAGGCCAAGGCGGGTGGATCATGAGGTCAGGAGTTCGAGACCAGCCTGGCCAAGATGGTGAAACCCCGTCTCTACTAAAAATACAAAAATTAGCTGGGGACAGTGGTGGACGCCTCTAATCCTAGCTACTCGGGAGGCTGAGGCAGGAGAATCACTTGAACCCAGGAGGCGGAGGTTGCAGTGAGCCGAGATCATGCCACTGCACTCTAGCCTGGGTGATAGAGCAAGACTCCATCTCAAATAATAATAATAATAATAATAATAATAATAATAAAAAAAAAGCTGGAATGCCAGGCTAAGGCTTAGACTGTCTCCTTTCATTTTGAGTAAATTGCATTCCATGTAGTTAGTTGGCTGTGGGTAAAACCATAAAGTAGATTGGCTTACATTCTTCTCTTCTCTTTCTTCTGCTCCCCTCTACCTTGTACTCAGAACATCATCATTCTGGGACTTGGGGGAAACTTTCCCCACATCTTAACTTTTTTTGATTTTTTTTTGAGACAGGGTGTCACTCTGTGGTCCAGGCTGGAGTGCAGTGGCACAATATTGGCTCACTGCAACCTCCGCCTCCCAGATTCAAGCAATTCTCATGCCTCAGTCTCCCAAGTAACTGGGATTACAGGTGCCCGCCACCATGCCCGGCTAATTTTATATATATATATATATACACACACACACACACACACACACACACACACACACACATATATACACACACACATATATATATACACACACAAGTATATATACACATATATACGTGTATATATATAAAAACAAATTACAAATTAATTTACAAATTTATATATATATATATATATATATATATATATATATATATATTTTTTTTTTGTAAAGACAGTTTCACCATTTTGGCCAGGCTGGTCTCCAACTCCTGACCTCAAGTGATCTGCCCACCTTGGCCTCCCAAAGTGCTCGGATTGCAGTCATGAGCCAATGCGTCTGGCACCTTTCTCCATGTCTTATTTTATAATTGGGGAAGCTAAGAACTCAGAAAGAGGTGATTATTGGTTACACAGAAACATGGAGGCAAGGTTAGAACTTACTTTCTCTTTCCAGAAGAAAGCAGAGGTGCTCATCATGGTCATGAGTGGTCAGAGTCCAGCATTACCTGCCCACTGAGCCCAGCTCATGGCAAGTTCAGATGGGCCTCTGCTCTCACCTGCCTCCGGATGCCTTGGCGCTCTGTGAGAATGATTGATGAGCATCTGATGAATTGGCTAATGCTATCACAGCATAGCCCTTTCTGGAACACCTCACAGGTTCATCAGGGGCTTCTGTAGATTGTGTCTCCATGCAAAAGGGTGGTCCTTGCATGTTGACATTGGTACAATAGGTAGCTACCTACTTGTAGCAGATTTATTAAGAAAATATTTAGATATAGGAAGACATACTGGGGCATGCATGTAGGTGAATTTATATTATTCCCCTGCAGAAGGTAAGAGCAAGAGAGAGAGAGAAAGAGAGCCTAGGAGTGCGTCATGGGGGTGGGAGGGGGAAAAAGTAGGGTACAATAATGAATGAATGGAAAGGAAAGGAAGGGAGAAGAGAGGGAAAGGGAAAAGAGGAGAAGAGAAGGGGAGTGGAGAAAGAAGAGGAGAGGAGAGAAAGGGTGAGGAGGAGGAAAGGAGAGAGAAGAGGAGAAGAGGGAAGGAGAGGGAAGAAGAGGAGAGAGAAGGAAAGAGGAGGGGAAGAACAAAAGGGTAGGGGATGGAAGGGGCGGGGAGGAAAAGAACAGGAGGGGAGGAAAGGGGAGGGAAAGAACAGGAGGGGGGGAGGGGAAGAGAGGGAAGGGGAGGGTGAAGGAAGGGAAGGGGAGGAGAAGAACAGGAAGGGAAGGGGAGGGAAAGGAAGAGGAGGTGAAGGAAGGGGAGGGAGGAAAGGAAGTGGAGGTGAAGGAATGGGAGGGGAGGGAAGGGGAGGGGAGGGAAAGAACAGGAGGTGAGAGAAGGGGAGGGGAAGGAAGGGAAGGGGAGGTAAGAGAAGCTGGGGAAAGAGGAGGGGAGGGGAGAGGAGACAGTGGATTTTGGCATTCACTATTAATCCTGTATAGCTCATGATGAGGTTGATATATTTTGGGTAAAAAAAACGGTATATTTTGAAGGTAGTTATCCACTTAGATGTCAACGGCAGTTCTACATAGTTCTAGCTCTATGTATACACTTGTGTCAGCTCTGGAAGCCCCCTGGGAGCCTGTGAAGAGAATTTCCTTGTTACGAGGAACCTAAACCCATAGTTAATGACTTGCTATGTCCCCAAGCAAGGTCTCCTGACCCATCCCAGTGGTGTTTCCATTCTATGTAACCATCTCCTTAGAACAAGAATATCAGAGAAGAGCAAAGAAAAGACACTGTCTGCACCAGTGTGAGTTGTCATACCTCAAGCCCCACCATCAGAAAGCAAAATCTAAACACAACCAAAAAGCAAACCAGATCCCTTTGCAACCCAAGAGAACCCAACATGTTAAGGTCACCTTGAGCACTTCCAGCATGTTGCAGACTCCCCGCAAAACAAGCTTATCTCTGACTTTCACAATGCTGGTATCTAAGGATATATATGTTCCGCCATTTGTCGGGATGAGAATTATGTAAGAAAATCATTTTCCACAAACTAACTGTCAAATTGGTCATTTTGGAGGGCTTTACTTTAAGTAACTGTTATGTTTTTATTTGATAAGCCAGAAGTTCTTTACAAATTAATTTATTTTCTTAATGCTTGCCTCTGATTCTTCCTTTCAGAGTTAGAATCCATCAAACTTCATTTCATGCCCAAATAGAAGAAAGTGTGTTTCTGGTGACTTTTCTCCAATCCTGACCCAGAGAGAAAAGATTCAGAAGGTCAATAAACCTCTGAGTCATTCATTGTAGGTTCTGCCCTCACTTTTATCTAAACAGCTAATCTGTCATTCAGCCCAGTTATTCTTTTTCATCATTTCCAGGATTCAACTTTATTTTCCTGTTTCCTTTGCCCTGCCTCTGCTGTATGACTTTTTATAATCCCCTCATTTCCCAGTGAGTAATAACCTTCATTACAGTCTCTCTCCTGATGACTCCAAACAGTCTTTCCGGCAAACTGCTGCCAAAATAATATTCCTAAAGCATGATTCTCATTGCCATCACTGCTTTCAAAAATTATTGCTGGCAGGAAGCAGTCCAGACTTATCACCGTAGTATGCATGGTCTTCCTGATCCAGCCTTGCTTCAAATTCCAACAGAATGGCTACCTACACAAAGACCAACTTGAGAAATAAACTTTGAAGTTCATGGTAATTATCTTTAACCTCTCTCTGTCCTTTTTGTATTCTTTGACCACTTGTGTTTTTGATTCTTCTTCCCCCCGCCCCCACCCCCATCATGCCTCCTTGATTGGGGCTATTCTAAGTGTGGTTTGGGGTTTAGAGGCACCAGCATCATTTGGGAGCTGGTTAGAAATGAAATTTCTGGCCGGGCATGGTAGCTCATGCCTGTAATCCCAGCACTTTGGGAAGCCAAGGCAGGTGGGTTGCTTAAACTCAGGAGTTCAAGACCAGCCTAGGCAACATGGAGAAACCCCCTCTCCACAAAAAGTATAAAAGATTAGCTGGGCATGGTGGCATGTATCTGCAGTCTCAGCTGCTTGGGAGGCTGAGGTGGGGAGGTTGAGCCTGCAGTGAGCTGTGATCACACCACTGCACTCCAGCCTGGGCAATAGAGTGAGACTCTGTCTCCCAAAAAAAAAAAGAAGAAAGAAAGAAATGAAATGAAATTCCTGGCACATTCCATCATGAGACCTAAGATTCTGTACTTTGTAAGTTTACCCAGTAAGTCTTACACACACTAATATTAGAAAAACACTGTTCTCGCAGGGTGCAGTGGCTCATGCCTGTAATCCCAGCACTTTCGGAGGCCGAGGCAGGTGGATCATGAGGTCAAAAGGTCGACAGCATCCTAGCCAATGTGGTGAAACCCCATCTCTACTAAAAATACAAAAATTAGCTGGACGCGTTGGCGGGCCCCTGTAGTCCTAGCTACTCAGGAGGCTGAAGCAGGAGAAACCCTTGAACCCGGGAGGCGGAGGTTGCAGTGAGCCAAGATAGCATCACCGCACTCCAGCCTGGTGACAGAGCGAGATTCCATGTCAAAAAAAAAGAAAAACAGAAAAACACGGTTCTCAACTATAACATCTCCCAACATTCTGTTGCAGTTATTTGATCTGCTGTCAAAAGTTAAATTAATAATTATTTAATGGCAGAACTGAGTCTAGAACTCACTGTTTCTAACTGCATTTAGTTTGCTTAATCACTTTGACTATCTCATTGCCCTGTGATGTGGTTTGGCTGTGTCCCCACCCAAATATCATCTTGAATTGTACTCCCATAATTCCCACGTGTTGTGAGAGGGACCCGGTGGGAGATAATTTGAGTCATGGGGACAGTTTCCCTCATACTGTGTATTGTTCTCATGGTAGTGAATAAGCCTTATAAGACCTGATGGTTTTATCAGGGGTTTCTGCTTTAGCACTTTCTTCATTTTCTCTTGCAGCCACAATGTAAGAAGTGCCTTTTGCCTCCCGCCATGATTCTGAGGCCTCTCCAGCCATGCGGAACTGTAAGTCCAATTAAACCTCTTTTTCTTCCCAGTCTCGGGTATGTCTTTATCAATACTCTATAAATATTGAATTAAGGGCGAAGTGGTAAATGTGGCTTTTTCTAAATTGCACCCTCAGAAATGATCCCTGTCCTACTTAGCCCAGTGCGGCTCCTGCCCCGGGGTGTTGACCTGGTGCTGCTCCACTATCCTCCACCCCACCATATTGTTTCCCATACATGGGACATTGACACCCTACTGCCATCAAAAGACACACCATGAGCTTTTAAGACCCAAGGACAGAGACTCCTGAGTATGGAACTGGCAAGGACAACAGTGAATTCAGAAGACTCTGCCTGAACTTCTATCTACACTGTATAGTCTTCCTATCCCCTCTGACTTCCATCTCACTTCTGGCTTCACACTCCCAGATCTGATTCCACTTTTGATTCCCATTTGGATTAACATCTTTCCCCCAGCTTTACCTCATTATTTCTGGTTCAACTTAATTTAGTCTCCATCCTCCATCCTCAGAGGAGGTTGTGCAAAGCTGACTTGTTAGTTTCCCTACATTATCCAGTAACTTCTCAGGACTCCATTTGTCTTGGTCCCATCCTTCATCTTCAACTCGCCCTGGTATGTGAACAAGACAATGACAGGCCTCAGTGTTACCACCCGCATGCCATGAAGACTTCCTGCAGAAGGCAACTATTACTGTGGTAACAATCACCATGGCAACTATCACCCATCGGTATGGTTTGGCTCAGTGTCCCCACCCAAATCTCATGTGGAATTGTAATCTTCATCTGTCGAGGAGGGGCCTGGTGGGAGGTGATTGGATCATTGGGGTAAACATCCCCCTTGCTGTTCTCATGATAGGGAGTGAGTTCTCATGAGATCTGGTTGTTTAAAAGCAGGTGGCACTTCCCCCTTTGCTCTCTGTCTCTCTCCTGCTGCCATGTGACGAAGGACATGTTTGCTTCCCTTTTGCTTTCTGCCATGATTGTAAGTTTCCTGAGGCCTCTCCAGCCACGTGAAACTGTGAGTCAATTAAACCTCTTTTCTTCATAAATTACCCAGTCTCAGGTAGTTCTTTATAGCAGCCTGAAAACGGACTAAACACCCACCACCCATTATTTCCAGCTCAATGTCCTCTCATACCTCTATTTTGACACCATTGAGCCCTCCAATCCATTGACTTTGCCACTTTTCTGTTATACCTCCAGTGTCCTCCCTTCCTTCCTGGTGCTGTTTAGATTCCACCCTCCAGGCTTGTCATCACTCTCTTGCTCACATTCTTCACTAGCCTGTTTCTCTTTCCTTCCATCTTAATTTCCTGGGAAAACAACTAAACTTTCAACCTCTGCCCTGTGCCCCAGCAGTTGAATATAGCTGAAGACAACCCACCACAGTGTTGACAAATCTCACTTTAAATGGATGACTACAATTCCCACGTCAAACCTCAGCAATACCAAGGGGTCCTCTTACATTTCCAGAGTCAATTTTCTCACATCCTCCAACTTCTCATATCCTGCCTCTTCTCAGAATGTCCTGAATTTATATTTTACTGAGAAAATAAAAGCAGTGGAAGGATCACACCATCTTGGCACCATCTAATCTACTTGCCTTGCTGCATTTTACACATGTTCTCTGCCTTCCCTCTTTACAGAGAGGATCCTACTCATGCACCTCTCAAAGGCAAATGTGGAAAATTGCAAGGATGCCTATGCAGCTGATGTGTCTGTTAGAGCTACCCGATAATGAAAAGGACTGCCTGGGTAGCTAGTGAGCTCGCCATCACTGGTTGTATCCAAACAGAAGCTGATGTCCTGTCAGCTTGCTTCCTCTTTGCCTTCTGCCATGATTGTAAATTTCCCGAGTCCCCCAGTCATGCCTCCTGTTAAGCCTGTGGAACTGTGAATCAATGAAACCACTTGTCTTCATAAATTACCCAGTCTTAGGTAGTTCTTTATAGCAGTGTGAAAACGGACTAAAACATCCATCACCCATTGTTTCCAGCTCAACATCCTCTCTCATACCTCTAAGATCTCTAAGACAAATGTCTTAGTCAGGTGCAAGACTGCTCCATCCCCTCTGTAAAGAGGGAAGGAGAACCACCACTAGACCACAGCCCTTCCTGCAATGACTATTTCCTCTTCACTCTGGGCTTTCTCACTCTTTCCAGAGCCATTACTGTCCACTGATGAAGATGCTGGTGTTACACAGCTTACATCTTTAAAAACAATGCCCATCCTAAGGCCTGGGATCCCCTCCGGCCATCACCCCATTTCTCTGCTCCCTATTCCTCCGCAAAGTTGTCTGCCTTTGCCATCTCCACTTACTTGCCTCACAGTCTCCCTTAAACCCACAACAGTCAGGTTCTTGTCTGCATCACTGATAGAGACTGCTCTTGCCAAAATCAGCAACCATCTGCATTCTCCCAAATCCTGCGGTAAATTCCCTTTGCTCATCTCACTCAAAGCTGAGCAGCAGGAGGCCCAATCTCTCCCACCTTCCATCTTTTTTTTTTTTTTTTTTTGAGTCAAGGTCTTGCTCTGTCACCCAGGCTGGAGTGCAGTGGCACAATCTCGGCTCACGGCAGCCTCCACCTTCCAGGTTCAAGCAATTCTCCTGCCTCAGCCTCCTGAGTAGCTGAGATTACAGGCGTGCGCCACCACGCCCGGCTAATTTTTGTATTTTTAATAGAGATAGGCTTTTGCCATATTGGCCAGGCTGGTCTCAAACTCCTGACCTCAAGTGATCTGCCCTCCTCAGCCTCCCAAACTGCTGGGATTACAGGAGTGAGCCACCACATCCAGTCCTCCTTCTGTCTTTAAAGGCTGTCATCACAGAGGCCCTGGGTCACCGTGCTCCTGGTTTTGCACTGACCTCAGCGTGGCTCCTTGGTTCCCTGACTGCTGGGTAAGGGTGTGGTCTTCAAAACTAGGCTGGATTTGCTTAGTCTCTTCCTTTGGTTTTTAGATGGTCTTTCTGCAGGTCTTCGCATGGTTCTCAGCTCTTGTGGCTCACTCCTTCACCTGATTATGCTCTCTGCTCAATGGTCACCTGCTTTAAAAAAAAAAAAAAAAGATAGATTTGGGGATACATGTGCAAGTTTGTTACATGGATAGATTTCATGATGCTGAGATTTGGACTCCAATTGAACACATAACTCAAATAATGAATATAGTACCCAATAGGTAGCATTTCAACCCTTGCCCCTCTCTATCCCTCCCCCATTTTGGAGTCTCCATTGTCTGTTGTTCCCATCTTTATGTTCATGTGTACCCAATGTTTAGCTTCCACTTACAGCTGAAAACAGGTGGTATTTGGCTTTCTGTTTCTGTTTTTAATTCAATGAGGATAATGGCCTCCAGCTGCATCCATGTTGCTACAAAGGACATGGTTTCACTCTTTTTCATGGCTGTGTAGTATTCCATGGTGTATATGTACCACATTTTCTTTATCCAATCAACTGTTGATGGGCATCTAAGCTGATTCCATTTCTTTGCTATTGTGAATAGTGCCACAATAAACATGCTACTGCAGGTCTCTTTTGGGGAGAATGATTTGTTTTACTTTGGGTATATTACCTAGTAATGGGATTGCTGGGTCAAATGGTAATTCTCTGTTTAATTCTCAAAAGTCACCTGCTCAGAGACCTTTCCTGACCACCCAAACTAGAAAAGTGCTCTCATTGTGTCAGAGGCATTTGAACCAGAGCAACGCCATCTTGAATGGGGCTGGGTAAAATGAGGCTGAGACCTACTGGGCTGCATTCCCAGACAGTTAAGTCATTCTAAGTCACAGGATGGGATAGGAGGTCAGCATAAGATACCAGTCATAAAGACCTTGCTCATGAAACAGATTGCAGTAAAGGAGCTGGCCAAAACCCACCAAAATCAAGATGGCAACCAGAGTGACCTCTGGTCATCCTCACTGCTACACTCCCACCAGCGCCATGACAGTTTACAAATGCCATGGCAACATCAAGAAGTTACCCTATATGGTCTAAAAAGGGGAGGCATGAATAATACACCCCTTGTTTAGCATATCATCAAGAAATAACCATAAAAATGGGCAACCAGAAGCCCTTGGGGCTGTTCTGTCTATGGAGTAGCTATTCTTTTATTTCTTTGCTTTCCTAATAACTTGCTTTCACTTTACTCTATGGACTTGCCCTGAATTCTTTCTTGCGAGAAATCCAAGAAGCCTCTCTTGGGGTCTAGATCAGAGCCCTTTCCAGTAACAATTGTCCTGTACCCCTCTCAATAGAGCAATCTTAGTGTATTGTCTTCATATCACCTGAACTACCTTACAGTGGATAGCTGGTCTCCTCTCCAGAATGCTCCGTTCGTTTACAGCTGTATCTCTAGTACCCACCATAGTGCTGGGCTCAGAACTTGCTCAATCCATAAATCAATGAATGCAGGCATGAATAACTGAATGTGTGTGCGTGTGGTGGTGGCTGTGACAGCATTTGGGATTGGGCAGGTGTATGGTTTCACCTGCCTCCATGTGTCGAGGGACACAGAGTTAAGAATGCCTTTCCTCTGTCTTCTCCTTCTGTCTCCCCAAGGTCTGGTACAGGGCAATGGAATCAATATTAATTACATGATTAAATGAATGAATGGATTTCAGAGAGTTCACTGGTAGTGACTTTCTAAGGCTTTGAGGTATGGTGACAAGATTTGACAAGACCTATCTCAACATAAATATTCTGACCACTGAAGATTTTTTTCATAAGGAAAATAAGGTGACCAGGAACTGTCTCATATACTGGGGATGTGGGATGGTAATTTTAGAGATAATCTTTTTTGTCCTGACCCTCCGCCTCACCTCACCCAAAGCTTGTCCGGCTTTAGATACATTTGCACATCCTGCCTTAATTTGATTAGTGGCAGATGCTATTATCTGAGGAAATCTAAATTGCCTCTTCCTGTGCTAATGAACTACTGTACCAAGTGTGTGGGGATTTGAGAACAAGATAGATTTATTAATGAGTGCCTAATTAAAGGGACAGTTACGGAGTTCTTGGTGGGGGGGGGTTGCTTCTATTCTTTATAAAGATTGACACTTTTTATGACAAAATGGAAACGTTTTATATCTGGTTTAAAATTTTAAATATCGCAATTAGAAACCAAATGAAGAGTTAGGTTTAATCAAATGCAATAGAATGTGACACCCTCTTCCTGGTTGAAGGTGGGGTCTGCGGGTCTTTCTGTCTCAGTTCCCCCCAAGCCTCCCTCACAAGAAGCCCCACTGATATATATTTTTTTAAATCTCACATGGCCCTGGTAATCCAACTCTGAAACAAATGACTTTTTCCTGTACTAAAGTGGAGGCTTGCATCTGAAGCTCTGGAAAATGCTGGGTGCTCATGGTGGTGAAACTGTTACAAGAAAGGGGTCCTGATTCAGACCCCAAGAGAGGGTTCTTGGATCTTGTGCAAGAAAGAATTAAGGGCAAGTCTGCAAAGCAAGTTTATTAAGAAAGTAAAATGGTAAAAATACAGCTACTCCATAGACAGAGTAGGAGGTTCCCGAAAGTAAGAGGAGGAACACGTCCACCCTAGGTACAAGGTACAATGCTTGAATATATATATATTTATTTTATCATATATATGATAAAATATATATATATCATATATATGATAAAAGATTCCTTATGAAGATTGACACTTTTTTTGACAAAATGAAAACATTTTATATCTAGTTTAAAATTTTAAATATCACAATTAGAAACAGAATGGAGAGCTAAGTTTAATTAAATGCAATATAATGTGACACCCTCCCTTTGGTTGAAGGTGGGATTTATATATATGATTGATATATATATATCTCATATATATGATATTTTATCATATATATGTTAAAAAAAGATTATGAGAGGATGTTCTCTGCTACAAGGGTTTGTGATAAAGGATTAATTTTCTTAATTACTAAATTTTGCAAGAATCAATATTATTATCTTTAAAGCAAAATTAGGAATGCATTTGTTCTCAAGATATTGGGATATCTGGACATTCCCAAGTCTGGTTCTGTTTAATAAACATTATCAATCTGTTCCCTTAACTGTAAACATCTAGAGACTAGGAATACCTCACTTCTTGGGAATTCAGCCCAGCAAGTCTCAGCCTCATTTTCCTAGCCCTCACTCAAGATGGAGTCACTCTGGTTCGAACACCTCTGACAAAAAACCACCTTTGCAAAAATTCCGTAGATGAGAAAAAGTATAAGAGAAAGCTAAGTTAACCCACCCCCACATCTTGCCTTTGTCTTAATTATCCCTGGGCTATCCGGTCAGGCTAACTTTGAAAGACTATTAGGCTATAGCTTAAAGGATAATAGGCCTTGTCCAGAACTCAACTGCTTTTGGAAAGCTAATTGCAGCCCATCAGGCTAGTCAGAGAAGAGGAACCTGAGTCCTGCTAAGGCTCAGAAATGAATGATTGTCAGCCGTGATTCTGGAGGTTATCAGACACAGCTTCCCCAATTGCTCCTGCAAATAATACCACTATGGTAGACTGGTCTTTTGAGATATATTTTGCTTTGCATCTGTGGTCTTGCCCTGATTTCTTTCTTGTGTGAGATCCAAGAACCCTCTCTTGGGGTCTGAATCAGGACCTCTTTCCTTTTTTTGCATGTCTGATATCCATGGTTCTACCTAAACCTAATGGCTCCAACTGGACCACCAATCCTGCTGCTGTGGCGTCATCCAGAAGTGATTCAGTCCTCAGAAGAACAGCTTCTACCCACTATGATTTCATTTCTGCCCCAAGCAATGAGCAGCAGGCACCCGTTACCTGGCCACCCCCACCTCTTCCCCCAAACGGCCTTTGAAACACCCCTAACCTAGGAGCTTTGAAAGAGATGATTAGAGTACCAATTCCATCTCCCAGTGTGGCATGGCCAGCCTCGTGTCTATTAACTCTTTCTCTAGTACAATGAGGTGGTCTTTAAGCAGCTGGCAGGAAGAACCCCTTGGGTGATGGCAGTGGTCAACATGGAGCCTGTGTGAATGACACTCTCCCCTCACCCTCTGTACACAATGCATACCCCACATCAGAGAGCACAATAAAAATAGATAGAATAGGCTGGGTGCGGTGGCTCATGACTGTAATCCCAGCACTTTGGGAGGCCGAGGTGGGTGGATCACCTGAGATCAGGAGTTCGAGACTAGCCTGACCAATATGGTGAAACCTCATCTCTACTAAAAATACAAAAATTAGCTGGGCATGGTGGCGGGTGCCTGTAATCTCAGCTATCCGGCAGGCTGAGACAGGAGAATTGCTTGAACCCAGGAGGTGGATGTTGCAGTGAGTCAAGATCATGCCACTGCACTCCAGCCTGAGCGACAGAGTGAGATTCCATCTCAAAAAGAAGAAAAAAAGATAAAACAATTGATCCTTAATCACCACTGCCCATCCCGCCCCCCACGCCCGCCGCCCCACACCCCCCAGCCTTCCACTCCTTAGTGTGAGAACACAGTGTGGGCTGAAATGGTAGACTATATTCATCAAGCAGTAGCTACATTTCAACTTTGGAAGACATAAAGACTGTCAGTCACATTCATAAATGGAAATGAATGGCTTGGTTTGCTAATCCAAGCCAATCTAATCATTATTAAATGTCTATGAAGGAATGCTCGTTTTCACTGGATAAAGAGCTACTCATTGGACAGTAGGCAGGAAGATGGAAATTCTTGCGCAGAAGAAGGAAGGGAAAGGTGCTTGTGAAATGGCTTGGTTCAGGGCAACACCAACACGAAACTCAGTATTGTAGCCCAGCTTTATTTGTGGTGAAATACATTTATTTATTTATTCGCTTTTTGCAGTTTCAGTTACCAGCAGTTACTCACAGTCTGAAAATATGACAGTATTTTTTTTGTTTTGTTTTTTGAGATGGAGTCTCACTCTGTCACCCAGGCTGGAGTGCAGTGGCGCAATCTTGGCTCACTGCAACCTCTGCCTCCTGGTTTCAAGTGATTCTCTTGCCTTGGCCTCCTGAGTAGCTGGGATTACAGGCATGTGCCACCATGCCTGGCTAATTTTTGTATTTGTAGTAGAGACAGGGTTTCACCATGTTGGTCAGGCTGGTCTCGAACTCCTGACCTTGTGATCCGCCTGCCTCGGCCTCCCAAAGTGCTGGAATTACAGGCGTGAGCCACCATGCCTGGCCAATATGACAGTATTTTGTATGTTGTATTGCAGTATATTGCTATAATTGTTTGATTTTCTTATTAGTTATTGTTGTTCATCTCTTACTGTGCTTAATTTATAAATTAAACTTTATCATAGGTATGTCTGCATAGAAAAAACATAGAACAGTTATGTGCTGAATAACAGAATTTTAATCAATGACAGTCTCAAAAGATTATGATACTGTATTGTTACTGTAGCTTTCCTATGTTAGATAAGTTTAGATACACAAATACTTACCATCGTGTTACAATTGCCTACAGTATTAAATACAGTAACATGCTTTACAGGTTTGTAGCCTAGGAACAATAGGTGAGACCATATAGCCTAGGTGTATGGTGGGCTGTACAATCAAGGCTTGTGTAAGTACACTCCATGATGTTCACACAGTAACCAATTCACCAAATGACACATTTCTCATAATGCATCCCCGTGGTTAAGTGATGCATGACTGTATAGATGGGGTTCAGTACTATCTATGGTTTGAGAAATCCCCTGGGCGGTTTTAGAAAGTATTCTGTACGAATAAGTGGGGGGCAACTGTACAGGTGTTACTACAGCCAGCTCTTTGGAAACCATCTTTTGGTCTTCTAGGAACTCTGGGAGTCTCTGCACCTGCTACTGACAGTCAGCATTCTTGGGGAGTCCATTAGGGTAACCATCATGGGCCTAAAGATTTTTCTTCTGGAAAAGTGGAATAGGGATTGCTTTTTTAGCCCCACAAAAGGAAAACTGGTGCTGGAGGTGTTTGACTTGGCCAAGGTCACCAGACGTTATCACAGTGAGGCAAAAATGCAGGTTGCAGGCCTGTTAGCATCTGGATTAATCTGTTTTCACGCTGCTGATAAAGACATACCTAAGGCCGGGCACAGTGGCTCACACCTGTAATCTTAGCACTTTGGGAGGCCAAGGTGGGTGGATTGGCTGAGCTCCGGAGTTCAAAACCAGCCTGGGCAACACGGTGAAACCCTGTCTCTACTAAAAATACAAAGAAAAAAAAAATTAACTGGACATGGCGGCATGTGCCTGTGGTCCCAGCTACTCGTGAGGCTGAGGCAGGAGAATGGCTTGAACCCAGGAGATGGAGCTTGCAGTGAGCCGAGATTGTACCACTGCATTCAAGCCTGTGTGACAGAGCAAGAATCTGCCCCCCAAAAAAACAAAAAACAAAACAAACAAACAAACAAAACCAACAACAAAACAAACAAACCAAAAAGACATACCCAAGACAGGGTAATTTATTTATAAAGAAAAAGAGGTTACATGGACTCACAGTTCCACATGACTGGGGAGGCCTCACAATTATGGCGGAAGATGAATGGTATGTCTTACATGGCGGCAGACTAGAGAGAAAATGAGAGCCAAGTGAAAAGGGAAACTCCTTATAAAACCATCGGATCTCATGAGACTTTTTCACTACCATGAGAGCAGTGTAGGGGAAACTGCTTCTGTGATTCAATTGTCTCCCACTGGGTCCCTCCCACAACACCCGGGAACTATGGGAGGCATAATTCAAGATGAGATTTGGGTGGGGACACAGCCAAACCATATCAGCATAGGTCTGTGGACTGCACTCCAGAAACAACTGGGCTAAGGCGGGAAAAAGAAGATTTCTTCAATGCAGATAATACATTTATTTTTAAAAGGTACTCTGTATATGATCTTAAGTGGCCCAGTTACCTTTAATTAAGAGTAAAAGGGGTTTTTGATTCTCTTTGCACCACTATCCGTGAGAAGAAAAAGGAGGCTGGGTGACAGAAGAAGCGATTTCTTTATTTTTGCTAGCCAAAGACACTCTTTAAAATGATTGGTTCACTTGCACAGGCTCTGGAGTTAAATGTCCCTGGAAATGTTTCCTTATTCTATGAATACCCACGCCAGGATTTGTCAGGGAATGTTGTGACTTGGATTACAATTTTTGTAACAGACCCAGAGAACAGAAGAGACATGTTTTCCAGCCTTATGCACGAGAATAATCTCATCCATTTATATCAATGAATAGTATTCTATTCCATGAGATTTCCCCAGTCGGTCCACTATGTCTTCTTTTATAAAATAAATAGAAGTGTATCATGAAATCATCAGCTCCTTCATGCAAAACCCAGCGGAGATTTAAAATTGGTCTCTCCTTGGTAAGAAATCATGGCTGCCTTCTTGTGCTACTACACTGGGAAAGTTATACAGCCTAGAGATGCCCTTTTTCTGTTGGGCTTGTAAATAACAAATCCAGAGCTCTGGGTTTGAGGAAAGGGGAGAAAGACAGAGGCAAACCTGGTCAGAGGGTCCCTGAGAAAGAGATAAACAGAAAAAGAAAGAGGGAAGGAAAGAGAGAGAAAGAGAAAGCAACAAAGAGAGAAAGAAAGGGTGAGAGAAGGCAGGGGGACAAGGAGAGAGAGAAAGAGACAGAAAAATGGAGAGGAGGAAAAGAAAGAGGAAGAGAGAGCAACAAAGAGCGAAAAAGAAAGAAAGAAGAAAGAAAGAAAGAAAGAAAGAGAAAAAAGAGAGCGACAGAAAAAGAGGAACAGAGAGGGAGAAAGAAAGAAAGAAAGAAAGATAGGATGAAAGGAAGAAAGAGAAAGAGGAAAGAAAGAAAGAGAAAAGAAAGAAAGGAAGGAAGAGAAAGAGAGACAGAGAAAGAAGAGGAGAGAGGGAGAAAGAAAGAAAGGAGGAAAGAGAAAGAAGAAAGAAAGAAAAGAAAGGAAGGAAGAAAGAACAAAAGAGAGACAGAGAAACAGGAAGAGAGGGAGAAAGAAAGAAAGAGAGAGAAAGGATGAAAGAGAAAGAAGAAAGAAAGAAAGAAAAGAAAAGAAAGAAGAGAAAGAAAAAAGAAAGGACGAAAGAGAAAGAAGAAAGAAAGAAAAGAAAAGAAAGGAAGGAAGGAAGAAAAAGAAAGAAAGAAGGAAAGAAAGAGTATAGAGAGAAAGAGAGAGAGGTAGAGAGAAAGGAGAGAGAGACCAATGGTCCATATCAGTGTTTGAAGAACTATGGTCAGTGTAGGCTTGGTACTAAATAGTGTCCATGTTGGCATCAGCTCTGCTGTAGTCAGTGAGCCTTTGAGACAGTCCTCCTGGCCTTACAGATAGCTGAGAGGCAACAGGCAGTATCTAGTTTGGGCCAAGAGACATGGCTGAGAGTAGAGACAATAGACTCTCCTAGAGAAAAGGCTTGGTAAAAGGTAGTATGACCAAATCCAAGCAGAGGACTGAGGTTCAGATCTGGGCTCATCTTAGTCAGGGGACTGCTACAAAACCCAGCCAGGAAGAGGGAACCTGACTGGGGGCCAGTTTCTTGATGACTTGGGGCTCTGGAAGCCATGCCTGGGAAGGTGAGAGCACTTGGCCTGCCAGTTTTAGAGCTGGAGTCAGGGAAAAGTTGAAGGGTGAACCTGGAGTTGAGATGCAATAAGACTAAGTTAACCAAAGCGTTGGTTAGGGAGAAGTAATGTTATGTAGAAAGCAATGGCAAATTCCTCAGAGGAAATCAAGACGGGCATGGGATCTCCGTTTGGTGGATAGGAAGTAGAACTTGAAAACAGTCCCTAAAGTGCCAGTACCTAATAGTAATTGTTATAATACCTCTCATGTATTAAGTACCTACCATGTGCTAGACACTGCACCTGCACCTTTTTTTTTTTTTTTTTTTGAGATGGAGTGTCGCTCTTGTTGCCCAGGCTGGAGTGTAGTGGCACAATCCTGGCTCACTGCAATCTCCGCCTCCCAGTTCAAGCAATTCTCCTGCCTCAGCCTCCCAAGTAGCTGGGATTACAGGCACACACCACCACACTCAGCTAATATTTGTATTTTTAGTAGAGATGGGGTTTCACTGTGTTGACCAGGCTGGTCTTGAATTCCTGACCTCAAGTAATCGACCTGCCTTGGCCTCCCAAAGCGCTGGGATTCTAGATGTAAGCCACCGCATCCAGCCTACAGGTGGAATTGGAACCAAATCCATTGGATTCTGAAGTTTATTGCTTATGGTCATATTTTCTCTTCATGTAGAAGTCTGTGGCCCTGCCCACAGTCAAGAGTGATGCTCCAGTTTTGACAATGCAAGATAATCATCTATACCAGAAATTGGGACATAAGAAAGCAGTAAGCACTGGCAAGGCCTTCTGCAGCTTAGGGTCTACTATCTGTTCCCAGACCCCACCTGCTTAATCTCAAGACAGATTCCCATTGGCTCAAGAATCATGTGGACCAAACTAGTGGATTTTCAAGTCTTTGGTATGAATTTGGGTGGGGCTGGGGCAACCAGGAACTGATTGGTTGCATGCCTCTAACTTGGGAAGGAGAAGCTCCACGAGTTTTGATCTTTTGGATTCGTGAGGGATGATTCCCATCCCATGCTGCAGAATGAGAATTTCAGCTTGTCTTGGAAGACAATATCTTGCCAAATGGCAACAGAGTCTGCACTATCCTTTGAGTCAGATCCTCTGCTTAAGGGTGAGGAGGTGTGAAGCTAACGGCTTGGATACGGTGTCTAACCACAGACTCCCAAGCTTCCATGAGGCCAACGCACAGTCTGATCGTCAGAAGAGGTGGAATCTGTCAAGCACCACTTTGAGAACTGGCATAGGGCTCCCATCTGTGAAGAAGAGACTGGGGATACAACCAAAGGTGCTTTGGGGGATTTTGAGAAATTATTGGATGGCTTCTTCAGAAACTTCAGATTTCAGGCAATCCTACATGCTGACATCCAACGAATCTTTCACATGGAAGGGTGGGGACAATACAATCTCTCTTTGCTGCAAAAATATACCATTTTCGATAGCCTGCTGATTATAATTAAGAAATGTAAGTCTCTTGCCATTTACTGGAGGTCCTGGTGGGAGAAGTCAGATCTTTGAATCAAAGTTTGCCAGAAATAGAGCCTTTTAACACTTATCTTTGCAAAAGTGAGGCCTAGAGAGGAAAAGTGACTTCCCTTAAAAGGATACAGCAGTAGGTGGAGGAGTTGGGGTTGGAATTCAATCTCTTAACTGCCTGAGTATCTCTGCAGAAAAGATGGGGTCAGGCCAGCCATGGGCTGTAATCCCGGCACTTTGGGAGGCCAAGATGGGAGAATTACTTGAGCCCAGGAGCTTGAGACCAGCCTGGGCAACACAGTGAGACCCCATTCTGAAAAAAAAAATTTAAAAAAAGATAGGGTCTACCATATCACAATGCATTCCATCAGGAACTCTATAAATTCACCAAGGGAGAAAGCTGAAACAAGGGCATGAAGTCCATTTTCAAGGGTCCCACAATGGGTTACTCCTATCCACAGTCCTAGGTTTTATTGTCTTTGCTTCAAGATGAAATGGTTGCCTCTTCACTCAGACATCTCAAGACAGAGGCTTCTTGGTTTTATCCTTTACCTCCCAGAGCTAAGCACAGGCTCCTCTTAAATGTCAGGCCAAAGTCAAGTCCAAGCGCCTGAGGAGAGGACTCCTACGGATTGACCCTGCCTGCTCTTGACCGCGTTCGCTTTCTGAACAGATGCCTTTCTTGTCCTTGGAGAAAGCATCGCGGGGATCACAAGAAACAGCAGGAAATAGCACTCCTTTTACAGCTGCCCTTTGTTGACCACACTCTGCTCTGGAATCAGATAAGTACGGGACTTAAAAGAACAAATTCTAACAGAAATCCAAAGGCAGGGAGAACTAATAATACACCAGAAAACCCTTTGGCACATACGATGCGACTAGAGGCATAGATGGAAAGATAGAAAGTTCTAAAAAGAGGAAATGAGCAGATAGTCTTCCTTTCCACTCTGGCAGGTAGAAGAGATGCATCTGGAAACTTTTTTGTCATGGAGGTAAAGGAGAAATAACTGGATCCAGATCCTTAAATCTCAACTCACTGGAGAGTTCCTCCTGCTGCTTCTTTGTAAGGAAGTCCACATTCTGTGGGGACGATCTGAGCTGCAATGGTTCAGCAAGAGTATCCTCCACCTATTGGGTCAGTGACCCAGATTACAGCTGCCCGACGAATAAATCTTCCGTGGAGTGGAATCCACGTGGCCCATTGGTGAGAGATGGGAGTGGGATGAGCAGATGATAAGGCAGAGAAGATGGGCTTTGTGAAGAGGGTGGTCCCTTTCTAATACGAAATTCTGGGAGTTTCTTTATAATTCTAGATTGGCTGTAATTTTAATGGTTTGTGTGGAGAGAAACGGTGGTGGTGGTGGTGGAGAGGTTGATGGCTTGAATCAGGTCATTAAAAAGAAATGTTGGCTAGGCCCAGTGGCTCACGCCTATAATCCCAGCACTTTGGGAGGCCAACGAGGGCAGATCACAAGGTCAGGAGATCGAGACCATGCTGGCTAACATGGTGAAATCCCGTCTCTACTAAAAATACAAAAAATTAGCTGGGCATCGTGACGCACACCTGTAATCCTAGCTACTCGGGAGGCTGAGGCAGGAGAATCGCTTGAACCCAGGAGGTGGAGGTTGCAGTGAGCCAAGATAGTGCCACTGCACTCCAGCCTGGGCAACAGAGCAAGACTCCTTCTCAAAAAAAAAAAAAAAAAAAAGAAATATTGTCAGGAGCGTTCAGCATAACCATTTTGCCTGCATTGATTAGTCATTTAGACAGCATATATTTATTGAACCATTGAGCTTACTGCAGATACGGTTGGTCCCTATGCACTTGGAGTTTTGCAGTCTCACGGGGAGGCACATAAAAGACAAATATTACATTTAAAAATCAATTCATTGAGATAAGTGCTTCAACAAGAAAATATAGTTCTGCAAGAGCACATGTCCATGAAGCCTGACCTCATGGAGACAAGGAATTTGGCAGGGATTTCTGCTTCGGTGTTTGTCCACTATTTTCTCAAATAACTTCTACCCAAGCTTTGAATCCTAAAGGTATTTTGGTTTTCCAGAGTGTACACCCCTGGGATGAGATTATTTTAAGCCCATATTAGAATTATTACTGAAGGGACAAGGATTCAGATGGATAAGGACAAGATCTTAGGGCTGCAGGGTCCAAATTCTTCTTGGAGCATGGGAGACTACAGTTAAGTCAGGTAACATTAAACCAAGACACCTGTGTAGTGTAGTCAGGGTTCCCTAGAGAAACATGACTAATAGGATGTGTATGTGTGTTTGCGTCTGTCTATCCATCCATCTCTCTATCTATTTATCTCTCTATATGTATGTATGTATCTATCTAATCTATCTATATATATCTACTATCTATCTCTCTCTCTTTACTATCACCTATCATCTATCTATATTTATTGATCATCATCTATCTCTGTCAATATGTATCTGTCTATCATGTATTTATCTATCATCTATGTATCTAAATTATCAATATCTATGTACTACCTACTATCCATTTATCTATCATCTATCTATATCAATTATCTATCTATCTACCTACCTACTTATCTCTATCAATTATCTAGCTAGCTAGCTAACAAGCTATTATCCATCTATGTATATCTATCTATCTATCTATCTATCTATCTATCTATCTATCATCTATCTATCTCTACCTACCTACTTACCTCTATCAATTATCTAGCTAGCTAGCAAGCTATCATCTAGCTATGTCTATCTATCTATCTATCTACCTATCTCTATTTACATATTTATCTATATCTACATACCTAGTATCTACCCATCTGTCTCTATCAATTATCTATCTATATTATCTATCTATCTATCTATCTATCTATCTATCTATCTATCCATCTATCTATCTATCGACCTACTATCTCTATCCTCTCTACCTACCTATCTCAATCACCTATCGATCTCTACCTATCTACCTACATATCTGTCTGTATCATCTCTACTATATCTATCTATCTATCTATCTATCTATCTATCTATCTATCTATCTATCTATCATCTATCAAGAGAGACAGGAGAGATTTTAAGGGATTGGTCATGTGATTATGGAGGCTGGCAAGCCCAAAATCTGAAGAGTGGGCTGGTGGGCTGGAGACCCAGAGAAGGATATTTGCATTAGTCTGTTCTTTCAGGGCTATAAAGAAATACCTGAGACGCGGTAATTTACAGAGAAAAGAGGTTAAATTGGCTCATGGTTCTGCAGGCTGTAAAGAAAGCATGGCAGTATCTGCTTCCAGGGAGGGCTTAGGAAGCTTTTATTCATGGAGGAAGGCAAAGTAGGAGCAGGTGTCTTACATGGCAGGAGCTAGACCAAGGAACTGGACCAAGAGACGGCAGAAGGAGGTGTTACACACTTTTAAACAATTAGAGCTCATTGGAATTTACTCACTGTACAGTACCAAAGGGGAATGGTGTGAAACCATTCAGGAGAACTTCACCCCCATGATCGAATCACCTCCCATCAGGCCTCACCTCTAGCACGGGATTACAATTCGACATGAGATTTGGGCAGGGACACAAATCCAAGCAATATCAACAATTTGGCTTGATCAATATCTACCTGCTAGCAGAAGTCCTTCTTGCTTGAGAGCAATCAACCTTTGTTCTATGAGTGCCTTCAACTGATTGGATGAGGCCCACCCACATTATGGCATGTAATCAACTTCACTCAAAAGTCCACTGTTTAAATGTTAATCTCATCCACAAACACCCTCACAGAGACATCCAGAATAATGTCTGACCATATATCTGGGCACTGTGAGCCTGCCACGGTGCGATATAAAGTGACTCATCACAACACCCTTCAGATAAGTTTATGTATAAAGAGGGGAACTTTTGAAGAGCTCTGTAGTATTGGAGCAGGCTTCTTGGAGGAGAAGGTAGTGGTGCTGAATCTTGGCTAATGGGTGTGATCAGGATAGAAAGAGCTGAGCAGGCAAAAAATGAACACAAAGCAGTGAGAAGGAGATGACTCCAGGAATTCATTTTGGAACGTTTCCTACATCAAGAATATCTGGTGTTCTGATCTGGATGTGATACTCATTGTGCTAAGTCACTGTGAGCCAAAACCCCAGGGCAGGAGCAGCTCAGGTCCTTGGAATATCCCTTACTGGCCAGTTCCACTCTCAGGAACCTTTAGAGACTCTTTGTGAGCAGAATAACAAATATTAAGAAACACTATTTGTGGCTCAGTGCTTGCATATCTGCCACCACCCCTCTGTGGGAAATTGCAGCACTTATCAGGGTTTATTCTGATTTTCTGCTTGCCTATCTCATAACATACACTAGTAGGTTAATTTCTCAAGGGCAAAAACTCGACCTTATTTATCCCTGTGTCACAGAAGTTCAGCTCCATGCTATATGTTTGTTAGGGAAGGAATTGCATGTCCCCTCAAGAAGAAAATAAAGACGAAAAGGCAGGTGATAAGTTCTAGTCACACCCCACTCTTAGCTCTTTTGTGAAAACTAGATCCATTTCACATTTATTTCAAGTCCATAGCCGGAAGCATTCTCTGTTTTCCTCCTGCTCCTCAGCCTGTCTCCCACCAGCTACAATAGTGTTGTGTAGATTCAGATTACATTTCCTACAATTTTGTGGATCACTTTCTTTTTCTGGCCTTTTGGCAGCAGGGGAATTCGTCCTTATTTGATACTATAAAACACAGCAACCTCATGTTTTAGCTTGCCAATGGAAGGACTCTTGCAAATGGGTATATTTCCATAGTTCTACACAATAGGCTTAATTGCTTGAGTTTGCAGTGTAAGCAGAGGTCGTTTGATTACTAGCTGTTTTGTACCATGAAAGTGCACATTAATTATTTAAGAGATGGACTTATAATTATTGTAAGCCTTAAGTAATTACCTATAATTTTGGCAAGGGTTAGAAAAACTGATAGCCTAGCAAATTCAGGTTTTAGTCATTAGTAAGATCATAATTACATTTAAATTGCAAAATGAAAATTATGCAATTTATCTCCCCAATAATGCATAAACATTACAGTGATTGTAGGTTTTAATGGACTATAAAAATGAGAGCAGCAATGGGCAGTCAGGGGCAATTTCAGCCCCCTGCTATTATTTTATGATTTAACTGCTTCTCCCACACATGGCTCTGTCCACTCCCCTTTGGGTTAGCAGTGGGGTTGCAGTTTTTCTTTCAACATGAAAGCAATAATCTCTTTGAAGGAGAGAAAGAGGGACTCAAGCAATAGATCACGATAAACCTTAAGTAACAGTAGAGAATTTGGACCAGAGCCAAGAAAAGAAAAACCCTGGTAGAGGGACTACAATAGAGTTTCAAAATACTGTCATACTGTCATACTCGAATTTTCATTTGAATGGGATCATCGTGCCTGTTTTACAGACGGAGTAATTAAGGCTCGGAAAGAGGATAAGATATACTCGCGGCTGGGCACGGTGGCTGATGTAATCCCAGCACTTTGGGAGGCCGAGGCGGGCGGATCACTAGGTCAGGAGATCGAGACCATCCTGGCTAACAGGGTGAAACCCCGTCTCTACTAAAAATACAAAAAAGTAGCCGGGCGTGGTGGCGGGCGCCTGTAGTCCCAGCTACTTGGGAGGCTGAGGCAGGAGAATGGCGTGAACCTGGGAGGCGGAGCTTGCAGTGAGCCGAGATCGCGCCACTGCACTCCAGCCTGGGTGACAGAGCAAGACTCCGTCTCAAAACAAAAAACAAACAAAAAAAATTAGCTGGGCATGGTGGCGGATGCCTGTATTCCCAGCTACTTGGGAGGCTGAGGCAGGAGAATCGCTTGAACCCGGGAGGTGGAGGCTGCAGTGAGCAGAGATCACGCTACTGCATTCCAGCCTGGGCGACAGAGTGAGACACCGTTAAAAAAAAAAAAAAAAAAAAAAAAAGACATGCTCGCAGTTGTACTCCTGGGGCTAGAAGCCAGCATTCTGATGCTTTGTAGCTGGCTGTCTCCACTCTGTCAGGCTGTATTGTGTCAGCGAGACCCGTTCAGCAGCACATAAGGAATTATATGAGTGGCTTTTGCCAGGAAAACACAGCCATGATGCAGATGGGCATAACATTATGGCATCTGCATAGGAGCCCATCAGCCTAAAGCCTTGTCTTCTCTGGCTGGCCAAAGTGTCTGCAAAATGAATCTCAAACATCCTCTCTTTTGTGAAGCCTTTTCTGGGGAAGAATTTGTTACCTCTTGCTTTTTTAAAATAGTTTTTTATTTTAAGCTTTTGTGGGTGCATATTCGGTGTATATATTTATGAGATATATATAAATATGTAACATAATATATATGTTTTATATATTATATAAAAATATAAAAATAATATGATTCATAATCTATATTTACATATATAAATAATATATATTATATATATTTTTATATATAATATATATTATATATATTTTTATATATTTTATATATTATATATATTTTTATATATTTTATATATTATATATAAATATAAAATATTATATATAAAAAATATTTTATATATTATATATATATTATATATAATATAATATAATATATAAATATATAAAATTATAAATATATAAATTTATATATAAATATATAAAATTATAATATAATATATAAAATATTATATATAATATATAAAATATTTTATATATATTATATAAAATATTATATATATAATATATAAAATATTTTACACAATATATATAAAATATTATATATTTATATATAAACATATTTGTGTATATTTTTATAATATAATAATATATATTTATATGTTATAAATAATACATGTATATTATATAAATGATATTACATATAATGTATACATGATAAATAATAATTTATATTAATTAATAATTATATAATATAATATATAATTATATAATATATTATATAATATATAATATATTATATAATATAATTATATTATATATTATATATATAAATATTATAAATAATATAAATATATATTAATTAATATAAATAACATATATATTTTTGAGGCATGATCTCACTCTGCTGCCCAGGCTGAAGTGCAGTGGCATGATCACAGTTCACTGCAGCTATAACTTACTGGGCTGAAGCAATCCTCCTGTCTCCACCTCCCGAGTAGCTGGGACTACAGATGTATATCACCACATCCAGCTAATTTTTGTTTTTTTTGTAGAGACTGGGTTTCACCATGTTGCATAGGCTTGCCTGAAATTCCCAGGCTTAAGGGATCCTCCTGCTTCAGCATCCCAAAGTGCTCGGATTACAGGCATGAGCCACCATGCCCAGTGGGTTACACTTATATACTAATGGGGTACATGAGATATTTTTATAGAGGCATGCAATGCATAATAATTGCACCAGGGTATATGGGGTATCTATCCCCTCAAGCATTTATCATTTGTGTAACAAAAAATCCAATTATACTCCTTTAGCTATTTTTAGATGTATAAATTATTTTTGACTACAGTCACACTTTTGTGCTAGCAAATATGAGGTCTTATTTATTTATTTATTTATTTTTATATGGAGTCTCACTCTGTCACCCAGGCTGGAGTGCAGTGGCGCCATCTCGGCTCACTGCAAGCTCCTCCCTCCCAGGTTCATGCCGTTCTCCTGCCTCAGCCTCCAGAGTAGCTGGGACTACAGGCGCTGGCCACCACGCCCAGCTAATTTTTTGTATTTTTAGTAGAGATGGGGTTTCACCCTGTTAGCCAGGATGGTCTCCATGTCCTGACCTTGTGATCTGTCCGCCTCGGCTTCCCAAAGTGCTGGGATTACAGGCATCAGCCACCGCGCCTGGCCTATTTATTCTTTCTAACTATTTTGCTGTACCTATTAGCCATCTCCATTCCCTCCCCACCTGCCATCCCCCACTTTCCAGCCACTGGTAACCATCCTGCTACTCTATCTCCATGAGTTCAATTGTTTTAATTTTTGGATCCCACAAATAAGTGAGAACATGCAAAGTTTGTCTTTTTGTGCCTGACTATTTTCACTTAACATAGTGACCTTCAGTTCCATCCATGTTGTTGCAAATGACAGGATCTCATTCTTTTTCATGGCTGAATAGTGCTCCATTGCCTATATGTACCACATTTTCTTTATGCATTTATCTGTTGATGGGCACTTAGGTTGCTTCCTAATCTTGGTTATTGTGAACAGTGTTGCAATAAACAAGGGAGTGCAGATATCTCTTTACTATACTGATTTTCTTTCTTTTTGGTATATATCTAGGAGTAGGATTGCAGGATCATACTGTAGCTTGACTTTTGGTTTTTTTAGGAACCTTCAAACTCTTCTCCGAAGTGGCTGTACTAATTTACATTCTAACAGTGTATGAGGGTTCCCTTTTCTCCCCATCCTAACCAACATTTGTCATTGCCTGTCTTTTGGATAAAAGCCATTTTAACTGTGGTAGAGATGGTATCTTACTGTAGTTTTGATTTGCATTTCTCTGATGATCAATGATGTCGAGCACATTTTCATACCTCTTGTTTTGTTCTCCTATTGGCTTGGTAACTCAGATTCATCAATAACACACTATAATGAAATGCAATGTCTCTCCAACTGAACTGAGAGCCCTTAAAAGTATTGTGGCTTATATACCTGCAGCAGGCAGATACATAAAGCTGAGAAAATGTTTATTAACTGAGTCAATCAATTAATCAATCATTTATGACTTGTCCACTATCTTCATTATCTTATGCTACCCTCGGTGAAGGTTATAAAGAAAGGTAACAGTATCTTCATGCTCAAGGATTTTGTTCCAGGAAAGTGGAACAAACAGCAGATGAAAGATGAAATGACAAGGCAAAGATATTTATCATCACTGAACAAACCACAGCAGTGTTATAAGTGTTTGCTGAGATAAGTTATGAATTTTTCCTCCGTTGGAATGCCACAGGAGTTTCCTGGACACTGATCTGCTTTGCTTAATCAGGTTCAGTCTCACCTAGATGCAAGAAGATAAATATTTCCTGTTGTCACTATCTAATTATGGGATGATGCTTACAGTAAATATTGACTGAGCACCTAATCTGTGCCAGGCTCTATTCAGGGAAATAGGACACCAAAAAGAACCAACTCCAGCCTGTGCATTGATTGGGAAGACAGACTTGGGTAGGACAATTATAAAACAAAACAATATGTGGAGAGCTACAAGAGAGGATCAGAGGAACTATAGCAGAGGGGTGGAAGAGGGTGGAAATAATTCCAATGGTGTGGGCAGAGGCAATGCTTAAGAGAGACTTGGGTTTTGAGGAATACCCTGAAAGATAAGAAAGATTCAATAGTCAGGGAGTGTATGAATCCGTTTTCATGCTGCTAATAAAGACATACCTGAGACTGGGTAATTTATAAAGAAAAAGAAGTTTAATGGACTCACAGTTCCACGTGGCTGGGAGGCCTCACAATAATGGCAGCAGGCAAAAGGCACGTCTTACATGGTGGCAGACAAGAGAGAATGAGAACAAAGCAAAAGGGGTTTCCCCTTATATAACCGCCACATCTCATGAGACTTATTCATTACCATGAGAACAATATGGGAAAAACCCATATTGTGGGGGAAATACCCCCACAATTCAATTATCTTCCACCAGGTCCCTCCCACAACACATAGGAATTATGGGAGCTACAATTCAAGATGACTTTTGAGTGGGGACACAGCCAAACCACATCAAGGAAAAAGAGAAGTAATGGGCTATTCCAAGAGGAAGTAATCGTATGAGTAGAACTATGGAAGTTGTTTAATTTGCACCACTGATCTTTCAGGCTGTGGAGTGCTGATGATCCCTTAAGGTAGCACCTTCTGTAAGTTGCAGGATATTGGTTTCATTAGTTTCCATATCCTGAGGCTGATGTGTTCTGATTCTGGCTCAAAATTCAGTGAGGAGTACCATTTTCCTGGCTTTCCAGCAACATCATTCCATGACCTCACAGTGGCTCAAACTAAAGGGAAGTCCCCAAGGGTATTGCCCCTTTGCAGAAATGATGTTTTTGCATCATGTTGAGAAATGATGTATTTACATCCCTGAAAAGAGAGGTTGTCTATCAAGCAACCTCGATGTGGGTAAAAGTGCCTATCCCAAGGGCCCAAACTAAACTCTAAACTCAGGCTTACAGGACTGTTGTGGCCAGGTGTAGTCTGTCATGCCTGTAATCCCAATGTGTTGAAAGGGTGAGGTGGGAGGATGACGTGAAGCCAGGAGTTTGAGACCATCCTGGGCAACATAGTGAGACCCTCATCTCTACAAAAAAATTAAAGCAAAAATCAGCTGGGCATGGTGACGCATGCCTGTAGTCCCAGCTACCTGGGAGACTGAAGTGGAAGAATTCTTTGAGTCCAGGAAGTCAAGGCTTCAGTCAGCTATGATTGAGCCACTGCCTTTCAGCCTGGGCATCAGAGCAAGATCTTGTCTCAAAAAGAGAAGAGGAGAGGAGAGGAGAGGAGAGGAGAGAAGAGGAGAGAAGAGAGGAGAAGAAAGGAGGGGAGAGGAGGGGAGGGGAGGGGACGGAAGAGGAGGGGAGGGGAGGAAAGGGGAGGGGAGGGGACAGCATTGTTAGATAAAATTTGCTGATTAAGATATGTAACTACTTCCAGAACTCTGCTCCCAGTGCTCAGAGGAACTAGGAGAAACTCAAAAGAAAGTGAAGTGAATGTTCCTTTTCACATGACAGTCCCATACGGGAGATGAAGTAAACCAATGATCACACAATCCCTGTCCTTATGAAACCCTACCATTACTGGGAGATCAGAGATAAGATCAGACAAGTACATATATAGCTTTACCAGAAGGGAAAATATGACTGCCATCAAGAAGCAGTGTGGGCCGGGTGCAGTGGCTCATGCTTGTAATCCCAGCACTTTGGGAGGCCAAGGTGAAAAGATCATTCAAGTCCAGGAGTTGGAGACCAGCCTGGGCAACATGGTGAAACCCCATCTCTACTGAAAAAATACAGAAATCAGCTGGGTGTGGTGGCACATGCCTGTAATTCCAGCTACTCTGGAGGCTGAGGCAGGATAATTGCTAAACCTGAGAGGGAGAGGTTTCAGTGAGCTGAGACTGCACCACTGCACTCCAGCCTGGGTGACAGAGCGAGACTCTGTCTTAAAATAAATAAATAAATAAATAAATAAATAAATAAATAAATAAATAAAAATTGGCCAGTCACAGTGGCTCACGCCTGTAATCCCAGTACTTTGGGAGGCCGAGGCAGGCAGATCACTTGAGGTCAGGAGTTTAAGACCAGCCTGGCCAACATGGTGAAACCCCGTCGCTACCAAAAATACAAAATTAGCTGGGGGTGGTGGCGCATCCCTGTAATTCCAGCTACTCAGGAAGCTGAGGCAGGAGAATCACTTGAACCCAGGAGGTGGAGGTTACAGTGAGCCAAGATGGTGCCACTGCACTCCAGCCTGGGCGACAGAGAGAGACTCCATCTCAAAAAAATGAATGAATGAATGAATGAATATAAATAATTAACACTTTAAAAGTGTGTGCTATAGAACAGAAGACAGCATAGCCACTTTAGCTGGGAATACTGGTTACCATTTTTAATGAAGGCTTTGGCATGTAAACTCAATGTTGAAAAGAAGGCGGATCAGAGATGAGGAAATGAATTCCCAGAAAGGAAATAGCATCTACAAAAGCAAGCCGATGGGTGAAAGAGCACATACCGTATGTGTTCACTGAAATTACTCTGAATGCCAGTGACAGAAACATCATCTTGCCATAGCTTAGGTAAAAATGGAAATTAATAGGAAGGCTCACAAAATTGTGACAGGCATAGCTAGTTCCAATGACAAATGAGACAAGTGGCTTGAAAATCTCCAGGACTCAGTCTCACCACCCCTTATCTTTGATTTTCTCAGTTTGTTATTTTCAGTCTCTTAGACCAGGAGTCCCCAACCCTTGGGCCACGGGCCTGTATCCGTCTGTGGTCTGTTAGGAAGTGTGTGCCATGCAGCAAGAGGTGAGTGACAGGTCAGGGAGCAAAGCTTCCTCTGTATTTACAGCTGCTACTCGTCACCCACATTCCCGCCTGGACTCCGCCTCCTGTCAGATCAGCGGCGGCGTTAGAGTCACATAGGAGCACGAACCCTATTGTGAACTGCGCATGCGAGGGATCTAGGTTGTGCGCTCCTTGTGAGAATCTAACGCATCATAATCTGTCATGTCTCCCATCACCTTCAGATGGGACTTTCTTGTTGCAAGAAAGCAAGCTCAGGGCTCCCACTGATTCTACATAATGGTGAGTTGTAGAATTATTTTATTATATATTACGATGTAGTAGTATAGAAGTAAAGTGCGTAATGAATGTAATGTGCTTGAATCATCCCAAAACCACCCCCAACCCCCAGTCCGTGGAAAAATTGTCTTCCATGAAACCGGTACCTGGTGCCAAAAAGGTTGGGGGCCGCTGTCTTAAGAGTGTCTATCGCTTCCTGGCAGGAAACAAGGCACTGGCTCTCCTGTTAGCATATCTTCCAGATTTGCCACCAAGGAGGAACTTGAATGCTGGTTTCGGTTCTGCAATCCTGTCCAGACTGGTAGCCCATCTCAGACCACCAGCTATGAGCAGAGAGGAGGGAACCTGTAAAAACATGGAACTCGCAAGAACATGAATGTCAATTCTAAAACCACATGTTTGGTCTTGGGGAAGGGACATTTGTTGGAAGTAATGGGAGGGGTGGTGAGATAAAATTTGGAGCCAGTTTCCCATCGGAAAGGAAGAAGAGTGCAGGCTGATAAAATGATAAATGCCTCAAAGTACAAGTCATGGAAAGGGGTTGGAAATCCTGGTTAGATCCAGGTCATGGAGCATGTTAAATACTAGCCTTCAAGTATGATCTTTGTGCTGGAGACAACATTTAGCCCTGGAGAGTTTTGAGTAGATGTTTTTCATTCTATCATTTTACCTGGCTTTTCCATAGCTCTCCATTAAATCAAACCAGTGCTGATTAGATTAAAGGAGACCTATTAGATGGAAATAAAGATGGAAATATTATCACAAATAGAGGCCAGGCAGATAAACCGGGTAGGATAGAGATAATAACATAACACTTTTGCTTTGAAAGCATTTTATTTACAAGCTAATGGCTAATTTTAATTATGAGTGCCTTTGTACATAAGACGTACAAGACACTGAGATGATGGTGTTTAATGGCTTCTATTTCCCTGAAATATACCCTGTTGGTCTCCGGACCCCACAGGACCAGTTTATCACATATAGCTTAGTGAACCTGAGCTTCTCAGCCTGTATATTAATTCAGCTGACAGCCGAGTTCTAGTTCTCTTTTAGTAAAATATGCCTGCTGCGGAGAATGTGAAAAATGTTGACTCCCTGAGGACTTTAATTGTAGTTTTCTTTTAAAAAAATGAACATAAACTCTTCACCTCCCCCAAGAACATCATAATTCCTCTAGCATTAGAGTTGGAGAAGACCTTGTGCAATTTCCTGACATTTTGCCACCTAAACTGCTTTATCTAAAGGAAAAGCATTATTTGCATCATTTTCAGTGACTAAGGATTTTGAAGTTTTCCCCTGCCATTTTTTCACTAATTTTATTTGAGCTGGATGTACTTACTAGGGGACCAAAGAACCCTAGTGTATTAGCCAGGGTTCTCTAAAGGGACAGAACTAATAGGACAGATGTGTATACAAAGGAGAGTTTACTAAAAAGTATTGACTCACCTGATCACAAGACGAGGTCCCACAATAGGCTATCTGCAAGCTGAGGAACAAGGAAGCCAGTCCAAGTCCCAAAATCTCAAAAGTAGGGAAGCTGACAGTGCAGACTTCAGTCTGTGGCCAAAGGCCCAAGAGCCCCTGGCAAACCACTGGTGTCAGTCCAAGAGTCCAAAAGCTGAAGAACTTGGAGTCTAATGTTCAAGGACAGGAAGCATCCAGCACAAGGGAAGATGAGGGTCAGAAGACTCAGCAAGTCAAGTCTTTCCACGTTCTTCTGCCTCCTTTATTCTAGCCATGCTGGAAGCTGATTAGATGGTGCCCACCCAGATTGAGGGGAGATCTGCCTCTCCCAGTCCACCGACTCAAATGTTAACTTCCTTTGGCAACTCCCTCACAGACACACCCAGGAACAATACTTTTCATCTTTAATCCAATCAAGTTGACACTCAATAGTCACCATCACACCTGGTTCTTGCATTGAAGGGTAGCTTCATTTCTTGCATAGGATGGTGTTTACTGCTTGCGAGGGAAGAGAAACAAACCCAGCTCTGAAATGCTGACTTGTCAAGAGGCGATGACAAGTGGGCTGAGTCAGGAATTTGATAGCAACAAATGAGCTAGAAAGAGGGCCAGTTATCCTTGCCAAAGGCCTCAAATAAGCACTTGCTTGCAATGTCTCTGCTGGAGAATGAATAGTTCCCACTCCATCAGAGCAAAGGCTGGGATTAGTCCTGGAAAGAGCTAGGAGTGAGCCCTTCATGTGATCGTCAAGTGATGACTGTCTGGGTGTATGTTGATGGAACATGAGATATATTTAATGCCGATATCTGGGGCAAGTACTAGATAGTTACTGATGAGGTTGGGTTGGAATTTTGCCTCCAAATATCTGAAAAGCATCATGTTTGTGCAAGGCAGACTTGGCACAGAGGACCACAGAGGGTCCATAGACAGGAGGACCCAGTTCACACTGATCACTAGACTGCAGAGGAGAGGTTGCAGAGACTGATTCAGTGGTAGATGTTTGAGACATGGTATTTGAAGGTGATTGTAGGTTCAGGTATGGCTGACAAAAATACCTGCACCAGAAACATCTGTAGCAGCGTCCAGGAGAGGAAGGCATAATGTTCATTGAACAACCGTGGAGTTGTTCTAAATTAGGTGAGTTCTCCCCGTTTACTGCAAGATTCAGCAAACTTCCAGGAATGGACCAGGATTGGGCAATACAAAGACTCTAAGCGCCAAGTAGGTATCAAGATCTCGTGTCAGTGGGTTGGAATTCAGGGGAAGGCGTGAACCCCAGGCAAAGATGGAGGCACAAGGTAGGGAAACTGGGGGAATAGAGTGCGATTCAAGGCAGAGGCAGGAGCTTTGGCCAGCTATTGCTGGGCAGGGCAGGTGGGTAGAAGCAGCCATGGCTTCCAGGCTATTCAGGTAACAAGAACTCACTTCATCCTAGGTTGAAGTTCAGGGGATTTTGTCCCAAGTCCCACTGAACATTGAGACAGAGGCTGTTGAGTGACATTCTATCTTGATCAGACTTGGATCGACCTTGACTCCCCTGTGTAGCAGGCAGTAAAGGGCTAGAGAAGACCAATGCAAGGGAATGCCTTTGTGTTTACCCAGTGAAAAAGACATTTACTGGCTGGATGTGGCGGCTCACATTTGTAACTCCAGGGGAGGCTGAGCCAGGGGATCAATTAAGACCAAGAGTTCAAGAGTAGCTTGGGCAACATAGTGAGACCCTTGTCTCTACAAAAATAATTAAAAAAAAAAATAGCTGGAGAGGTGGCATGCACCTGTGGTCCCAGCTACTCAGGAGACTGAGGCAGAAGGATTACTTGAGCCTAAGAGGCCAAGGCTATAGTGAGCTATGATCATGCCATTGTGCTCCAGCCTGGGTGACAGAATAAGACCTAATCTCTAATAATTTTTTTTTACAGATGGGACCTGTATCTAGATCCAGAAGGTTGATAAGGGCAAATGAAGGCTCTATCTGACCACTAGTTTTTCCCTCAAAAGGATCCACATTTGTCACAAGAGCCACAGAAGGATTCTTAGGTAGAAGGTAAAATTTGATAACCTATAATGTCACTTCCAAGTCCAAGTCCAAGGTCATTTTTTAAAAAAATATTTATTTTGGCCAGGCACAGTGGCTCACACCTGTAATCCCAGCACTTTGGGAGGCCGAGGTGGGCAGATCATGAGGTCAAGAGATTGAGACCATCCTGGCCAACATGATGAAACCCCGTCTCTACTAAAAACACAAAAATTAGTTGGGTGTGGTGGCGCATGCCTGTAGTCGCAGCTTCTCGGGAGGCTGAGACAGAAGAATCACTTGAACCCAGGAGGCGGAGGTTGCAGTGAGCCAAGATAGTGCCACTGTACTACAGCCTGGCGACAGAGTGAGACTCCGTCTCAAAAAAAAAAAAAAAAAAAAAAACTTATTTAATTCTATGTATCTGAAGCCTGTAATATGTGATTAAAATACGTTGTTATATTGGATTATTAATTGTATTAGTTCATTCTCACACTGCTATGAAGTCATACCCAAGACTGGGTAATTTATAAAGGAAAGAGATTTAATTGACTCACGGTTCCACAGGGCTGGGAGGCCTCAGGAAACTTATAATCATGGTGGAAGGGGAAGCCAACATATCCTCCACATGGCGGCAGGAAGGAGAAATGCAGAGTGAAGCTGATGGAAAGGCCCATATAAAACCATCAGCTCTCATGAGAACTCACTATCATGAGAACAGCATGGAGGTAGCCACCCCCAGGGTTCGGTTACCTCCCACCAGGTCCCTCCCACCACATGTGGGGATTATGGGAACTACAAGTCAAGATGAGATTTGGGTGGGGACATGTCAAACTATATTATTAATGTAACACATACTTTCATAGAACATACAGAAATAAGCAGTATTTTTATTAGGGTGATGACTGTCTCCAAAGTAAAAATAGCAAAAATGAGTGTCTGAAATAAGACTTTAAACATCTTAGAATATTTTTTTTTCCCCTGGGATTTTGAAGCAGTGTGTGGTTATCTGCTTGTGGATGTGCAGAGGTGATCTCTTCATTAATAAATGCAAGGTAGGCAAGCAAGGACAGGCAGGATACAAAATAGGAGACAACCAAAATCCTCTTCTCTTTGATTTTTACATGCATTTTCATACCTCCATTTGAGCGTAGACTTCTCTGGTGTATTTGAAATTTCACTTCAAAGGAAATAATAAAATCTTGGTGCAAGAGAAATTGAGATGCTTTCCAATTTCCCAACTTCAATAAAATGCTCCTCGGTGCGTCTCTGAAAGTCACTCTGGACAGGAAATTGACAGCAATGGTTCATTTCCAAGGTGGGAAGGGAGGGGACAGTAAATGTGGCACTGAGCTATGGCCAGAATAACACTGGGACAGGGAGAAACTGGTCCCATTGGCAGCAGGTGCCAAGATTCCAAAGTTCCATGTACAAAGACTGTGGCTAATTACAGTCGAGGTGACAGTATCTGAAATAGCTGAGCAGGGGCTGTGTGGCTTCCAGGCCTTGACACAGCATGAAACTCACCATTAGAGAGCAACAAGAAGGCCAGCCAGGAGCAGTCTCTCCTCCCTCTGCTTCTGGCATACATCCTCATCGCTTTCCCAGGAACCTGTTATCCTGGGGATCTCCAAATCCACTGTCCCCCGATCTCTGATCCCTTTGGCCATCCAATGGCTCCTGACAACCAGTTCAGGCTTACTTTGTGTTCATGATAGACCCGGATTTCTCTGCCAAGCCTGACTCTTTCCTGGCATACACTTTTGTCTCCCTGTTTCCATTCACCCTAATCCTTTGAGACCCTTCCAAGCGAGTGAATTCCAACAAAGGATAGCAGAGCCAGGGTTTCGTACTATGTCAGTTGGGTGGAAATGCTTAATTGGAACTAGGATGAAAGGGCAAGATCACAGTCAACTAGAGTCTGTTCAGGATGGAGAGCTTTGTCCTTTGGGAGATCTAAAGGATGAATTAGGTCCAGGGCAAATGGGAAGCCAGATAAATGCTCCATGCCTAGACCATGGTTGGGTGGGCTGCAGACTGAATCTTACCCGAGGATCGCAATCCCCATGTTCAAGAGGCAGATTGAGAAGCTAGTTCAAGGGTCCCAGAGCTGGAGTTAGCAGATCTGGGGTGTGGCACCCGGCACAATCGTTATCCTCATTACACAGAAGAGAAACCTGAGGTTCGTAACTTATCAAGGCAGTCCCTGAGAAGGAAGCACAAAGGAAAGCGGAATGGGTGCTGAGAAGCCAGGAATTGTCCACTGCAATGCAACACTTACAGTCAGATTTCTTTTTTCCTTTTGAGACAAAGTTTCGCTCTTGTTGCCCAGGCTGGAGTACAATGGCGCGATCTCGGCTCACTGCAGCCACCGCCTCCCGGGCTAAAGCAATTCTCCTGCCTCAGCCTCCCAAGTAGCTGGGATTACAGGCACCTGCCACGATGCCCGGCTAATTTTTTTGTATTTTTAGTAGAGACAGGGTTTCGCCATGTTGGCCAGGCTGGTCTCGAACTCCTGACCTCAGGTGATCCAACCGCCTCTGCCTCCCAAAGTGCTGAGATTACAGGCATGAGCCACTCCATCCGGTCTACAGTCATACTTCTTCTCCTGCATGTGTTTCTCCCAGAATACCTCCACTTAACATAATGCAATATTCCAGGTACTACTGAAAATACTCCCACCTCTTCACCAAAAAGAGCAAATTAAATTATCAATCACGCCTCCCACTCCACATCCAGAATCTCTTCCTTCCCCTCCACTTTTTGCGTGAGCTCACCTGGATATTCTGCAGTTTCTGAAGTAAATGGCTAATTTAACTATGACCCATCCAGCCTAGTGTGAGACAAAGGGATCATTAAAATCCAAAAATGCATACCTGACATAAACCACACACCTTGTTTATAACCACCAGCCCCTCTCTGTCTCTACCTGTATGTCTACCTTTTCACATACCCAACATGCGTTCCTAGTCTCCCCCTAAAACCTGCACCCTCTCCCCCATCACTGTGGCTTAGTCCAGAAACCCTGGGGACACCCCGACCCCTCTTGTTCTCATGGTATGTCAAATTTTTTCAGCAAGTATCATTGGTTTAACTTTTTTTTTTTTTTTTTTTTTTTTTTTGAGACGGAGCCTCACTCTATCTCCAGCGATCTCGGCTCACTGCAACCTCCGCCTCCCAGGTTCAAGAGATTCTCCTGCCTCAGCCTCATGAGTAGCTGGGATCACAGGCGCATGCGACCATGCCCAGCTAATTTGTTTGTTTGTTTGTTTTTTTAGTAGAGACAGTGTTTCGCCATGTTGGCCAGGATGGTCTCAATCTCTTGACCTCGTGATCCGCCCGCCTCAGCCTCCCAAAGTGCTGGGTTTTACTTTCAAAATAAATCCAGGATCCAACAGCTCTACACCTCTTTACCGTTACAGCCCTGATGCAAACACTGCTGGCTGATCTGGGGTTGCCGATGTAGCCTGCTAATTCATGCCTTCTGCTTTTCCTGCCCCACTACTGTCTGTTTCAACACTGCAGCCAGAGTGAAACTGATATAGTGTTGTCAGATCAATACACACCATCCTGCCCTAACCCCAGCACTCTGCCACTAGAAATCAAACTCCTTCCCATGAAAGCAGAGTCCCTGGGAAGTGGTGCCCATGACTTACTGATCTGGTGTCCCCAGCTGTATCCCCCTCACTCACTCTTCACCAGCTAGCCTGGCCTCTGTATTAATCCTCAAACACAAGAGGCTGGCATTTCCCCACCGCAGGATGTATGCACTGGCTGTCCCTCTGCTTGGAAACACCCACACAGCCTGCTCCCTCACATCTTTTATATCTTCATTCAAATGTCACCTCTCAGGGAGGCCTCCCTGACCACACAGTTTAATATCACAAGCATCCTCTGACACCTGATTCTCCTTCTCTCCCTTTATTTTCCCCTGAACCTGTCATCGCCTTCTAGCAAAATAGATACTTTATGTATTGATATGGTCTAGGATCTGCCTCTCCATTAAAACACAAACTCCACAAAAAAAGGGAACTTGGTCTGTTTCATTCATTGCTTTGTCCTTTGTGCCAAGACAGTGCTAGGCATATAGGAGATACTCAATAAATACTTGTCAAACGAATGAATGAATGAAGTATCCAAGAGGCCATAGCTGGTGTTGGCGACACCTCTCTTCCAGCTTTCCCTTGCCTTTTCCCCAGGATGTCAGCTGATGGAATGGCGGAGCTCCCAGGCAGGTTAGGAAAGCCCAGTCTTCATCTGGAGGGTGCTGACCTCTCAGTGCACCTGCCTGCCAGTGCAGGGTTTCTGTGGTCTTCCGTTAACCTTTATATCAAGTCATAGTGGTATGACTATTCCAGGGATCCCCTGAGTTCCGTCTGTATTTTTCCTACTCCCTATTGTGTAATAGCAGCCTAATTTCCCTGTGATAATTTAGGTAATCATCCCAACCAACATAGTAACCTCTCTTTTCTTAGTAAAATGAACAGCAGGAAATATCTGGGTGGAGGTCTCAGCTTCCAACTCCACTCCCTCTCCTGCAAGAGTCAGAATCATGGGTATAGGAGATAAACCATTTATAAGCAGGTCTTTAGGAAAGTTGACAAGCAATGCCCTTCTCACTCCACTCCCCTATCCTTGGTATTAGATCCATGTGTTCTAGTTAAGGGGGGACAAAGACCCTCCCCGGGACCCCAGCACACAGCCTCCTGCAAGATAGCACCCAATCTTGGAGGTATCGCCTTCCAGCTGGCACTGTAATTGAGCCATCAGTGAGCCGTTCTGCCAATCTGTAAAGTCAGATGCTTCTGGGTGATAGGATTCATGATCAGAGTGGATTTCATGGGCCTCAGCTCATTGCCTTTCTTCTCTGCCTGGGGAGTACATTCTTTGGTCAGAAGCAATGTTGTATGAGACAGTGAATAATGCATTCAGTAACTTGACGGATGACAGTGCTAGCAGAGGTCTGACAGGCCAGGAAGCAGAAGGAAAATGAAATCCAGAATAAAGGTCTGCTCCAACAAGGACAAATTGCAGAGCCCTCCATAACAGGAAGGACCCAGTGTCATTCACCTGCCACCAGGTAGCTGGATGACCTCCTGGAGGCGTGTTATGATAGCAGCCCTGCTCATATCCAAGGTTGGCTGCTGATGTCAGCCTACTGGTCAATCTACAGTGACAACAGGTGACAGGAGGGCCTTGGTGAGAGGAAGTCCATGTTGCTGGGCCTATTCTGAACCTCCAAACATAGTACCGGAGTTGCCATGTTTTCCACTGGATTCTAACATAAGTACTTGGGTATTTGTAGAGCAGGGTGACTAGTACGGAAAAAAGGGTCAATCTAACTACCTGACTATTAAGAGGTTCCTTAACGATGGGGCCTTTTGGTGACTATTTACACTGGAGTCAAATATTCCCGTACTCTGGTCCAATGTCAAGGTTCTATCCAGTATAATTCTTCACTAAACTGCCTTGTCATTAACATCCTGGTCTTGCTTCTTCCAAGTTCCTGTCCACACTAGCCACCCTTGCCTACTGTCACAGATTTCTTCATGTGTTTTATAGCAGCAGCCCCCAACCTTTTTGGCACCAGGGACTGGTTTCATGGAAGACAATTTTTCATGGACCTGGGGATGGGGGTATGGTTTTGCAGTGATCCAAATGCATTACATTTATCATGCACTTTATTGCTTTATTGCTATTATTATTACATTGCAGCATATAATAAAATAATTATACAACTCACCATCATGTAGAATCAGTGGGAGTCCTGAGCTTGTTTGCCTGCTATGAGACAGCTCCATCTGGGGGTGATGGGAGACAGTGACAGATCATCAGACAATAGATTGTCATAAGCAGCTCGCAACCTAGATCCCTCGTATGCGCAGTTCACAGTAGGGTTTGCACACCTATGAGAATCTAATGCCGCCACTGATCTGACAGGAGGCTGAGCTCAGGTGGTCATGCCAGCAATGCGGAGTGGCCGTAAATACAGATGAAGCTTCGCTCACACACTCGCTGCTCACCTCCTGCTGTGTGGCCCAGTTCCTAACAGGCTGTGGGCCAGTATCAGACTGATCCATGGCCCAGGGTTTGGGGCCCCCTGATTTACAGTGTCTGTATTCGCAGCACCCTGATTGATCTGGAATGACCAAGTAGCAGAGATCCAAGCAGCGTTGATTGGCTACTCCTCACTAGAACATGAATACTTTTGTTGCTTTGTTTGTTTGAGAGTTGGTCTTGCTCTGTTGCCCAGGCTGGAGTGCAGTGGTGCCATCATAGCTCATGGCAGCCTTGGCTTCCTGGGCCCAAGCAACCCTCCTGTCTCAGTCTCCCAATTAGCAATGACAACAGGCATGGAGCACCATGTCCAGCTAGTTCCAGACAGTGATTGCAGAATTCTGGGTGATCATGAGACAGAACAGGGACCCTCTTTTAGTGGCCTGTGAGCTCTTTCAGGCATGAAAATAAAGGAAAATTTCCAGTTGCATCAAGGAAAATTCCAGGCACCTAGCTAGCCCTGAGAAGTTAATGAGCAACTTGGTAAACAAGAAGGTAATAGGAGCTTAAAACCATAGCTGGGAAAGTTAGAGTCCAGGGGTGTTTGGTTTTCCTATAAAAACTAAAGATGACATCTTAACATATGTCACTGATTTGTCTTTCAGAAACCCAGAGCCCCACCGAGGAACCTCATCGAATAGATCTGCTGGCCCAGAGACCTCAGATAGGGGAAATTGAAGGCTGATCTCCAACCACCTTTCTTTGATCTAAATTTCTTCCTGAGGGGCTTGGAGAGCATCGCATTCCTGAGCTAATTAACAATTTTTTTTCTGCTAAATCCAAATTTTTAAGCAAAGCTTCCTTTCCTCAACCAATTGCAAGTCAGAAAATCTTTGAATCCACCTATGACCTATAAGCCCCCACTTCAAGATATCCCACTCCTAACCCAAAACCAATGTGTAACCTCCACATACTGTCTGTAACTTCTGCATTCCTGAAATGCACCCCTGCCTTTAAAAACCTTTCCCTGCAAGCCACGGGGGAGGTCAGTTCTTTAGCAAGAGCTGCCCGTATTCTTTTGCTTGGCGCCCTGCAACTAAACGCCTTCTTTTCTGCCACTGCAAAAGCTCAGTGTGAGTATCTGGTTTTACTGTGCCCAGCATGAATGGACCCCAGTTTGGTTCTACAGTAATCACAAGCAACAACGTGATTAGCTGCTTTTGCCATTGTCTATGTTTTGGAGAATGGGAGGAGCCCCCGAAAGTGATAGGAATGCTGAGGAACAGGCACAGAGGGAACAAGAACTAAAGGAAATACAGGGGTCAAAGTAGCATGCATTTTGATAGTCCCGCCAGAGCACTGCTACTGGAATAAATGAGCATCTGCCATCTTCGGGTTCATTGCCCCCACATAAGATTCATGTTCTTAGCCAGGCGTTGTGGCTCACACCTGTAACTCCAGAACTTTGGGAGACTGAGGTGGGAGGATCACTTGAAGCCAGGAGTTCAAGACTAGTCTGGGCAACGTAGTGAGCCCCTCATCTCTACAAAAATTAAATTAGCCAGGTGTGGTGGCGTGTGTCTGTTGTCATTGTTGATCAGGAGGCTGAGGTGGCAGGATTTCTCGAGCCCAGGAGTTTAAGACCAGCTTGAGCAATATCATAAGACCTCATCTCTACGAAATAGAAAAAAAATTTAAAAATTAGCTAGGCATGGTGGCCCATGCCTATTGTCATTGCTAATCAGGAGAGTGAAGCAGGAGGGTTATTTGAGCCCAGGAAGTCAAAGCTGCAGTGAGCTATGATTACACCATTGCACTGCAGCCTGGGCAACAGAGCGAGACTGTCTCTCAAACAAACAAAGCAACAAAAGGATTCACGTTCTAATGAGGATTAGCCAATCAATGCTGCCCGGATGCCATATCTCTACTACTTGGCTATGCCAGGCTATTTCTTGAGGGAGAGAATTTCCCAAATGAAAATAAAAATGCTGCTCTCAAAGGTGAAATGGACACTGAATGGCTCAAAACCCTATAAATATCTACTGCACTGGACTCTTCAGTGTAAACACACCCAAGATGTTCAGAAGTCTCCTGGTAAACATGGAAGTGGTTGTTGCATGGCAGGGGTGGGAGGAAGTGAACATTACTCTTGAACTTAGAGTTAGTCAGGGCATAAGAAATGTTAGATCCTTCCTACCACCCACCTCTCTCTTCTCCCCCATTTGCTTACCTATCCACAGCCTTAGCTGCTATGTGATAAGCACCCTCATTCGTCTCAGAGATGACTTTGTCCCGTGGACCTGTGCCCTGACTTTTTTTTTTTTTTTTTTTTGAGACAGAGTCTCACTCTGTTGCCTAGGCTGGAGTGCAGTGGTGCAATCTCGGCTCACTGCAACCTCCACCTCCTGGGTTCAAGTGATTTTCAGCCTCCTGAGTAACTGGGATTACAGGTGTGCGCCACCACACATGGGTAATTTTTTTTTTTTTGTATTTTTAGTAGATACAGTGTTTCACCATGTTGGCCATGCTGGTCTCGAACTCCTGACCTCATGATCTGCCTGCCTCGGCCTCCCAAAGTGCTGGGATTATAGGCATGAGCCACCACGCCTGGCCTCCCCTGCCTTTTAAGGGCCTTCCCCATCTCAGGCACCTGCATCAGACTACACAGCCCCATTTTCAGTTTGGAAGGTATGGCTACAGGCACCCCAGGCTGCTGGATCCAGCCTCTATTTCTGGCTAAGTTCACTATTGACTTTCCAGACATAGAATCATATAAAAAGCTGCAAAGGGGAAAAAAAAAAAAAAATGCTCATGAGCACCTGTGTTCAGCCTCCTGGCAGGTTTTCATTAGGTCTTAATGAAGCTTGGGTCTGCAGTCCCCGAGGTCCTTTTTAATTTCCACTTGATCCGGCTTAGCCAGCTCCTTACTCAGTGGAATCCTCTGGAGAGCTGAGCAATTCTTGGTCTCGGGTGTCAGAACCAGAACTAAAGGCTCAGGCTAAAAAAGATGAGGAAGGAGAGTGGAAGAACTGGAGAGAGCTCACCTATTGCTTCTATGAGCAGCAGGGCTGGATTTCTAAGACCTTTCCCGTGTGTGTGTGTGTGTGTGTGTGTGTGTGTGTGTGTGTGTGTGTGTGTGTGTGTGTGTGTGCTGAACTCCAACCTCTTGAGAGCAGGACTGGGGAGGGAGCACAGTCTGTGACTTCGGGAAGCCTTGGCTCCAGGTTCAGTTCTGGTGGTTTCAAGATCCGTCCCTTGTTATTTCACCCCCAAGTCCCAGTTTCCTCTTCTGTACAGTATCATAAAGAATAGTGTCTGAGGCCGGGCACAGTGGCTCATGCCTGTCATCTCAACATTTTGGGAAGCTGAGGTGGGAGGATGGCTTGAGTCTAGGAGTTCAAGACCGGCCTGGGCAACACAGTGAGACCCTGTCTCTACAAAACATAAATAAATAAATAAATAAATAAATAAATAAATAAATAAATACAAACAATTAGCCAGGTATGCACCGGTGGTCACAGCTACTCGGGAGGCTGAGCAGGAGAATCGCTCGAACCCGGGAGTTTGAGGCTGCAGTGAGCCATGATCTTGCCTCTTCCCTCCAACCCAGGTAACAGAGGGAGACTCTGTCTCTAAAAATGTTAAAATGAAAAGAAGAACAGTGTCTAAATAAGTATGGGTGTGCACATGCATGCATATTTATCATTCATGCAAGTAGTTAGGCATTCTGCAAAGCGTTTTATCTACATGATTTTATTTAATATCCACTTGTAACTTTTGGGCTTAAATATTATTAAGGCTAATTTATTTTATTTATTTTATTTTATTTTATTTTATTTTATTTTATTTTATATGTTTTTTTGAGACAGAGTTTGCACTGTCACCCAGGCTGGAGTGCAATGGTGCGATCTCAGCTCACTGCAACCTCCGCTTCCCAAGTTCAATGATTCTCCCACCTCAGACTGCCGAGTAGCTGGAATTACAGGCACCCACCATCATGTCTGGCTAATTTTTGTATTTTTGTAGAGACGGGGTTTCACCGTGTTGGCCAGGCTGGTCTTGAACTCCTGACCTCAAGTGATCTGCCTGCCTCGGCCTCCCAATGTGCTGGTATTATAGGTGTGAGCCACTGTGCCCGGCCAAGCCTATTTTATAAATGAAAAAACTGAGGCCCATAGAAAGAACTTAGTTAATGGATGGTTTAGCTGGTATCAGAATTCTGCCCCTCTGACTCAAAAGCTTGTGTTTTCCCAATTGTATCCTGCTGTCTCTATAACCACATTATCAAATTCTATGTTGGGAGCAGAGTGGCCAGTCCATAATCGTCGCTGTTGTATTTGAACATATGCTAGTTTCCACGCACATGGGTCTAGCTGCCATGAGCAACATTTCAGCAGTACTTGTCACTGAAAGCATTTCATATGCTAATAAGAATTAGTAATTTATGTTCAGTAATCTGCCTTGTGTTTTTCTCATCCTCATTTCTTGCTGCGGGACAAAGTGGACCAGAGATGATGCTTCTTCCCTGGAGGGAAGGCCAGGCCATCTGCAGAGCTGTCAACACGGAGGACTTAGTGGGCCTGACTCCTTCCTGCTGAAAGTGGGGATGAAGACTGGGGGATGGATTATAAGGCGAGACCAACCTCTCACTTAGGGAGTCCCTCACGCTCTGTGCCGGTAGCTGGGGAGCTGCCAGGCAGTTGCCTCTGTTGGCGCTGGGAACATTTCTCTGCCGCTGAGCCTATTTTATCCGACCTTTTGCAATGATTGTTTTAAATTAGGTGCCCTGTGATTTTCTGGACTCTGTTGAGCCTGGGCAAACCCTCCCTGGGAAGTAGGCCTAGCAGGCCACAAGGGCTTTTCCTATTGAGGCTAATGTCTGTCTCACCCTGGAGCTTAGAGGAATTTTCCAAGCCACTAATTTGTACTTTGCTAGGAGACATGAGTGATGAGTGGTATTATTTTAAGCCTTCTAAATTGGAGCACAGCTTTTGGGTACTAGATGTTCTCAATTCCTTATTTTCCTCAACTCAGATATCTGGCAGTTTTTGCTATGTTATTTCAATGGGCAGTTGAGTTTTTTTGGAGAATTATTTCTGGCCGCTCTCTTCAATGTGCTAAATGATAACTTTTGGCACTTCCGTTTAATTCAACAAATATCTATCATGCTCCCAGTAGATGTCAGGTTCTGAGCTAAGTGCCACAGAGGGCATAAAGATTGATGATCCATTTAGTCATTCATTCATCCTTCTAGTTATTTACTCAATAGGCATTTCTAAGTACCGAGTATGGACCAATGGCATCCAGTGCTGGAGCTAAAACAACAGTACATCAATTAAGGTTGTATTTGGTTTCAAGTAACAGAAAACCTAACCAGGATGGTTAAGTAAATAACATTTCTTTTTTCTTTCTCTTCTGTATCGAGAAGCCTGGTGTCAGGTAATTGTTGGTATTAGCTAATAGACTAAATGATGTCTGGGATTATATTTCCAGCATTCTCTGAGACTCTGCCTCATGTCCTCAAGATGGCTGCAGCAGCTCCAGCCATAACTTCCACTTCCAAGCAGGAAGAAGGAAAGTCTGAGTCAGCTGGGTTAGCATGTCTCTATCAAGAAAGCATAAGCTTACCCCACATCCCTCACTTTGAGAAAATGTCCCCTTATATATCATCGGTCAGGATGAAGTTACTGGTCATTCATGAAGTGCAAGAGAACTTGGGTAGAGGACAGGGCTGTCATGACTGGCTTTGATCTGTCATGCTCGATGAGGCTTCTGTTGGCAAGGAAGAAAGGAGGATGACATTAAATACACCAACAGTATTTGCAAAAGTATTAAACAAGAGTTGGTGTATTTGTCATCAGAGTACTTACTTAGTTGCAGATGCAGAGATTGAAAAAACTTGTGCAAATCAATATAAAGTCATGATCTACACTAAGTGCTCTGATGAAAAAGCAGCCTTGATGTCTTTGTCGGGGTGAAATAATCTTGTCAAGAGGTGGGGAAGGGGGAGGATGGTGATAGAACAGGGAGATAGGGGAGGGAAAGACCCCAGTTCCAAAGCACCTCTCATACAGGACTGCGTTTCATTCTCAAGATAAACCTGTGAGGTGGGCAAAGCATCTCAGTAGGTGAGGAGAACTGGGGATATACAGGTTAGCCTGTCCTGCAGAATGTGCAGATTTTGCCTAGGCAGGGCTGAAGGTACAGAAATACTGGGGACTGGGGAGAAACTGGCAATCATTTTCTCACCTTCCAGTTTACCCCAACCGCATGCACTCAGCTGAGGAAGTTAAAAAAGGTTACCTAGACCTTTTCCTGTCTTGAGCATCCTAGCTGTTTTCTCCTGTATGTATCCCTTAGGGCTCTGAGTTGGCATTTTTTTTTCTTTTCTTTTTTTTTTTTTAGACAGAGTCTCCTTCTATCACCCAGGCTGGAGTGCAGTGGCAAGATTTCGTCTCACTGCAGCCTCTGCCTCCTGGGTTCAAAGATTCTCCTGCCTCAACCTCCCCAATAGCTGGGACTACAGGCATGTGCCACCATGCACAACTAATTTTTGTATTTTTAGTAGAGACAGGGTTTTACCATGTTGGCCAAGCTGGTCTCGAACTTCTGACCTCAGGAGATCCGCCCGCCTCGGCCTCCCAAAGTGCCGAGATTACAGATGTGAGCCACTGTGCCCAGTCTGAGTGGCATTCCTAATGAAGTTCTCATCTCTCTACTCTCAGGAAGGCTGGCATTTCCCTGGGACGGGAAGAGTACAAAGGTGTCCTCTGTGCTCCACGATGTCAGGCACAATGCTTATAACTAGACGTATTCTTAAATGGGGAAATAGGAGACCAATGTGCACATGGTAGACCAAGAATACCAAACCTATTTAAAGCTGTGGAAGTTTACCTGGTTGGGCCAGGCTCATTTCCAGCATTGAAAGCTGTATTAGTCAGCTTGGGCTGCCATAACAAAATACTACAGACTCGGTGTCTTAAACAACAGAAACTTATTTTCTCATAGTTTTAGAGGCCGGAAGTTCGAGATCAAGATGCCAGCAGAATTGATGTCTGGCAAAGGATTTCCCCTTGGGTTGCAAATGGTCGCCTCCTCTCTGTGTCCCCATATGTCCTTTTCTTGATGTGTATATGAGGAGAGGGAGGATGGGAGAGATGGAGAGAGAGAAATGAGGGAGGGAGAGAAAGAAAGAGAAAGGAATGAGCTCTCAGGTGTCGCTTCTTACAAGAATATTAATACTACCAGATGAGGGATCCACCCTTATCAACTCACTTAATTACTTCATCAGAATCCCCATCTCCAAATACAGCCACACCACAAGTTGGGACTTAAGCATATTAACAATTTTAGAGGGACACAAATATTCAGTCCATAACAATGGCCTCTTCATGCATTTAAGAGGGAAGGAGCTTAAGAGAGGGGAGGAGCTTAGGAGAGAGAAGAAGCTTGAGAGGGGAGGTGCTTAAGAGAGGGGAGGAGCTTAAGAGACAACAGGAGCTTAAGTGGAGAGCTTTACAGAGGGGAGGGGCTTAGGAGAGGGGAAGAGCTTAAGGGGAGCTTAAGAGACAGAGGAGTTTAAGAGGGGGAGGAGCTTAAGAGAGGGGAGGGACTTAAGAGAGGGGAGGAGCTTAGGAGAGGAGAAGGGCTTAAGAGAAGGCAGGAGCTTAAAACGTCATTCACCATCTCTCTCTTAAAGGACTGTGAGTTTCATAAAAGTTCACATCAGGTAGCATAGAGAAGCTGTTCATGCTTGTTCATGAAAAAGGCCCCCTTCCCCACTTAAGAACACATCTAGTAGTAAGTATTGTGCCTGACATATAGTAGAGGCTAATAAATGTTTATTAAACGAAGATGTGGCATTCAGCCTGTAAAATTGCTCAAACTATTAAGGCTCAAATGAAATGGTAAATGAGATCCATGTCCTGAAATACCCTTGGAGCTTGCAGAGGCTGGAGATGCAATAGAAAAGTGTTTCAAATCTTACACCTTTTAAAGGTTTACGTGGTGGAGTGGAGGCACTCCAATCCTCACCTACACTTTGGAAGTTGGAAAAAGGGACAGTGTTTTTCTGACTAATCTAGGTGGGATGTACAAGTATAGTCTCCAGTGCATGTGGATGTCATACTTGCATCAGTGATCGAGAAAATGAGTCATCTGCCATTAATTGCTAGCATTAAATAAAATTAAAATATAAAATATAGTCTTTCCTAGGATCAAACCCTGACTTCATTCAAGTTTCTCCCCCACCTCCACCACCCCCCTGAAGATTGTTAAAAGCTAATGAAAGATTGAGGCTGTGGGAGGAAACAAGGAGAAATGAAATTATCTGGAAGGATTCAGCTGTAGGAAACAGAAGTGTGGGTGTTGTGGGAAACTTTCTATTAAATTACTGTTCCATCATTTACTACTTTCATGACCCTGGTCGAGGAATTAAACATCTATGAGATTCATTTTGTAAAAATCAATATTGCCTTCCCCCCCCAGGCTGTGGTAAGGATCAGCTCATTTTCCCCCAGCACCTAGAACTTAATAAGCAGCACACAAATTTTAGATCTATCTGTATGTACAATAACACCAATCATTTGACACACTTTTCAGAACATGGACATCCAGGTAGTACAAACAGGGATGCTGGGAGGGCAATTTGTTAGATGATCACTTAGAACATTGGTCCCAAAATATATTATTTGGAAATAAATCAGTATGTTTCAGTCTATCTAAGTAATACAGTCAGATATATATTTGCTTTTGTGATTTTTAGCCAGAAACACAGAAACCACTCTAAATGCTGTTATCATCAGGAGGGGATATAAAGCAGAGAATTAGGTGTTCATAGAATTTTTGGCAAAGCTGGGAGTGCAAACTTCAGAGGAAATTGTAAGTAGACAAGGAGGGTCTCCAGGGACTACAGGAATTTAATCAACTTGAGCAATAAGCCTGTTTTACAGCCTCCTGCTTTGCAACCTGTTTTTTTTTTTCCAAACGCTGTGTGGAATGCAGTCACCTTGTTGGCCAGAAGAAGCTCCTGACAGAACCCAGCCACATATAAATGAACCTGAGTGAACTTTCCTTATTACTGTGCTAAAGTCTCCAGACTGCACTATAGCTGCATTGTCATCACATGTGACCTATTGCTGATGATGCAGAGCAGGTGAGCCCCCAAACTGGGGCTTAGCCCAGGAGGGTTCTTGGCTTCACCCAGGAAATAATTCAAGGAAGACCCAGTGGTGTTAGCAACTTTTATAGAGGAGCACAGCAGCAGCTGAGGTCCTGCTCCTTGCGGAGCAGGGCTACCCCACAGACAGTGTGCCCAGAGTAGCAGCTCAAAGGCAGGGCTGCAGTCATACTTATACCCACTGTTTTTTTTTTTTTTTTTTTTGACTTGGAGTTTCACTCTTGTTGCCCAGGCTGGAGTGCAATGGCATGATCTCAGCTCACCGCAACCTCCACCTCCCAGGTTCAAGCAATTCTCCTGCCTCAGCCTCCCAAGTAGCTGGGGTTACAGGCATGCAGCACCATGCCTGGCTAATTTTGTATTTTTAGTAGAGATGGGGTTTCTCCATGTTGGTCAGTCTGGTCTCGAATGCCCGACATCAGGTTATCTGCCTACCTCGGCCTCCTAAAGTGCTGGGATTACAGGCATGAGCCACCACACCTGGCCACTTATACCCACTTTTAATTACAGGCTGGTTGGGTTGTTGCCATGGGAAAGGGTGGTATCATCCAGGTGTTGCCATGGCAACAGTACACTGACATGGCACACACTGGTGGTTGTGTCTTATGGATAGCTGCTTCCACCCTGTCAGTCCCTGTTTTAGCTAGACCTCAGTTTGGTCCAAGCCCCACCTCTGAAGTCAAGTTCCATCTCCTACCTCACTAGCATGATGACTCACTGGGTGTGTGCCAATGGGAACCCTCCTCTACATGCAACGATGCACCCTCTTCCCTCTCCATCGTCTTTTAAAACCTTCCTGTCACTTTCCCTTGGGAGACATTGCTTTGGAGAATACTCCCAGTGCTCTTCTTACTGGGAGTCCATAACAATGCCCTTTTCATGCATTTAAGAGGGAAGAAGCTTAAGAGAGGGAGGAGCTTAGGAGAGGGGAGGGGCTTAATAGAGAGGGAGGGCTTAGAAGAGGAGCTTAAGTGAGGGGAGGAGCTAAGGGGGAGCTTAAGAGAGGGGGGGAGCTTAAGAGAGGGGAGGGGCTTAAGAGAGGGGAGGAACCTAAGAGACAGGTGGGGCTTAAGAGAGAGGAGGGGCTTAAGAGAGGAGAGGAGCTTAAGAGAGGGGAGGGTAACAAGTAATAAACTTCCTATTGATCAAAAACTTGCATTCTCCCAGAGAATCGTTTGTTACTGGCCAGGCAAATGAAACCCAGTTTTTTTCAGGTAGCAAAATCATCAATGATCCCAGGAATCCAGGCAGTTGGTGATTCACAAGAGTATGTCTAGAAAATAGCACAGAACATGACATAGCCTTCTGCTGAAGCTTATGCACCCACACACCTATGTTCAGGGACTATAATTGCTCTTACTTTTCTCCCACCTTCCTGATCTGATGTAAGTTTCTGTCATTGTCAGAATCTAAATAAAACTCCAACTGACAAGGAGGCCTCAGACATGTAGTCTTCAGGCTCTTAGCAGCTGCAATTCAGGGAGAACTTGGAAGGGTGGGGAGTACCAAGAGTTACAGATGATCATCAGTATTTACAGATTTTTTATGTTTGTGAATTTGCCTACTCACTATTTTGTTTTTTAATTTATTTTCTAGAGAAAGGATCAAGATCTGCCATCCAGGCTGGAATGTAGTGACGCAATCATAGCTCACTGCAGCCTCAAACTCCTAGGCTCAAGTGATCCTCCTGCCTCAGCCTCCCAAGTAGCTGGGACTACAAGTGTGCACCACCATGCCTAGCTAATTTTTTTCTAATTTTTTTGTAGAGAAGGGATCTCATTATGTTGCTCAGACTGGACTAACATTTATTTGTAAGCAAAAGTAATATTCAAGATAATTTTTTGGTCATTTGTGCACATGTACTGAGCAGGAAAATTTAGGTCACCTGATAATGTAACACGTTTCCAGCTGAGATTAAACAAAGAGATGCTCTGCCTTATTTTGTTTCAGCTCTCATACTGTAAACAAGTGTCCTTTTCCAGGTCTACTGAGTGCTCCATTTTCTGCATTTTTGTGGGTGATTTTGTTTATTTAAAAATGGCTCCCAGAATGCATTGTTGAAGGGCTGTCTAGTGTCTCAAAGCACAAGAAAGCTGTGATGTGCCTTGAGAAATTAAAATAAAATTCTAGGCCAGGCACTGTGGCTCACGCCTGTAATCCCAGCATTTTGGGAGGCCGAGGCGGGCAGATCACCTAAGGTCGGAGTTCAAGACCAGCCTGACCCACATGGTGAAATCCCGTCCCTACTAAAAATACAAAAATTAGCCAGGCAAGGTGGTGGGTGCCTGTAATCCCAGCTATTCGGGAGGCCAAGGCAGGAGAATCACTTGAACTGAGGAGGTGGAGGCTGCAGTGAGCTGAGATCGTGCCATTACCCTCTAGCCTGGGCGATAGAGTGAGACTCTGTCTCAAAAAAAAAAAAACAAAAAACTTCTAAGCTCCCCATCTGACTAAACAGACTCCTCTTGGCCAAGGGGACCTCAGAGACACCTTAAAAACTGAGTTCCTACCCATAATGGGACAGAAGCCAGGATTACCTCAGTGTACTCCTTCCTTATTAACCTTTAATCAAGATTCTTTTTTTCCCTAAAGAGTAAGCAGATGCCAGCTTTAGAAATGAAGCTGGGTGCGGTGGGTCGCACCTGTAATCCCAGCACTTTGGGAGGCTGAGGTGGGAGGATCACCAGGTCAGGAGTTCAAGATGAGCCCGGCCAACATGGTGAAATCCCATCTCTACTAAAAATACAAAAATTAGCTGGGCATGGTGGCACGTGCCTGTAATCCTAGTTACTCGGGAGGCTGAGGCAGGAGAATTTCTTGAACTGGGACCCGGGAGGCAGAGGTTGCAGTGAGCTGAGATTGCACCAGTGCACTCCAGCCTGGGCTACAGAGGGAGACTCCATCTCAAAAAAAAAAAAAAAGAAAAGAAGAAATGAAGATAGGGACAACTCATTCTTTCATGGCCTTTAGCTGATTATCTCAGACCATGTTGAGACCACCACCCCCTTCTCTCTCTTAACAGTTTTGATGTGAAGCTCACCAGTTTCACAATTCATCCCTTTGTATAATCTGACCAAGTCTGGCCAGCTCACGGGTAATGCACAGTGAGGTTTTTCCTATCCTGTGTTTCACCTTTGATGTCAGAGAGCTGAAAACTCTACCCTCAGATCATGCTAATGCTGCCCCTCACTTTGTTTTTTGAGACGGATTCTTGCTCTGTTACCCAGGCTGGAGTGCAGTGGTGCAAACTCGACTCACTGCAATCTCTGCCTCCCGGGTTCAAGCAATTCTCCTGCTTCAGCCTCCCGAGTAGCTCGGATTACAGGAATGAGCCACCATGCCTGGCTAATTTTTGTATTTTTAGTAGAGATGGGGTTTTGCCATGTTGGCCAGGCTGGTCTTGAACTCCTGACCTCAGGTGATCCACCTGCCTCGGCCTTCCAATGTGCTGGGATTGCAGGCACTAATGCTGCCAGTTTTTTAACATGCAAGCCATGAAGAGGCACAAAGCTCCATCACACATGTGCATATTTCTCCTTTTATAAATATTCATGACTCTTCCTCTAGCTTATTGAATATGCATATTTGGCCACCCTGCTCAACATAGATTCCTATTCCCTAAATGTATCCCTCCCTTGAAATGCTTGCTTTCAGCTTGTGCCAAAGGCTACACTTCCCAGCCTACAGGCTGCAACCCTTTATAAGAAATAAAGCCCTCCTTTTCAAATTTACAAACCTTGTTTTTCTTCTGTTGACAGTCTTATGGAGAAAATATGTGTGTTAGATAAGCTTCATTCAGGCATGAGCCACAGTGCTGTTGGCCATGGGTATGCTGTTAATGAATCCACAAATATAGTCAATAAGGTGTTTTGAAACAGAAGGATACATAAAACAAGGCTATTTACTGATTGTGAAGCAGCATTGTTGCCTGGGGTAAATACCTGGGGTTCATCATCTTGTACTAAAAAAATCAAGAATACAGACACACACAAGGAGTGAGTTTAGGAACAGAGGTATAATAGGCAAAAGAAAGAGAAAGGAGAACAGCTCTCTCTCTTATGAAAGAGAGGGGCATCCAAAAGGGAAAAGCTGGCCTGCGGGGAAGGGCACCAGATTTTATAGACAGGCTTGAGGAGGTGGTGTCTGATTTACATAGGGCCCACAGATTGGTTGGACCAGGTGTGACGTTTACATAATGTGTGGGGAAGCTGGCTGCCCCATCCTAATCTTATTATGCAAATAGGGTCTTTGCTTGGCCTGCTGCCATGTTGTCTGCTCCTTACTGTACACGCGGTTGGCAAAGAGAAGGGAAGATGAAGCCGCCATGTTGGACCTGCCTGGTCCCAGGTAGCCCCTTTCCTACTAGTACAGCTGCTGGCATTCACCTGTGCAAGCTTCTGGCCTGCCTTTCTATGTCTGCAGCTCGAGTTTACAGGCTGCTCTTTGTTAGAAAAGGAAATGATTTGAGGGCTGCTTTTCATTAAAAGGAAAACCCTACTAAGGACTTCCTTACCATCACTATCTGCCTAAATCATTTCTCCTTAACTCCTATATTAATTGGTTTATGAAAATATCATAATCAAAGACCCACAGGAATAAGTACCTGTATTTCCTGTAGGCGCAATGGTTCAGTATCCACTTATTCATTCAGTGTTCATGTTGATTTTACAGACAATAACCACTGTGAATAACAAGAATCAACTGTAATATTCAGTGCACGAGCACAAGTGCTACAAATGAATTTTTAATAAATTTCTGAGCTTGTGATTATTTTCTCTGTGGTGGTGAAGCCAAGATCCTCATCCAATGATAACAAGATCTCCTTGTGAGGATGTCTAGTGAAAAAGTGAAGTGATTCAGCTGACATTGACATACTCAGAATCACCCCAGATTCACATGCAGGAGCTGGTTTTGAAATGAAGACTCTAGAACAGGGGTGTCCAATCTTTTGGCTTTTCTGTGCCACGTTGAAAGAAGAGTTGTCTTAGATTACACATAAAATAAACTGACACTAACAATAGCTAATGAGCTAAAAAAGAAAAAATCGCAAATAAATCTCATAATGTCAGAAGCATTTGAACCAGAGCAACTCCATCGTGAATAACAGCTGGGTAAAATGAGGCTGAAACCTACCGCGCTGCGTTTCCAGATGGTTAAGGCATTCTTAGTCACAGGATGAGATAGGAGGTTGGCACAAGATATAGGTCATAAAGACCTTGCTGATAAAACAGGCTGCAGTAAAGAAGCTGGCCAAAACCCACCAAAACCAAGATGGCGACGAAAGTGACCTCTGGTCGTCCTCACTGCTACGCTCCCATCAGCGCCATGACAGTTTACAAATGCCATGGCAACGTCAGGAAGGTACCCTATATGGTCTAAGAAGGAGAAGCATGAATAATCCACTCCTTGTGTAGCATACCATCAAGAAATAACCACAAAAATCAGCCACCAGCGGCCCTCGGGGCTGCTCTGGCTATGGAGTAACCAGTCTTTCATTCCTTTACTTTCCTAATAAACTTGTTTTCACTTTACTCTATGGACTTGCCCTGAATTCTTTCTTGTGTGGGATCCAAGAACCCTCTCTTGGGGTCTGGATCAGGACTCCTTTCCTGTAACAATAATGTTTTAAGAAAGTTTATGAATTTGCGTTGGGCCACATTCAAAGCCATCCTAGGCTGCATGCAGACCCTGGGCCGTGGGTTGGACAAGCTTGCTCTTGCATAGTTTCTCCAAGTTTGTGCACTTTTTCTCATAACGCACAAGCTTCCTTCCTTCCCTCCCTCCCCCCTCCCTCCTTCCCTTCCTTCTTCCTTCCTTCCTTCCTTCCCTCTTTTCTACCTTTTTTTTTTTTTTTTGGATAACTTATAAGATTAAGCAAGCTTTGTCCAAACTTCCAATGTTCTTCAGACTTTAAAAGGAGAATGATACAAGAATCCACGTTGTCACCTAAAAGGGGTGGCTCCCAGGTTTACCCACTGTCCTCAGGCAGTAACTGTGCCCTTGTTTTACATATAAAACACCTGAGGCCCACAAAGGTTGACAGGATTGCCTGAAGACACCTCTAGGTCAAAAATCTGCCTTCTTTCCTTTATGCTTGAATTCCTTTAAAATGAAGTACAATCTAATTGCTTGTAAAACAAAGAAGTTGAACTAGCTGCTATCTGAGGTCTCTTTCAAATGTAAAATTCCATGACTTTGTGACTTTACCAAAGGGATTTTTTTACCAAAGGCTAAAACCCCTATGCTGGGGGCTGGCATTGTAATGGTGAGGGAAGGAGTGAAAAGAGAATATACTGTCCATGCCATAGAGAAGTACACATTTAAATAACAGTGTATTGTATCCTTCATGGTTTCAATCGAATGGCACTGTTAACTGGAAAGAGCTCTGATCCAGACCTGCAAGAGAGGGTTCTTGGATCTTTCACCAGAAAGAATTCAGGGCAAGTCCATAGAATAAAATGAAAGCAAGTTTATTAAAAAAGTAAAGGAATAGGTCAGGTGCAGTGGCTCATGCCTGTAATCCCAACACTTTGGGAGGCCGAGGTGCGTGGGTCTTTTGTGGTCAGGAGTTTGAGATCAGCCTGGCCAAGATGGTGAAACCCTGTCTCTACTAAAAATACAAAATACAAAGTACAAAATACAAAAATTAGCCTGGCATGGTGGCACACGCCTGTAGTCCCAGCTACTCGGGAGGCTGAGGCAGAAGAATCGCTTGAACTGGGGAGGCGGAGGTTGCAGTGAGCTGACTTTGTGCCATATATATATAATATAAATAATATTATATACAATATATATAATATAAATAATATATATAATATAAATAATATTATATATGATATATAATATAAATAATATTATATATGATATATAATATAAATAATATTATATATGATATATAATATAATAATATACTATATATTTTATAATATAATATATTATATATTATATTTTATATATTATATATAATATAAATAATATATTACATATATTATATGTAATATATTATATATTATATTATATATTATATATATAATATACATGTTATATAATATATAATATAATATATATTATTTAAAAAAGCTACCCAAAGCCCACCAAAACCAAGATGGTGATGAGAGTGACGTCTGGTCATCCTCACTGCTCATTAAATGTGAATCATAATACATTATATATTAGCATTACATATATAGTATATTATATATGATATATGTAATGATATAATATATTATATATAATATATGTAATGATATAATATATTATATATAATATATGTAATGATATAATATGTTATATATAATATATGTAATGATATAATATATAATATATAATATGTTATGTATAATGTAATTATGTTACATATAATATATATTTCATATTATATATAATATAATTATATTATATATATTTATATATTGTATATAATATAATTATATATAATTACATTATATAGTATTATATAATATGTAATTATATATAATTGTATATATAATTATATTATATAATACTATATAATATAATTATATATAATTGTATATATAATTATATTATATATCACTATATAATATAATTATATATAATTGTATATATAATTATATTATATATTACTATATAATTATATATAATTGTATATATAATTATATTATATAGTAATATAATATAATTATATATAATTGTATATATAATTATATTATACGGTAATATAATATAATTATATATAATTATATTATATAATCATAATATAATATTATATATAATATTATATATATAATAAAATATATCATATATAATTGTATATATAATTATATTATATAATTATAATATAATATTATATATAATATTATATATATAATATAATATAATTATATATAATTGTATATATAATTATATTATATATTAATATAATATAATTATATATAATTGCATATATAATTATATTATATATTAATATATAATATAATTATATATAATTGTATATATAATTACATATTATATATATGTTATACATATATAATTATATATATGTAATAATAATATAATATAAAATATATATATAATATAAATTACATAATATATGTAATATATATTATATATATGCAATTATATATAATTGTATATATAATTAATATATAATACAATTATATTAATATATAATATAATTATATATAATTGTATATATAATTAATATATAATACAGTTATATTAATATACGATATAATTATATATAATTGTATATATAATATATTGTACATAATATAATTATACACAATTATATATTATATATATAATGCTAATGTATAATGTATTATGATTCATATTTAATGAGCAGTGAGGATGACCAGATGTCACTCTCATCACCATCTTGGTTTTGGTGGACTTTGGGTAGCTTTTTTTATTGCATCCTGTTTCATCAGTAAGGTCTTTGTGACCTGTATTTTGTGCTGACCTCCTATCTCATTCTGTGACTAGAATGCCTAACCTCCTAGGAATGCAGCCCAGTAGGTCTCAGCCTTATTTCTACCAGCCCCTATTCAAGATGGAGTTGCTCTGGTTCAAACACCTTGGACAGCACCACCCCCAGGAAGCCAGCCTTGATTTCCACCTTCTTCCCAGCTGAAAGTAATTCTGTGTCCCATACTACTATGGAATTAACCTAGACCTTTCATTTAAATTGTCAACCTTAAAGGAAAAAAAAAAACTGAGGCAAAATTAATATAAGTAGAGAGTTTATTTGGGGCAAGCTTGAGGATTGCAACTGGGGAACATAGATTCAAGTTGACCTGAATTATACACTCTGATTAGCAACTGTTGCAAGTGAATTTTTAAAGAAAAAGAAGAGGCAATTTCTACATTGTTTACCAATAATTTACATTTAAAATACATAAGCTATAACATTGTTCTTTGTATCACAAATTTCAGAAACAGGAAGATAACAGGTCAGTCAGCTAGTTAGGAACAAAATCACTTTAAACAATTGCCCTCAGGCACGGGGAATGACCGAAATTTCATACTCTTGTCTCTCTGGACCTGGTAAATTTTGCATACCTCACCTGGCTCATAATACTCTGGGCGATTTCTCTCTTCTCAATCCTAGTAACTAACATTTTTTTCTTGCTTATTACAATCATTGCATTTTACATAGAGACCAAGTTAATTCTCACAACAGCCCTATGAGAGAGATACGCTCATTGGCTTCCTTTTGTCACCATAACAGGTTCATTGCCTAATGTGCAAAGCAGGTCAATCCACAAGACACCTTATTGCAGCAGAGAGAGAGGTTTAATTGGAGGGTCACCAAACAAGGAAATGGGAGGAAACCTTAAATCTGATTCTCCGACAAGTTTGGGGTTAGGTTTTTGGAGTGTACTTCGAAGTGTGGAGATCGTTGACAGATGGAAGAGTTCAAGGTGAAGTCATGCGACAGGGAGGGGAAGAAGCTGCATTCTCATGCTGATCCATTTCCTCCATGGGGGTCTTAGAACTGGTTGCTGGAATTCCAGGTCTGTAAAACATCTTCAGTGACCCTTAAACAAAAGCCTTATGATTTTAACATCAGTTATCTTGTCTGTAGAAACCATGGAAGTGCACAGTCAGTATTGAGTGAAATGAGACTTTTAGCAAGAAGGAAGTGGGCCAAAGTGCAGCACAATTAATGCTTAATCATAACTCTATTTTTGTCCAGAACCTGGTATGTAATTTTTTTTTTTTTTGAGATGGAGTTTCACTCTGTCACCCAGGCTGGAGTGCAATGGTATGGTCTCTGCTCACTACAACCTCCGCCTCCCAGGTTCAAGTGATTCTCCTGCCTCAGCCTCCTGAGTAGCTGGGACTACAGGTGTCCGCCACCACGCCCAGCTGATTTATGGTTTTTAGTAGAGATGGGGTTTTGCCATGTTGGCCAGGCTGGTGTCGAACTCCTGACCTCAGGTGATCCACCTCCCTTGGCTTCCCAAAGTATTGGGATTACAGGCATGAGCCACTGCACCCAGCCTTGGCATGTAATTTTTATTAACTCTGTGGGGACTGTTTCAATTTTACACATGTGGACCTTGTCTTTCCTCATGTGACACAACCTCAGCGTGCCAACTCCTGACCCCTCTCTCCCTGCTGAGATACTAGTTTCTCTTTGGTTTTTATTACCCAGCATCCCCTGCTTTTTCCCTGAAGTCTCTGTTACTTTTCCATTTTTAAAATTTTTAGTATTTATTTTGAACATCTTTATTGAGGTACAACTAACATATAGTAACTTTCCAATGTTTGAAGTGTACAATTTCATCAGTTTTGACATAGGAATACTCCTGTGAAATAATAATCAGAAGCAAGATCATCCATCATCCCTAAGATTTTTTTTGGTATGTTCCTTTGTATTTTCTCCCCATCCGCCCTACCCCAGGCAACTACTTTTCTGCTTTCTGTCACTGGTTTGAGGCAGCACATAATTAGGCAATATGATGATCCCTAATTTATGAATGCATTCTTTTATGGTAGTGCTTGTGGTATTAAGTTGGTGCACAAGTAATTGTGGCTTTTGCCATTAAAAGCAAATGGCAAAAACTGCAATAACTTGTGCACCAACCTAATATCATAGTTCATAATTTTCTGGGCAATCCACATACACAATGATTTTCTTCTATATTTTATTTGAGGTGTTTTATGGTTGTAGATTTGACAGTCAATTTTACAATTTATTTTCAGTTAATTTTTCTATAGGGTGCGAGGTATGGATAGAAGCTCGTGTGTGTGTGTGTGTGTGTGTGTGTGTGTGAATGTTGACTTGTTCTGGCATCAGTTCTTGAAAAGGCTATCACTCCTCCTTTGAGTTGAATTTCACTTTTTTAAATAAAATGTGTTGTCCATGTATGTGTGGGTCTATTTTTGGAAGCCCTATTGTGTTGGTCTATTTGTCTAATTTGACATCAAGACTGTTTGAGTAGGTAGCTAGTCAGGCATGAGCAGGGCAGAAGAGGAGAAGTTCCAGCCGCTACCAGGCATGTCAGGCGACCATCAGGTGATGGTCAGGTGGTTGTTACGCTCTCTTGCTAAAATAATAATTGGCTGCAGCTGGTGCCAGGGAAAGGCAGCTCCCAATAGATACAAACACCTGAATCTGGTCATCAGCATCTTCCTGATAAGATCTCACGAGCTGGGCCAGTCGGCTCAGGCATGCATACTGAGAGACAAAATGACGGATGGCCTTCCTTTGGGAACACTGGACTGGTAAGGGAAAAATGCCTCCAGTGAGCATGGTGAGCATGCGCACAACTCCAGTAAGAACACTGCACAAGCTCACTTCCCACGTGCTGGCAGGCCCCTGCTCATGGGATCAGCCTACCCCAAGGGAAGAATTACTGGAGAAGGGATTCTAGACCCTGGAAGTGTGCCAACATATAAAACCCCAAGTCAAAAGGTCAAACTGGCATTTGGCTTTCAAGTTACCCCTTGGCCTTCTTCCAACTATCCTTTTCTTCCTTTTGTTCCTGCTCTAGAGCATATTTTTTTTTTTTTTTTGAGACAGAGTTTCACTCTTGTTGCCCAGGCTGGAGTGCAATGGCACGATCTCAGCTCACTGCAACCTCCGCCTCCTGGGTTCAAGCAATTCTCCTGTCTCAGCCTGCTGAGTAGCTGGGATTATAGGCACCCACCACTATGTCCAGCTAATTTTTGGTATTTTTAGTAGAGACAGGGTTTCACCATGTTGGCCAGGCTGTTCTCAAACTCCTGACCTCAGGTAATTCGCCTGCCTTGGCCTCTCCAATCGCTGGGATTACAGGCGTGAGCCACTGCACCCAGCCTAGAGCTTTTTAATACATGTTCACTCCTGCTTTAAGACTTGCCTTGGTCTCTCCTTCTACCTTACGTCCCTCAGTCAAATTCTTTCTTCTGAGACAGCAAGAATTTAGGTTGCTGCAGACCTGGATGGATTTGCCACCGGTAACATCCTTTGGTGCTGCATGACTTGGATACGCTTCACTGCTAACCGTACTACACTGTTTGGTTTGCTGTAGTTTTAAAATAAGTATTTAAATAAAATAACATTAGTCTTCCAGCTTTGTTGTTCTTTTTCAAAGTTGTTTGGCTTCTTCAAGTGCTTCACATTTTCATATAAATTTTAGAATCAGTTTGTGAATTTCTACAAAAAAGCTCACAGGGATTCCATTAAGATTTTATTGAATGTTTAGATCAATTTGGGGAGAATTAACATCTTAACAGTATTTAGTCTTCTGATCCATCAACACAACATATTTCTCTATACATTTAAGCCTTTGTTTTCTCTCAATAATGTTTTGTTTTGTTTGGCATACGGATCTTTCTTGGTCATATTTTCTCTAAGTATTTCATTTTTTTGATGCTTAGTAAACAGTTTTTAAAAATTAATTTTGTTTCCACTATTTGATTATAGTATATAAAATTATGATTGCTTTTTGTATATTGTTTTTGTTTCCTGCAACCAAGCTAAACCCACTTATTATTAGTTCTAGTAGGTTTGTGGAGATTTCATCTTACTTTCTACATAATCAATCATGTCATCTGTAATAAAGACAATTGTACTTCTTTTTGTTTGTTTCTTTTCTTTTTTCTTTTTTAACCTGATTGCACTGCTGGAACTTCTAATGAGAGTTGCTATCTCTGTCTTGCTACTAGTGTTATGGGAAAAGCATTCAACCTTTCACTGTTAAGAATTATGTTAGGCACAGGTTTTATTTCTGTCTCAGTCCATTTGTGCAGCTACAACAAAATACCATGGACTGGGTAATTTATAAAGAGCAGAAATTGATTTTGCACAGTTCTGGAGACTAGGAAGTCCAAGATCAAGATGCTGATAGATTCGTTTGTCTAGTGTGGGTCTGGTCTATGCTTCCAAGATTGTGCTTTGAACAATGCATCCTCCATAGGGAAGAAACACTGTGTCCTCATATGATGCAAGGAGGAAGGGCAAGAGAACCCAAATGCTCCATTAATTCTCGTTTATGGGACCTTAATCCCAATCATGACAGGGGTGCCTTTATACCTAACCACCTCTTACAGCTCCGCCTCTTAATACCATCACAGTGGCCATTAAGGTTTAACAACTAAATTTTGGAGGGTACGCGTTCAAGCCATGGTAGTTCAGATGCCTTTATCAGACTGAGGAGGTTCCCTTTCATTCCCAAGTTGCTGAGAGTTCTTATCTGCAATGGATGTGTTATCAACAAAGCCTGTCCCCCAGAAGACGGGGTCTTTCCCTGTTTGATGTCATGAAGCCAATATATGGAAATGAAGTAAGCATCAAGGGTTGCAGGTTTTATTCAATGGCTGTGGAATTGAGGAGTGTGGCTCACAAATCAACTTCTCGGTTTGTGACAACCAAGAAGCTGTAGATATAAGGCATCTTTAATGAAAGGGTTGGACATAAAAAGCAAGGGGAAGATTAGTCATGTATTTTCTGGGAATGGATGGAGAACTTGGAATTGGAGTGCTGCCTTCCTTTTTATCTTTTTATGATTTCTTCTAATCATTGTTATGGTGACTGTCATGGCACTGGAGTGAGTGCCATTAAGCATGGAAATCTTATAGTGAAGTTAGAAATTCTTCAGAGGGCAAGTGAGCTGCCATCTTGGGTGCTACCAGTTTCAGCCAGTTTGGTCATGAGGGAGAACTCCTGACCTTAAGATGCCGGCATTCTGTTTCTTAAAGATAAGCAGGGTTAAGGTAGGGGAGAAAGTCAGGTAGGTCATGTAGGCTTTATACTGGGTAACAGATGTTGGACTTTAACAATCGTTTCTCCTGTATCCACTGAAATATTTGTATGGCTTTTCTTTTTAAGTGTTTAATATGGTGAATCACATTGATTAATTTTCTAACATTAAACCCCAAGACTTTCCTTAGAAGCCTTTAGATGCTACCAAGGTAAGTCATCATTTAGATGCTACCAAGATAAGTCATCATTGTTTGCCTTCTACTTCCTAGGGAAAGAATTAGGATGTGAACCAGAGCAAATGCGAATTGGAGGAAGAATCTTTTAAGTCTGAAAGGGAGAAACCAAGCCTCATTAGTGGGTCACCCTCTGGACCCTGCCTGCATGGATCCAATTCAAAGAAGTTGATGAAATGGAGCTTGGCCAGAGTTTAGAGAAAGCTTCAGGGATAGTTCCATGGCTCTTAGAGAAGGGATAAGAGATGCCCCTGGAAAACTGATAGAAATGGAGCCTTAGGCACCTTGGGGACACTGTTCATGCTCCATTTTACTTATCCATGGAAGAGAAAATACAGCTAAAGATGAACACTTCCCTACTGTTACTAGGATTCCTGTAGCCCTTGGTGCCATTATATGTAGCATCTTTTTCCAGTCCTTAATTCAAGCTGCTGCTTGAGTGATTTACTTAAAAACCCAAACACAGTCATGTCACTGTCCACTCTGTAAACTCTGGTTGGCTGCCCCCTAACTATAAATAAAGCATCAATCCCTTTAACATGACTTATAAGGCCCTTTATATTCTCTCCCCAACCTACCTACCCAGGTCTTTCCATTGCTTTCCAAAACATCCAATGAAACAGAAGTATGAACATTTCTGATATTCAGAAAAGCATACATCTTCTCTCCCAAGCTTCACTGCCTTTTCAATGTCTCTGCCCATTTCAGTCTCTATTTTCTCTCTCTCTTTTTATAGTCTTAGTCTTAGAGTTATGTTAATCTCAGTTTCAGTTCATTGCACACTATCATCTGTGCCAGAGGTTACCTTCAACTCCCCAGCCACCTTGAATAATGCAGCATTGAGCTCTATGAGAATTTCCCTGGAAGATAGACGCTCAGAAGCTTAAATGTGGGGCAGAGAGCATGGGTGTACCTAATTTGGCTAAATATCGACAGATTGCTCTCCAGAATGGCTGCACCAACATCTATATCTTCACATTTCAGAAACACTTGGCAATATCCAGCTTTCTAAATTTTCCATTCCGAGGGGAATTAATTACCATTATTTTGAACATCATATGCTCCTTGGCTTTTTACATTTCTTCTGTCAATTTTTTATTTATATCCTTTGCTCCTTTTTCTCTTGTATTTGATTTCTTCCTTACCTAATGTTCTTCTCTGTATTCTTCACACGAGACCCAGTTCAAATGCCACCACCTCTCTGAAGGCTGCCCCGATTACCCATGCAGATTTTAAATCTCCCTTTTTTGGGGTGCTCATGGCCCTTTGCTTGTTCCCATATCGTATGTATCATAATGCACAGTCATCATTTATTTGCTTTTTCTGTCTCTTCTACCAAAAAATGAGACAGAAATAGATAACACTATTTCTATACCAAAGGATGGAACATGAGCATTCACACAAAGGTAGATCTCAATTATTTTTAATGAAAAGAGAATTGCACATATTTCTTGTGGGCAACATGATTAAAAAGATTCCTAGGATAAATTAGTCTATGAAAGCAGAGAGAATGCCATGTAGAAATGTAGATTCCAATAGCATTAGACAAGGTTAGAAATTGAGAATAATCATGTTCAGAAAATAAATCTGGGTCCAACTCTTAATACAAACCTCTTGTTCTTTTGATCTACTTTTGACTTAAGCTGGGTAGACTCTTTGCTCTACAAGCATATGCATTCACAGTGTTTGCTGAACTGGGCCAAAAGGTATCACATTGAGTTCAGATGATTGGAAGGGCAGATTTGTAACGTCAGCATCTCAAGATGACTACCAAGTACATTCACATCAGTTTGCAAAGCCACCATTCCGAGTAGAGATGTCATCTTGAGCATCTGTTCTTGGAGCTCCAAAATTGCTGTAAAACAAAACAAGCACACACAAGGGTTGAAGTGTCATAGGTTGAAAATTCAAATAGACCTTTGCTGGCAAAGAAGGATGTTTCTACTCCCAACGCCCAGTGAATGTGGTCAGGGTTGGCCTTCAAGCTGCATAATTAAGAATATAAACTGGCCTCAGAGTTGCTATGAGAAAGTTCCTATGAGAGTCCTTGTGGTTGGACAGGCCAGCCTGGTTGAAGGGATGAAAACCCAGTTCTCTGTTTCACACCCCTTGAGTTAGTACTTTAGATTCTAAGATCCACCCAGGTCTTTGTGTTATAGGTAGATTGGCATGAGCGGAGCAGGAGAGGGCTCTCCACCCACCCACTAGAAATGTCTGGCTATGGCTCAGCAATTATCGCATTGCTTCTCCAAAAGTGATAAATCGGCAGCCTTAAAAGGGGTCTCAACATATTATGTGACCCTCATCTCCCTATGGCACCTCCCATTACTCTCAGAAGCTGCTGTCATGGAGACTGGTGGACAGAGGGCTGTGTTGCAGGGACAGAGGGGCAGGGACTAGCCAGACAGGCAGACAGGGGCAGGGAGATAAATCTGGCTGGAGGATGCAGCTGTCAGTCAACATCCCTCCAGGGCAGGAGGGCTTCATTCTCAGTCACCGCATGCTGGACAAATAAAGTGTCCACTCCCCAGACTTTTACTGTAAACAAAGCAATGTTTTGCTGAGTGAGAAGAAGAGAGGCAGGGGGAACCTGTCATTCCAATGACATCCCAAGAGCACTGTCCACCCATTTTCTCATGCTCAGATGCCTCCATTTATAGAATTAAAGTGCAGGAGGTATTTCCTTTGCCTTTTCCAAAATGACTATAGAAATCAGCATCATTGTCGCCCGGCATGGTGGCTCACGCCTGTAATCCCAGCACTTTGGGAGGCCGAGGCAGGCAGATCACCTGAGGTCAGGAGTTTGAGACCAGCCTGACCAACATGGAGAAACCCCATCTCTACTAAAAACACAAAATTAGCCTGGCATGGTGGTGCATGCCTGTAATCCCAGCTACTCGGAAGGCTGAAGCAGGAGAATAGCTTGAACCTGGGAGGCAGAGGTTGCGGTGAGCCGAGATCGCGCCATTGCACTCCAGCCTGGGCAACAAGAGCAAACCTCCATCTCATAAAAGAAAAAGAAAGAAAGAAAGAAAGAAAGAAAGAAAAAAAGAAATCAGCATCATCATCATCGGTCTGAGTCAAGTCAACAATAGCCACACAACCCCATCTTTTGAAAGTTAACAAGAAGGCATATAGGATCCTATGTAGCACTTACACATTTCTGGTGTCCTATTTATTCAGTCTTCCCAATGATGGTGCAAGGAATGGCATTTTGCAGAGAAGAACATGGAGACTCAAAAAGATTCAGCTTATGGGCCTCAAAGTTATTTAACAACAACAACAACCAAAAAAAAAAAAATGGATAGAGCCAAGATTTCCAGCCAAGTTTCCTAAATCAAGCAAGACTAATAGTTGGTGCTCCTCTGGGCCTAAAAACCTTAAATCTCACAACTTTACCCTCTTGCTCCTGTGATGATATTCTCTGGGGGTGAGGTGAGTCCTGAGCTAGGGGCAGGGCTGGGTAGCTTTGTATGCACCTGCTGTCCACCCTTCCTGGTGGTCTCTTACTCTCTTGCACTGCTAGAAAGAAGGGCATGGAAAGCATCCTTCATCTTTTCCATGAACAGAAGCAAAAGCCCCTCCTTCCCTTCCTGCCCCTGCCACACTAGCACACATGTTGGGAGTAGGAGACAAGACATTTTTCTCACTGTGTCATTGCACAGGAAGAGGGTTCTCAGAGGTGCTAATATATTCCATCTAACTGGCACTCTAATGAGCCCAGTAGGGAAGAGTATGTGCTAGCCCCGGCTCAGCAGGTTCCCTTCATAGGGTCGTTTGATGCTTCAGACTTTTAAGAGTCCCTGAGGTCCCAGATGAGCCCAGGCTGCTTCCCAAGGCGAGGGCTGCATTTCTGGGCTGAATACCCATTTGCTCATGCGGGTAAAGAGGAATTGCAAGACACCGTGCTCACTTCTACTCAGACAGAGACGAATGCATATCTTCAAGGCATTTATTGCCAGCAGTGGCTCCTTTAAAAAGAAGGTTCAAGGCCAGATGCGGTGGCTCACGCCTGTAATCCTAGCACTTTGGGAGGCAAAGGCAGGTCAATCACTTGAGGTCAGGAGTTCGAGACCAGCCTGGCCAACATGGTGAAACCCAGTCTCTACTAAAAATACAAAAATTAGCTGGGTGTGGTGGTACATGGCTGTAATCCCAGCTACTCGGGAGGCTGAGGCAGGAGAATTGCTGGAACCTGGGAGGCGGAGGTTCCAGTGAGCCAAAATCACACCATTGCACTCCTGCCTGGATGACAAGATCGAGACGTCAGCTCAAAAAAAAAAAAAAAGAGTTCAATTACTTGTCCTCTGTATGCATAGCCCTTGGTTTGGTGGAGCTTGGTCAAGGGTACAGGCTGCTGTGCCAACTCTGGGCTACACCTCGTTAATTCTTTTTATTTCATAGAGACAAATTTCGCTATGTTGCCCAGCCTGGTCTCTAACTCTTAAGCTCAAGCAATCTTCCTGCCTTGGCCTCTCAAAGTGCTGAGACTACAGGCATGAGCCATCACACCCAGCCCTCTCTGTTGTTATTACCTGAAGAGGCTTCTGTTTTGCGAACTACACCCTGACTAATGCAGTTGCCATTAATGATCTCTACATTTCCTGAGCATCTACTATGTATCAGCCCAGGGCTAGTTAATTTCCACATGTTACCATTGAATCTTGCATATTATCCTTCAAATGTACATTACACATGATCCGATTCCTCTACTATATAAGTGATATCTTTTTGCTGCCCTTGTCTCTACTAAGCAGCCTGTGAAGAGACACTCTAACATCCTGTAAATATGCTTCTCATCAGAACTCCCCATTCAGCCACCACCAGATATAATACCCATTGATGATTTTTGCCTGGTCCTATCTTTACTATGGAGGTAATAAAATAGTGATTTTCTTGTTCCTGCATTCCTTCCACGTTGGCTGGCTGACCCCTTGGCATTCCCCTATAAGCAAGAGCTGTCTTTTGGAGTTTTAAAACTACAGTTGCCTGTAATCCCAGCACTTTGGGAGGCCGAGGCGGGCGGATCAAGAGGTCAGGAGATCGAGACCATCCTGGCTAACACGGGTGAAACCCCGTCTCTACTGAAAATACAAAAAATTAGCCGGGCGTGGTGGCGGGTGCCTGTAGTCCCAGCTACTCTGGAGGCTGAGGCAGGAGAATGGCGTGAACCCGGGAGGCAGAGCTTGCAGTGAGCCGAGATTGCGCCACTGCACTCCAGCCTGGGTGACAGAGTGAGACTCCGTCTCAAAAAAAAATTAAAAAATAAATAAATAAACTACAGTTTGCTGCCCCCCACTTCATTCCTAATGAGTCACAACCCCTGGCCATGAAGACTGGATTTTGTATTTTTTGAATTCTCAATGCAATAATGCTCCACTCTCAAAATACCCTTCTTCCTTAAAGAGGTTTGGGGAACTTGTCCCAACTCCGCTTACAATGGGGGTGAGCTATTCGCAGCAACCAAGTGGCAAAGATGGCAATTTTATTTCTATTTTGATTTTCTGTACTGAAAAACTTAACTTTATTCAACTTTTGGATTGTTACCAAAAACTGTCTGGGTATGAAATAAGACATGGCTGGCCAGGTGCAGTGGCTCATGCCTGTAATCCCAGCACTCTGGGAGGCCTAGGCGGGAGGATCACCTGAGGTCAGGAGTTTGAGACCAGGCTGGCCAACATGGAGAAACGCTGTCTCTACCGAAAATACAAAAATTAGCCAGGTGTGGTGGTGCATGCCTGTAATCCCAGCTACTTGGAAGGCTGAGGCAGGAGAATTGCTTGAACCCAGGAGGTGGCGGTTGCAGTGAGCTGAGATCACGCCACTGCACTCCAGCCTGGGCGACGGAATGAGACTCTGTCTCAAAAAAGAAAAGAGAGAGAGAAAAAAAAAGAACATGGCTGAAGTGGTGGTGTTTTATTCGCTTTTTTTTTTTAAGTTAAAATTTTTTATTTCCATAGGTTATTGTGGAACAGGTGGTGTTTGGTTACATGAGTAAGTTCTTGAGTGGTGATTTGTGAGATTTTGAGCAGTATACACTACAACCAATTATTCACTTTTATCCTTCACACCTTTCCCATCCTTTCCCCCTGAGTCCCCAAAGTCTATTGTGTCATTCGTATGCCTTTGCATCCTCATAGCTTAGCTCCCACTTATGAGTGAGAATGTATGATGTCTGATTTTCCATTCCTGAGTTACTTCACTTAGAATAATAGTCTCCAATCTCATCCAGGTTGCTGTAAATGCCATTAATTCATTCCTTTTTATGGTTCAGTAGTATTCCATCATATATATACACACACATATATATGTATATGTGTGTGTATATACACATACATATATATGTATATGTGTGTGTATATACACATATATGTATGTGTGTGTATACACATATATGTATGTGTGTGTATACACATATATGTATGTGTGTGTATATACACATATATGTTTGTGTGTATATACACATATATGTTTGTGTGTATATATACACATATATGTTTGTGTGTATATATACACATATATGTGTGTGTATATACACATATATGTATGTGTGTGTATATGCACATATATGTATGTGTGTATACACATATATGTATGTATGTGTGTATATACACATATATGTATGTGTGTGTGTATATACACATATATGTATGTGTGTGTATATACACATATATGTATGTGTGTATATACACATATATGTATGTGTGTATATACACATTTATGTGTGTGTGTATATGCACATTTATGTATATGTGTGTGTATACATACATATATATGTATATGTGTGTGTATATATACATATATGTATATGTGTGTGTATATATACATATATATGTATATGTGTGTGTATATATACATATATATGTATATGTGTGTGTATATATACATATATATGTATATGTGTGTGTATATATACATATATGTATATGTGTGTATATATACATATATGTGTATATGTGTGTGTATGTATGTGTGTATATGTGTATATATGTGTATATGTGTGTATATGTGTATATGTGTGTATATGTATATATATGTGTATATATAATGTGTGTGTGTGTGTGTGTGTATATATATAGCTCTCTCACACTTTCTTTATCCACTCATTGATTTATGGGCATTTGGGTTGGTTCCACATATTTGCAATCGCGAATTGTGCTGCTATAAACATGTGTATGCAAGTATCTTTTTTGTATAATGACTTCTTTTTCTCTGGGTAGATACTCAGTAGCTGGATTGCTGGATTGAATGGCAGTTCTACCTTTAGTTCTTTAAGGAATCTCTACACTGTTTTCCATACTGGTTGTACTAGTGTACATTCCCACCAGCAGTGTAGAAGTGTTCCCTGCTCACCGAATCTACGCCAACAAAAGATAGCAAGTTTATAACTAGGTAGGAGACGTGAGGCAAGCCCTTCAGCATCATCCAATGCTTATTTTGCATTTTGTGGGTACCAATGTACCTTATTTGTCCTTCTTGTTAACCTTAAGATTATAGCTAAGAGGAGAAACATTTTAATCTCTTCTCTCCTCTGTCTCTCTCCTTATCTCTCCTCTTTCTCTGCCTCTCTGTCTCTATCCATCTATCCTTCTCTCTTTTCCTCAACCCCATATCCTTGGAAAACCCATCTATTTACCCCATAGAATCACCAACAAAGTGCTGCCACTTATAAAGGGACCTACTAACCGCTTATTTTATAGGTGAGCACATACCTATTTCTACAAGAGACTTTATAAACTAAGATGCTACCAATTCTTTGCTCTATTTTAGGATGCTGATGTCCTATGGCGGGCCTTCTTAGGCATGCTACATCTCATAGGTTAATTAATAATGTGTGCAAATGCCTTATGACATTTGGCTAATAACGCCATGGTCCTTTTTATAAACTTGGGACACAAGATATTCCAGCATAACAATCAGCTATGAATTGACCACAAATTTAGAACTATTGGTTTGTCTTTAGTGTCTTGAAATTCTTGAAATTCTTGGTTACATGAGTAAGTTCTTTAGTGGTGATTTGTGAGATTTTGGTGCACCCATCACCCGAGCACTATATGCTACATCCAATTTGTAGACTTTTATCTGAAATTCTTGTGTACTCCAGATTTGAACCTTAAGTATTCTCAGGAAGTGATGTTTCTTTTGTTGTTTGTGTTTTTATTGCTTTTCTAGGACCCAATACTTGTAGATATCTGCTCAGGGTTATTCTCCAGTAACACTGATGATAGTTTGAGATGCACCTTAAATATCGATGCAAGACAGGGATCTTCATAAAAAAACCCAATTATTAGTGTCAAGAACAAACAGTAGGAAATATGTGCATTTTCTTCAAAACCCATAGCGAAAAAATATATTTATCTCTGAAAAATCTCTGGTTTTGAAAAGTGGGATTCTACAGCTAATGTGGGATTCTGAACACCACTTTCTCATTTGCTACATTTCTACTGTGCACCGAATGACATTCTCAGTGCTGGAAATACAGACATTCATGGTTGTTTCCCCAACCATTTCCCAATGGAGGCAGGAGAGTCAAAGCAGCAAATGCATATTAAAACAAATATGAAATGTACTATGCCTGAATCAACTTAGACTGAGGAAGTTGGGGAAGGCTTCCTCAAAGGAGTGATGTATGAGATAGACTTGGCCCCATTACAGGGCTTGGCAGTGTTCATTGACTGAATGCACGAGCACCTGAAGGGCCCACGCAGAACAGATTTTCATCAGCTAGAAAAGTGGGGCCAACGACAGCAGACAGAGGAACTAGCATGTCTCAGAGCATCAGGAGAGAACATGTCTTTTCTAAACTGGAGCATCAGCGCGTCCTTTTCTAATCATTTTTCCTGCTGTTTTTGAATTGGAATTTGCAATCCTGGAGCTTATGGGCTTCAAAGTAAATCATATGGCAGCTGTGAAGGCACAGTGCCCTTCTCATTGCTTATGTCACAGGCTTTGGAGGGTCTCCCTGGGAGTGCATTGAGAGGAAGATGAGGGAAGGCCATTAGGTGAGGCAAGGATGACTTCCTGCAGCCAGAGCTCAGAGCTAATGAGGTCAGGGCAGTGTGTTCCTCCACCAGCAAACCTATTACCTGGCTCTGCGTGGGCCTCAAAAGGCAGCCCTTACCCCCACCTGCTGTCCTGCAAGCCTGTCAACATGGAAGGTGATAAGGACCAGGGAGGGCAGAGCCTTTGTTGTTGCCAATGACAGCGGCAAAGGAAAGAAGTCCTGCTATGACACCACTTTTCAGAGACAGGACAATTTTTCCATCCCATTAGTGCCTATTCATCAGTCACTCATTCATTTATGGAATATTTACCTACATCCTGGAGGTAAAAGAGTTCAGGTCTCCGCATTCTCATGGAGAAGCCAGGGGAGGGAACAGATTAATCACCACAAAGTGTGCTAAGAGCTGCAAAATGCACAAGGGCTGTGAGGTCAGGCTCTGCCCACAATGTGAAAGCTGGAGAAACTCCACAGAGAAGGTGCTATACAAGTGATATCGGAGTTAAAAAGAAATGATTTAGGCAGCTAGTGAGGGTAAGGGAGTCCTTGGCAGGGTCTTCCTTTCAATTAAAAGCAGCCCCCAAATCATTTTCTTTTCTAACAAAGAGCAGCCTGTAAAATCGAGCTGCGGACATAGAAAGGCAAGCTAGAAGCTTGCAAGGGTGAATCCTAGCAGCTATGCCAATAGGAAAGGGGCTACCTGGGGAGTAGGCATGTCCAACATGGCGGCTCCATCTTCCCGTCTCCTTGCCAACCACGGGTGCAGTCGGAAGCAGACAACATGGCGCCCAGCAGGCAAAGACTGCATTTGCAAAATAAGATTAGGGCAGGTGGCCAGCTTCCTCTGCACTATGTAAACATCACACCTGGTCCAAATAATCTGTGGGCCCTATGTAATTCAGACATCACCTCCTCAAGCCTGTTTATAAAATCCGGTGCACTCTGCTGCGGGCAGGGAGTCCCACTGGGCCTCTCTTTCCAGCAAGAGAGAGAGCTATTCTCTTTTCTTTTTTTTTTTTTTTTTGAGATGGAGTTTCACTCTTGTTGCCCAGGCTGGAGTGCAGTGGTGCTACCTCAGCTCACTGCAAGCTCTGCCACCTGGATTCAAGGGATTCTCCTGCCTCAGCTTCCTGAGCAGCTGGCTCCGGCCACCAGTGGCCTGGCTAATTTTTTGTATTTTTAGTAGAGACGGGGTTTCATCATGTTGGTGAGGCTGGTGTTGAACTCCTGACCTCAGGTGATCCACCCTCCCTCAGCCTCCCAAAGTTCAGGGATTACAGGCGTGAGCCACCACACCTGGCCTTTTCTCTTTCTTTTGCCTATTAAATGACCACTCCTAAACCCACCTCTTGTGTGTCTACGTACTAAATTTCCCTGGTGTGGGACAATGAACCCTGGGTATTTACCCCAGACAAAGACACCACTTCACCAGGTAAAAAGTGAACTGTTGTTATGATCACAGCTGAGAATGGAGTTTCTGTTTGTGTGTGTTTTCTGCTAACAAAAGGTGAAATTAAAAAAATAAATTAAAACCCGCCTACGTTTTAGTCTATGGTTTTGATGTCAAGTCTGAGCCATGAGAGAGCCAAAAGATTTTTTTTTTAATGAGGATTTTATTTGAGGATGATGAGGGCAGAGATAAAAGGTACGTTTTGAAAATAGGCAGCAGGAGAATTTGACATTTCACTAATAGGGTAGAGTAGTATGCATTCTGCGTGCATGCTTTTGTTTTAAGTTAGTTCAACTTTTATTCAGCAGGGGCCTAGGTGATCAGCAACAAGAAGCTGATTTTAAAATAAAGGTTATGAAAAATGGTAAGGCCCTGGAGATGCTTTTCATGGATTTCCAAAGCTAAGAAATTATCAGTGGTAGCCATGAGTTAAGTTTCAGGGTTCTGGGAACAAGCTTGCTTACTTTTTTTTTCCAAGTAAGACTGGGAATTGCTTTTTAAATATTTTCTCAGCTAAAGTGGTTCAAGTCACTGGTGAGATCTTATTTGCCCACCAAGTCCTGGTGACCAGCTAAAAAAAAATGTGAAAAACAGATTAAAGACAACTCTGGTTTCTCTGTTTATGGAGTGTCAGAAAACTAGGATCAGTTTTCTTGCCAACTAAATCAAAAAGGTATCTGAGCTAACTTACTCAAATGTTTTAAAACATGTCCCAAACTAAAACTTAACAGCTTGCTCTCTTCATCAGCTCTTGCTCTTGTCTTGCTTAGTTGGTGGAAGTGCCTACTTGTCCAGGCGAGAGACCACTGAGTTACATGTGGCCTCATCAGACACATTCTGTGACCAAGTCCAGGTGAAGTCCACCCTCTATGCCTCCAGGACATCCACCCACTCTTCTGAAGAAGCTACTGCAGCTACCTAAGATTCACAAGCTTTAGTTTTTCTCTTCTAAGCCATTTTTCACACTGCTTTATCACAATTATCCTTTATAAAAACCATCCTAACCTTGAAGATTGCATCGGTTCACCTTTGTCAAGGGTGAAGAGTCAAAGATCTTCATCACAGCATATGAGACTTTTCCCAGTTTGCCAGCAGCCCACCTCTCTAGCTTCATCTTTTACACCCCACCCCCAACTCCTGCATTGTTTGCTGTAGTTAAAAGAACTTTCTTCTTTCTTCTCTGTCACATCTCTGGTTCTCAACACACATTGCTTTTCATATGTAGAATGCTTTCTCCATCCTTCTTTTCCTACAATGCATGCCCCACACTCAGGGACAGGACTGGAGCAAGACAAGGGAGGCACCTACTGCAAAATGGAAGCAGGTCGTCATTGCCAAGGTCATGAAAGTGCCACAGAGCACACACTTCCTTTATTTGGTACCCCTAGACCCTCAATTGGCTCACTCTAGTCCCAGCCCCATTCATCCCTTTCATTTCTCAATCCAGCCTTGTGCTTCCTTCTGAGGACTCTGTTTCTATGATTTAAGGCAGGGACAGTAATACCCTCTCTTTCAGCTTTCTAAGCTATCTGAGAAAATCATTTTCTCAGATGTATTCCAGTCATATTCTGTGTACAATTGATATGGTTTGTCTGTGTCCCCACCCAAATCTCACCTTGAATTGTAATAATCCCTAAAAGGCAGAGCCAGGTAGAGATAAGTGAATCATAGGGGGTGATTTCCCCCATACTGTTCTCAAGGTAGTGAATAAATCTCATGAGATCTGATGGTTTTATAAAGAGGAGATCCCCTGTACAAGCTCTCTTGCCTGCTGCCATGTAAGATGTGACTTTGCTCCTCATTTGCCTTCCACTATAATTGTGGGGCCTCCCCAGCCATGTGGAACTGCGAGTCAACCAAACCTCTTTCCTTTACAAATTATCCAGTCTTGGATATGTCTTTATTAGCAGTGTGAGAACAGACTAATACAATAACTGTGTTCTAATATATATCCAGTTCAATGCATCAGGCATTTATGGAGAATGTACCATGTTTTATGAATAAACACAGAGTATTGCAGCCATTTTGCTTTTACTTGCAAAGCCTCCCAAGACAGTTTTCTTGAATTGAGTGCAGAGCCAGTTCTGGTCAATATATCATATCTACACTGGTGTACATGTATTAATCAGCTGGCATTGTACTCATTCTCTGTATCTGTGACAGTAAATAGTTGTAGACGCCATTGGTGTCTGTCCATTTCACAAAAATCTGAGATTCATGGAAGATCCTAAGACATAAAACAGCTAATTTTGCAAGTTTCTAAAAATACGTTCATTCCAAAGAGTAAGGAGATATGAGAAAATCAATTATTTGGGTGGTGATTTATCAAGATTAGGAGATAATTTCCCTTTTCAGTCATGCACGTTATTAATTGTGTCAAATTCCCTTAAACATCAGCGATTAACAGAGATCTACTTGAAATCTATCCTGCTTTAGTTTCTGTGTATATCAATAGTCAGTGTTTCAATGATGTGAGAAGGAGGTGGTCAATATCCTTATACATAGACCCACTGCCAGGCCTCTGAGCCCAAGCTAAGCCATCATATCCCTTGTGACCTGCACGTACACATCCAGATGGCGGTTCCTGCCTTAATTGATGACATTCCACCGCAAAAGAAGTGAAAATGGCCTGTTCCTGCCTTAACTGATGACATTACCTTGTGAAATTCCTTCTCCTCGATCATCCTGGCTCATCCTGGCTCAAAAACTCCCCCACTGAGCACCCTGTGACCCACGCCCTTGCCCGCCAGAGAACAACCCCCTTTGACTGTAATTTTCCTTTACCTACCAAAATCCTATAAAACGGCCCCACCCCTATCTCCCTTCGCTGACTCTCTTTTTGGACTCAGCCCGCCTGCACCCAGGTGAAATAAACAGCCTTGCTGCTCACACAAAGCCTGTTTAGTGGTCTTTTCACACAGACGCGAGTGAAACCCACAGTGATAGAGATTGCATAGTCTGGGAAAAAGATAAAGAATCCTTCTAAGGACAACAGCCAAGGGGGGGACTTCGGTTGGTTGAGAGCACACCCTCTGGGCCCTACTAATATGTCATGTGGAAATTAGAGGGCACAATGTTTTCATGAACAATAGGATTGAAGCCAACCCTCTATATTATTTCTGGTGCATGAGTTTGCAGAGATTTCTTATGGTTGAAGGAAGTGTGTCAGGAATTAGAAACAAACTCATTCAATAGTTGTATCTTATTCAATTGATATTATTGATTATTTGGAAAATAATTCATTTGCTAATTGTGTTCATCCTGTCTCTTTTGGCTATAAAGAATAGAAACCAACAAATGGTGGTTTTCTTTTTTTTTTTGATTGCTCAAATAACTGAAAAGACAGAGTGTATATGGCTTCAGGCATGCTTGGATCCAATGGCTAAAATGATGACATCGGAAGTATGTTCATGTTTTCCAATTCTGTTTTTTTCTGTGTTGTCTTCATTATCAAACAGGCAGAGGCAACCAGCAGATTCAGGTTTACATCATATTAGCTTGGAAACGTGTGAGAAAATAGCTTCTTTTTCTCAATATTCCAGCAAAAATATTTGCCATAATTCACATTAGTACACTTTCAGTCATATACTGTTTCTTATTCAATCACTATAGATAGGGAGAGACTGTGCTCTAAATATCCATATCTGGGTTACATGCCCAGTTTTGAAGCCAGGAGTGGGACTTGACCCAGAAATACACTGTTATGAACAGAGAATGTGGGATAATAGTTTCTTAACTGGTTTCCTTTAATGATGAAAATATTTGCTAACGCCATTTGGTTCATTTGTTCCAAGATAGCGTGTTCATTCATTTGCTTACTAATTCATGCAACCTTCTTTTATTCAGTCTGACATTTTTTGCTTTTTCATCTGAGTGTTTATTTATATTTAATGTACTTACTGATATATGGTGGTATTTAGGCCCACCATTTTACTAATTATTTTATATCTGTTCCATTTGTTTTTTGTTCCTCTGTTCATTCTTTCTGAATTCTTTTGAATTAATCAAATATTCTTAAGATTCTATTTTAATTCATTCACTAGACTTTTAAGATATTATTTTCCATATTAAATTTTTGGTGGTTGTTCTAAGGATTATAATATGTCTCATTTTTGTTATCTACTTAGATTTAATATTGTGCCACTGTGGAGGAAAAGTTAAATATTAAAATTGAATTCAATTGAACATGGACACAAACAGTCGTCACTGAATCCCAGAACAGGTTTTGTGAGCTCCTTGAGGCATTCATCCAGCACTGTTTCAATGAAATGTCTATTTTAACCTATTCTGATACATTAGTTATTGAAAAACAATAGACAATCGCAAAAGCAAGATGATCTTTTTGTGTCCCTTGAGCTCAGTCACAAAGGGCCCTCGTGACTGGGCCTTATGCCAAACAACTCATTACAAAAAGAGCTAGGGCCCCAGACCGCACCAAAGCTTCGAGACCTCCCCTCATCTGTGCACGGATGGGTGGCCGACACTGGAGCCCAGGCTATAGCTTCCCAGAGATGAATCCTCTGTAGTCTGGTGAGTGTGTGTGTGTGTACATATATATATATGTGTACACACACACACACTCACCAGACTACAGAGGATATATATATATATATATATATTTTTTTTTTTTTTTCCCTTCTCCCTTTCCCATTACAATTTGCTTATTATATCATTTGCTTATTATGTGATTTGCTTATTATATCTGCATTGTCATTTACATGGGATAAAGGTTGTTTACCCTTAAAGGTATTGTGTGTGTGTCTTTTATTCTCCCCTTGTGCATTTCCTACACAGAACAGCCACTTTATATGAAATGTAAGAATCATGCGACAGTACAGTATAACTTAATTTACTCCTTTCCTTTATTTCTGTATTTTTGTTGGCAAATATTTTATATCTGCATACTTTATAAACCCAGAAGAGTGTTAACATTTTTGCACTACATTGTCATGTGTCTTTAAATAATTTAAAATAAGGCCAGGTGTGGTGGTTCACACCTATAATCCCAGCACTTTGGGAGGCCTAGGCGGGTGGATCACGAGGTCAGGAGATTGAGACCATCCTGGCTAACACAGTGAAACCTCGTCTCTACTAAAAATACAAAAAATTAGCCGGGTGTGGTGGTGGGCGCCTGTACTCCCAGTTACTCTGGAGGCTGAGGCGGGAGAATCTCTTGAACCCAGGAGGTGGAGCTTGCAGCGAGCCGAGATCACGCCACTGCACTCCAGCCTGGGCAACAGAGTGAGACTCTGTCTCAAAAAAAAAAAAAAAAAAAAAAGAATAAAGAAAGAATTAAAAAAAAGATTGACTTCTCTATTTACCCATATACACTCAATTCTTATTATTCACAGGAACATTCTATGAGGTCATTGTGAAAACTGAATTAGCAAATACTAAACTGTTGGTTCTAGAGGAAATACAGGGTTAAGTTCCTATGAGACTCTGGTAACAAAATCTTCATCAACTGATCGGTACTTAATTTTGTTTTCTGTGTGTTTGTATTTATAGACATCTCAGTTATGTTGGTTCATTCACAGTGATCCCATGGCCAAGAAGTCACACCTGAATGAAGCTTACCTAACACATGTATTTTCTCCATAAGGCACATCACAGCCTATCTGCACTCACAGAAAGCCGTTTTGTGTTTTGTTTGGGGACCATTTAAACAGCAAAATTACCAAAAGAAGCACAAAAGTGTAAAAAATGTGGTGCTAAATAGAACACAAAGGGGTTACTTTTGTATAGCATGAAAGTTGACAGAAGAAGGCAGAGTGTTGCTTTGTTCAACCTCAGTTGGGAACATGTACATGAAACAGCTCAAATATTTTGAGTTGCTTATATGCGAAAATGCCTACAAAAGCACCACCAGTATTGATTTTGAGGTTACAAATAAACTTTAGCGAGTAGGCAAATTCACAAATATGGAATCTACAAATAATGAAGATTGACTGTACAGTTATCCCTTGGTATCTGTGGGGAATGGATTCCAGTATCCCCCTTGGATACCAAAATCTACAGACACCAAGTCTCATATAAAATAGGATAGCATAAAATGTGCATATAACATGCACACATACTCTCATATACTTTAAGATGTTTCTAGGTTACTTATAATAGCTGATACCGTATAAATACTATGTAAATTGTTGTTATACTGTATTATATTTTATTATTATTTTTAACTTTTTAAAAATATTTTTGATACATAGTTATTTGAATTCATGTCTGCAGAATCTGTGGATATGAAGGGTCACCTGTATTTACTATTTCTGGTGCTCTTCATTTCTTTCTATAGATCTGAGTTCCTATCTGGTTTCATTTACTTTCAACCCAAATAAATTCCTTCAGCATTTTATTTAATTCATGTGTGCTGGCAATGACTTTTTTTAAATTTTATTAATCTGGAGTGTCTATTTTGTTTTCTTATATGAAGGATAGTTTTGCTAGATATAGAATTCTGGGTAGACAATTTCTTTGTCTTCTTCATTGTTCCAAAAGAGAAGTCAGTCATAAATAGTATCACTATTCCCCTGTGCTATATATAATGTATCATTTATCTCCAGTTGCATTCAAGACAGTTTCTTTAGCTTTGGCTTCCAGCAATGTAACTAGGAGAATATACTTATGATTTTCTTTATATTTATCTTGTTTGAGGCTATCTGAGTTTTTCTGGATATGTAAGTTGATGTTTTTTACCAAATTTTGTGAACTTCACAGTTGCTGCTTTAAACTTTTTTTTTCTGGATTTTTTTTTTTTTTTTTTTTTTGATGGAGTCTCGCTCTGTCGCCCAGGCTAGAGTGCAGTGGCACAATCTTGGCTCACTGCAAGCTCTGCCTCCAGGGTTCACATCATTCTCCCGCCTTAGCCTCCTGAGTAGCTGGGACTACAGGTGCGTGCTGCCACACCCCTGGATCTTTATCTCTACTCTCTGCTGCTGAGACTCCAATTATGCATATGTTAAAGTATTTGATATTGTCTCATATGTTTCTGAAAAATCTGTTCAATTTTCTTTCAATCTTTTGTTCTCTTTCAAGTTCACAGTGACTTTCTTTTATGGTATCTAATCTGCTGTTCAGCCCATCAAATAACATTTTTATTTTAAACATTATATTTTTAAGTTCCAGGATTTAAATTTGACTTTTTAATAGTTTTTCTATTCTCTATTGATATTCCTCTTCTGTTTACTAATAATAATCCTGCTTTACTTGACATCCTTGATCATATATTTACTTCCTGCTTGAAAGTCCTTATTTTTTAATTACAACATTGAGGTTGTCTTTGGTCTTTATCCATTGACCGATATTATTTTGACCACAGATCACATTTAGCTGTCCTTTCCATGTCCAATAATTGTTTATTGTGTACTGAACATTGCGGATGTTATGCTGCAGAAACACAAGATACTATTATCATCCTTGGGTGAGTTGTTTCTTGCTCTAGTGAGTGATTTAATTGCTGGATAACTATCTTCACCATGTGGATGCTTTTTTAAATTCTTTATTAATGTGGGTCTATTTCTATTCTTCTTTTAGTTTTAGGCTAAATCCTTATTCCTGGGAAGCAGTCTTTTGCAAATAAGGATAGCTCTCTTTAAAATTAATGAAAAGTCCAAGGTATTTATCAAAACCCTATAACTTGATAGGATTCAAACTCCAAATTCTATCTCTCCTTAAGTAAGTCACAGCTAAGATCTCTGCTCAAGTCTTTCAACTTTCCAGCTATTGCACTGTGCTGAGTGTCTTGGTATCTCCCTCTGCATATGCATAATTCAAATGTCACTCAAGGACTTAAGGGAAATTTATATGCAGATTTGGGAATTTTCCTTTCTGTGGCTCCCACATTTTTACATCATCTTCTAAAATTTCCAGCAGTCTGGAATACTCAAATTCTGACACATCAGACAAACAAGGCCATGTATTTCTTTGCCTGAGTTCTAGGCAATCTGCGCTAAGCATACCAGAGAAGCCTTCAAGGGAAAAGCTATATAAGCACAGATCTCACCTAGTAGAGTTTCTTTTATTCAAGGTTGAATTAATTCCAACTTCTGCATGCCTTTTGATTGTTCTCCAGTGCCATCAGAAAGGTTGATCTTTGTTCTGAGGGATTTTTTGGTCTCAATTTTTTCATTGTTATCTGCATGCAGTTTAATTAAATATGAACTGCTTCAAAATTACTGGAATTGAAAGTCTCATTCATTCTGTCTTTAATTGATTTATCTAATAAGTGACTTCCAATCTATGATTTGAACCTGTCAATGGTGGTATGGGCAGCCTATGAAGAAATGAGGCTTATGAGAAATGTTTGAAGAGAACAAATCTCTATAGATGGCCGGAAAAACAAATCTCTATAGATGGGTTTCCTGGCAGGAAAACAAATTAAGTAGAAAATAATGAGGGTGAGAACAAAGATTTCCTCTTAATGAAGTAGGCAAAGGTTAGATAATATATGAGCAGTTGTTCTCAGGAAGAGTCGAATAATTCTGCAGAACTTTTGGAGTGACCAGTGAGTTCTTGTGAGGTTTAAGTTTGATGAACATTTGTAAATTTGTTTGTTGTTTTATTTTGTTTTTATGCTGTAATGTAGAAAAAATAGAGATTTAGAATAACAAAATCAAGCATAGTTTAGTGATCTAATTTTCTCTGAAGTTCTTTTTATTGCTTATGGTTTCCCATTTTTTTCCATTTCAAACAGTAATTTGGAGGTTTACATATGTCAATCAAGGTAGACTAGGCAACAGTAAGACAAAGACATGAACATGAATTGACTCAAGGAAATAGGAATTTATTTCTTATTCACCTAACAGTCTAGTGCAGTTCCAGGGCAGCTGGGAAGAGGGGTGCTTTGTTCCACATGGTCACTCAGGCACCCAGGTTGACATGTCTTTGCCATCTTCATCATTTACCACCCAGTGCCACAGTGGGTGTTTCCCGTTTTTGCATTACTGTAAGGGAATACCTGAGGCTTGGTAATTTATAGAAAAAAAGAAGAAGAGTTAGCTCACAGTTCTGCAGGCTGTACAGGAAGCATGGTTCCAGCATCTTCTTCTGGTGAGGGCCTCAGGAAGCTTACAATTATGGTTGAAGGTGAAGGACAGCCGCAGTTGTCACATGGCAAGAGAGGGAGCAAGAGAGAGCAGGGGTAGGTCCCAGACTCTTAACCAGATCTTGCATGAACTAACTGAGTGAGGATTCACTTATCTGCAAGGATATGGTGCTAAACCATTCATGAGGAGTCCTCTCCCATGACCCAACACCTCTCACCAGGCCTCATCTGCAGCACTGGGAATCACATTTCAATGAGAGATTTGGAGGGGACAAACATCCAGACCATATCACTGAGTGTTGCCATTGCAGATAGCAGAAAGGGGAAATAGAGCATGAACAAATGCACTCATGAAAGTCTTACCTTTCCTTTTCTTCTTTTTATTTTTTCGGTATGAGCTGGGCTTGGAAGGTTCCGCTTCCAAGGCTCTTCTTGGTTCTGCTAACATTCCATTGACTAGAATTCAGATCTTTCTACACTAAACTTTAAGGGATATAAAAGATATAGTCCAGCTATAAACTGATCAAAGTGTTGGAGCAATGCCATGGATACTTTTTCATATAAATATTCTTTTCTTGAGATTAAAACGTTCCTGACTTGTGCTTGAAAAGAAACTGAGTACCTGACATCCAGTTGCCATGTAATTGGAGCTATCTGTCATGGTCTGGGTTCTCCCAAAAGCATACCTTGAGACAGGATTTGAGTGCATGTAGTTTGTTTGAAAGTTGATCTCAGAAAGCACTGGTAGGGAAGTGGGTGTGGGGGACAGGAAAGAGAAAGAAGCTAATGTGGGTACATCCATGAATAACTCATAATGGCTCAGTCACACTATAATCCCCTGGGAGATAGTGTGGGACGTAGTACTTGAGGGATGAGGAAGCCAGTGTACTTGCTCTCCAGCTTCTGTTTGTCACTGCTGAGGGATGCTCCCTGGGGTGTTAACTCTTTTGTACTCCCACCCTGCCACGTGCACAGCCTCACAGAAAGCCCTAAAGCAGAGAATTACTGGTGATTGCAAGAGGAGATCATTGGCATGTACTAGAATGGTGAGTGTTGGGAAAATCTGGGCAGGGCCGCCAAAGTACCTATTTCTCTACCAACTAAGACACTAGGTCTAAACTGACTCACCATATTTGAATATGTACAGCATCCATCTACCATAAAGTTGAAATGTAACAAAAGAGATTAGGCTTAAGCAGGTCTGAAAGATAAATATGCTCTATGAGCAGGAGGCTCAGACTCCTAATATATCTAGTTCTGCTGCGGCAACTCCTCTCCTTCAATCCACATCGACAGCCTCAAAGATGGGCACTTACTGAAGAGGAAAAGGCCAGGGCCTGGCATACACATTGTTCTGCACAGTGTGTAGTGACCAACCTGAAACAAACTGATGCAGTGTTATAGTCCCCCTGTTCGGGAGTATTCTTGAAAGATATTGATGAAAGGAAATCCTCCCAGAAGGCAAGACTTGGGGCAGTCTTTGGGTTGTCCACTTTGCCTGGGCTAAGAGATCAGTGATTTGGATTGACCCTGATTTATGCACAGCTCCTAAGGTTCTGGCTGGATGGTCAGGAATTGAAAAATGCAAAATTGGAAGACTGACCAAAAGAGGTCTGGGAAAAAGTATTAAATGAGCACCGTGTATAGACGTGTCTGTATTCCATGTTCATGCTCAAGCAAAGGTTATGCAAAGGATAGTGGTGTTGGTAAACTTGCAGCAGTTTCAGCCACACTGCAACAGAGACAATGGGTCCTATTCTGATTATTGATCATGTTGGAAGTGAGTTTGGACATGGTTCATTTCAAACTCAGAGTCGCTTGGCTTTAAAATGTGTTTTACTCTTTCTACCATAGACCTAGGCATGTGTGATGTTGTTGGATTCCTTTCCAACAATAAAGAGCCAAATCTGGAGATCTGGCTCCAGCAAAGTCAAAAATGTGTCCAGTATTAGCACCCTGCTCCCTGCTCAGAAGTTCTATCTCCCCTGAAACCAGATGATACACTTGCTCTATGATTCTAAGTATCTAAAAATGGCAAAGATATGATCTATACAGTACGGGGCATGCCTTCTCACATTTGCTCAGAACCTCCCCTCCCAAAAAAAATTAAAATAAACTTGAATATTTTGAGTTTACAAAGTTTTCAAACTGGAATGCAGATAGCTTGAAAACCAAGTGCCAATAAAGAAAGACAGGAAAGTTGGGCAACAGCGGATAAAAGCAGACTAAGTGCCAATTGTCAATAATTTAATTCTCAAAACTACTCTTCAAAGTAGCTATTGAATTATCTTCCTCAGAATAGTACTTATGTTCACTGAGGTTAGCCAACTCAACCAAAGCTGCATAGTTAGTAGGTGACCAAGTGACCTTACATCCAATTTTTCTCTTCTCCATTGATACCACAGCACCTTGTTATCTTAAGAAGCTCTTTTATGGAAGAGCTCTCTATTTTTATAATCATTTCTATCATTAGTATGCAATAATGCATTGCATCATTTGTGTGCAATAATAGCAAACTTGGTCTACGAGGCTTCTTAGGTTGACTTTTCCATTGCCTGGATCTCTCTAAGCTTCAAACGCACATAAATATAGGGCTCAGGACCGTTAGTCACCCAAGCTCTTCTCTTGAAAGCGAAAAACATTTAGTTAAATGCCTACATGGCTAAATGACTATGAGTTCCGTTAGCATTTAATAAACAAATCATTAATGACCTTAAACCCTTCAAGCAGACTCAGTAGGACTTTCGCATTTTCATACTTTTTGTTATTAGCAAGAGAATGAGTCATCAAAAATACACATTTCTCTAAAAAATACGTAGCAATTGAAATATCATATGAATCAACTTTCATTCTCCACAATCACTCTACACTTGTGAGGATTGACTACATTCCATTTTGACCTAATATGAGTGTTTAATACTTTTGAAAAATTAAGTTTTATTAATCTGAAGTCATCCATCCTGCCTCCAGCCCTTTGAACTAGTTAGACGGGTTCATACATCACAGCTCCTGCCTAGTGACCAAGCTGAGCCCCCAAAGCTACAAAGCCATTCATAGCTACTGCAAAGATTGTGCCTTTTTTTTTTTGCAGGTGTATCTTTCCTCAAACCTGATTAGCACGCACTCCCAACTTCTTGATTTGAAAGTCCTATTGAGTCCACTTGAAGGATTTAAGGTCATTTATGATTTGTTTATTAAATGCCAATGGAACTCATAGTCATTTAGCCATGTAGGCACTTAACTAAATGCTTTTCACCTTTAAGAGAAGAGGCTGGGTAACTAATGGTCTTAGGCCCTATATTTATGTGCATTTGAAACTCAGGAAGACGAAGGCATTAGAAAAGTCAATCTAAGAAGTCTCAAATCAAGTTTGCTATTATTAAGAATTATTACATACTAACAATAGAAATGATTATAAAAATAGAAAACTCTGTCATGAAAGAGATTCTTAAGATAACAAGGTACTGTGGCATCAGTGGAGAAGAGAAAAATTGGACATAAGGTCACTTGGTCACTTACTAGCTGTGCAGCTTTAGTTAAGTTAGTTAACCTCAGTGAACACAAGTACTATTCTGAGGAAGATACTTCAACAACTACTTTGAAGGGTAGTTTTGAGAATTGAAGAAAATTTAAGGAGTTATATTATCTTTGTCCAATTTGTGTAGCAATAACAGTCTACCTGAGGCTGGGTAATTTGTGAAAAAAAAATGAGGTTTATTTGGCTCATGATTCTGGTGGCTGAAAAGTCTAAGGTTGGGCAGCTGCATCTGGTAAGAGCCTCATGCTGCTTCAACTCATGGCAGAAAGTGGAAGGTGAGTGGGCTTATGTGAAGAGTTCACATGGTGAAAGTAGAAGCAAGAGAGAGACTGAGGAATCCAGATTCTTTTTAACAACTGCCCTTGCAGGAACTAATCGGTCCTCTACAGTGAGAACACTCTCACCCTAGTGGGAGACCACCTCCCATTGGGCTGCACCTTCCAACGTTGCCACATTGGAAATCAAATATCAATATGAATTTTGACGGAGGCAAACCACATCCAAACCCTAGCATACATCTTGCAAAGATCGCAGTATAGTGCCTAGAATGTAGTGAATTCATATTAAATGGCGTTAGTTTTGGTGGCAGGATCAATTACCTGGAAACCAAGTGGCAGAAGTTAAGAAAGCAATTATTTCTTTATATTTTCCACTGAAGTGAAGGACCCTAGAAAATAGAGCTAGTGTCAGACTCCCCTCCAAAGAATTGGCTTCAGAAAGGCCACATCTTGGAATCAGCATCCTTTTATGCCCAAGTCAGAGAAATATTACGATCTATTCTGAGCTCCATAAGCTGCTTCAGCACATTGCGGGTGAGAAGAATGTGCTGGGAATGTAGGATAGTGCTGGCAAGAAGAGTGGGCTCAGCCAACATTAACACACCAAATCTAATGATAGAGGCAGTAGAGAGTGGTGTCCACTTTGCCTTTGAGAAAACAGGGAAGTGTATAACAGAAGAGCAACATGCAGGAAGCAGATGTAGCATCTTTTATTGCAAGGGAACATTCTACCTCTGGTGGCTTTGGTTTGAGCTTCTCTGTTGCATGCTAAGATGTTGTTTCTTCATGGAAGGAGAAGCCTGGTGGACCTGAGTATATACAAGCAGTGTATGACACTGGTGTGGGGCTTGGCCTGCAGCACCTTCATCTGAGTGGCTGCAGAGAAGGTGGAGCCTTTTAGAGCCCAATTTTGTCGGAGAGAGGGAAGCAATGCTTTAGGAGGACACAGGTGGAAATGCTGACACTCATATGGTATTTTGACTGACCAAAGAGGATAACATGCCTCTTCCAATTTTATTTCTAGAACATTCATCAGGAATTAAACAATTTGGGGGCCAAGGTGATCAAGGCTCTGCAAACTAAGTGATTAAAGTCTCTACTTATTACTCTCTCCGAGCAAGCTAAGGAGCATTCCAAGCACCCATGAGTCAATTAATGCAATAAAATTGGGAGGGAATCTTAGAAGAACTAACAGAATTTGCAGCACTGGGTTATTTTTTATTTTGAGTCCTACGGTCCAGGGTTACTTTTGCCTACAAATTTAATTCAAACCTATACACACAGAGATTGCTTAAATATGCCCAAGGAATATTTATGTGAATTGACAAGTCAGGTAAGAGTTCTCTTTCTTAAAATAAACTTCAGTTTCTTACCAGGATGAATAATCGTAAAACCTAGGTTATTAAAATTAATTAGGTATAGCCATTCTATTGCATATCATATTTATGACTATAACATGACCTCTATTTATTAAAGGGTCAAATGCTTGCTCTGTGCTGGCATTTTGGTACATTACAAATTTTCTGGGACATTTTCAGCTTTACATATTTTGCCTGATAAATACATTCACTTTTTTACTTTTTTAAGTTTTTTAGAGACAGGATCTCACTCTGTCACCTAAGATGGAGTACAGTGGCAGAATCATAGCTCATGGTACCAGTGACTTCCTGGGCTCCAGCAATCCTCCCACTCAGCCTCCTGAGTAGCTGGGATTACAGATGTGCACTACCGTACCCAGCTAATTTTTGTAATTCTTTGTAGAGATGGAGTCTTGCTATATTGTCCAGGCTGGTCTTGAACTCATGGCCTTAAGTGACCCTCCCACCTCGGCTTTTATTAGAATTAAATATATCAAATAATATTGGTGTGTATTATTACAGCACCATAATTGGATTTCAGTGATCCATTCAATGAAATTGGCATCTATATGTGTAGCAGGGGCTTGGGGTCTTTTTGGCCTGGATGTATAAATGAGAAGCTAACTGAAAATGGAGAGCATTAGGAAAGGTGACTGACAGGAGACACTAGAGAATCTGGGTCTCTTTTTTCCTGGATTTCTTTGATTCCCTGAAACACTGGGTCTGGAATGATTTTCTGCCAGTTAAGTATCAGATGATTCAAACAGCTTCCAGGGAGGAACATAAAAAGGATTAGAATTAGATAGGAAAGGCAAAGAAAACATAATTCAAGTCTGTAAAATCCTCACGGATATGAAAAGAGTTGCTGATATTGTCCACCAGATCCCTGAATAGTAGAATTATTCTCCCTTCCTAATATAAATACTGTAGGATAAAGGGTTAGGACAAACACAGTGAGGTTTGGTCTTATATTTCCCTCAGTACAGAGTTTACATTTTTTGAATAAATGACTGGGTGAAAAAATGGCTGGGTAGGTACGATAGCAAAGATCAAAAATATGAACTTGTCTATGGAATGTCTAGTGCAATTAGGGGTGATTGTATGTACTGGATTCTGAGCTGAATTTCCACTGATGTGATCTAATGAGACAGTCCTGATCTAAAAATAGATAATTTGAGTCTATGCATGCTTTTGGAACCCATCACAAATCTTTGTGGCCAATCCATGTCAATGGGAGACAAACATAGTCTGTGAACATTTTCAGTTTCAGTGACTAGATTCAGCCACACAGCAGAAATTTAGGAAATGCAAGTATCTGTCCTAGAAAGGTGACAGTACCAAGCCACTTACTCACTTGGCTCAAAACAGGCAACATCACCCGGTAACATAATTGCTAAACACAAAAACATTTGTCTGGGAATGTTTTTAGCCAATATTATGAAGAAGACTTAGGACTAGAGAACTATGTCCCATCCATTGCAATCTGTTATCTCAAGGTGAAATTTCATGAATATTTTATCAATAAGACTTTTCGCTACGTGTCGGTAGATACCACAAAGACAAGCGTCAGGGTACATTTAGTTGTAAACTACATTTAGTTACATACACTAAATATAAAAGATATGGAACATAGTATTTCCAAATCTGATACAGCCTGTCCTCTCATTAACATTCCTACTTCAAAATACAACCCATGGGCCTCCAAAAGCAAAGAGTTTCTATGCAAATTACTCATATAAACCAAAGCCCCAGGAGAATGATTAAACTGCTTAAAGGAAAAACAACTTTTTAAAAAAGGTTTGCAGAAATATCGTTTCTGAAAAAAAAAAGAGAGAGAGAGAGAGTCATGCTTATCACTAATGTCTTATTTATCTAAAAGTATGTTGCCCGTGGATTTTGGTTATGCAATGTTTTGTTAACCTAGTTTTAATTATTCTATGCATTTGGAAGAAACAAAATTATATGTATTAAAAAACATTCTATAATCCATCATTCCAGAAAAATGGTTTTATTGATTGTGTTTTGACATTATAGTTTATTGAGAGATGATATGAGAAATAGCTTTGTTACTATCAGGATTTTGTTAAGAGCACCGTTCATTCATTTCTCATTGACGTAAAGATGATACATTTATTTTAGAATTAATTAATGGCAAAAATTTAGTTCCCATAAAGGATCCATATAAAACCTCCTTATGGACACTGGAAGGTATATAACCGGCATGTTTTCTTTTTTGCTCTGGTCACAAGCAATCCGAGAGCTAATTTCACAGTAAATTATATGTTTAAGCAATCTCTGTAGATGTTCCTTATGCATTCTAAAATCTGAGACAGCATAGCTCTGTATTATTTTGGACTTAAAGTTTATACAAGGGTATTTTCTTCACTTTTTTTTCCCTTTTTTTTTTTTTGAGACAGAATCTCCCTGTTGTCACCCAGGCTGGAGTGCAATGGCACAATCTCAGCTCACAGAAAACTCAACCTTCCTGGGCTCAGATGATTCTCCCACCTCAGCCTCCCTAGGAGTAGCTGGGATTACAGCTGTGTGCCATCATGCTCAACTAATTTCTGTGTTTTTTGTAGAGACTGGGTTTAGTCATGTTGCTCAGGCTGGTCTGGAAGTCCTGGGCTCAAGTTTTCTGCCCACCTCAGCCTCCCAAAATGCTGGGATTATAGGCATGAGCCACCACGCCCAGCCTTTTTTTTCCCCACTCTTCTTAGGAGAAATAATTTAGCAATTCAAATCTGATGTGCCCATGCCACTATCTTCTGATGCTCTGTGTTATGGATCGAATGTTTGTGTGCCCTCAACATTCATATGTTGAAGTTCCAACCCCCAGTATGGCTGTAATTGAAGGTGGGGCCTCTAAGGAAGTAGTTGAGGTTGAGTGAAATCACAAGGGTAGGGCCCTGATTCTATAGAATTAGTGAACTTATAAGAAGACACATCATCTTTGCCTCTCGATATTCAAAGAAAGACGGAAAGAAAAGGAAAGAAGGAAGGAAGGAAGGTAGGAAGGAAGGAAGGAGAAAGAGAGAGAGAGGGAGAAAGAAAGAGAAAGAAAGAGAGAGAGAAAGGAAGGAAAGAAGGATGGAAGGAAGGGGAAGAAAGGAAGGAAGGAAGGAGAAAGAGAGAGAGAGGGAGAAAGAGAGAGAGAGAGAAAGAAAGAAAGAAACGAAGGAAAGAAGGACGGAAGGAAGGGGAAGGAAGGAAGGAAGGAAGGAAGGAAGGAAGGAAGGAAGGAAAGAAAGGAAGAAAGACCAGAGAGATGTCTTTATCCCAGAAAGTATGTGAGTGGGCAGTGAGATGCGGTTACCCAGGAACCAAGACAAGATGTCCTAGAATAAAACCTACATTTTTGGCACCATGGTCATGGACTTCCCAGCCTCCAGAACTGTGAGAAATAAATTTTTGTTTCTTGTACATTACCCCGCCTGTGGCTTTTTGCTATGGCACTCCAAGCAGATGAATACACTACAGTACCTTAAATCCATTTCATACTGGACAATATCAAGCTTTGTGTTAGAATATGAAGATTTTATTTTTAGTTAAATTATTGTCTTACTATTTAACGTTAAATCCACTTTTCCACCGCATTCACCTCAGTGATTTGCAAGATATCTGAACTTGAAAATTACCTTAATGGGCTTTATTTCTTTCTGGAATATAAATTATTCAGGGTCGGAAGAGAACTTAATGATTATCCAGTAAACCATCTTGTTTTATAAATGAGAAAAATGCAAACAAAATGCGTTAATTGCTCATAGAACCAAGATCAGACCCCAGATCCATAAAAGAATCCTGGATTTTTTTCTCATTCCCAACATGTGGTACCAGCTCCAAGTTGCTGATTTTCTACAAGCCAGTTGGTTAGAATTTAAACTAGTACCACCACTACAGAAAACAGTGCGGAGATTCCTTAAAGAACTAAATGTAGAACTACCATTCGATCCAGCAATCCCACTACTGTTTATCCACCCAGAGGAAAACAAGTCATTATATGAAAAAGATACTTGCACATGCATGTTTATAGCAGTACAATTCGCAATGGCAAAAATGTGGAACCGGCTGGGCGCGGTGGCTCACACCTGTAATCCCAGCACTTTGGGAGGCCGAGGTGGGCGGATCACGAGGTCAGGAGATCAAGACCATCGTGACTAACACGGTGAAACCCCGTCTCTACTAAAAACACAAAAAATTAGTCGGGCTTGGTGGCGGGTGCCTGTAGTCCCAGCTACTTGGGAGGCTGAGGCAGGAGAATGGCCTGAACCCGGGAGACGGAGCTTGTAGTGAGCCGAGATCACGCCACTGCACTCCAGCCTGGGCAGCAGAGCAAGACTCTGTCTCAAAAAAAAAAAAAAAAAAGTGGAACCAACCCAAATGTCCATCAATCAACGAGCGGATAGAGAAACTGTGGCATATATATGACAGAATACTACTCAGCCATAAAAAGGAGTGAATTAATGGCATTCACAGCAACCTGGATGGGATTGGAGACTACTATTCTAAGTGAAGTAACTCAGGAATGGAAAACCAAATATTGCATGTTCTCATTCATAAGTGGGAGCTAAGCTATGAGGATGCATATGCAAAGGCATAAGAATGATACAATGGACTTTGGGGACACGGGGGAAAGGGTGGGAAGGGGATGAGGGATAAGACTACAAATTGGGTTCAGTATATACTGCTCAGGCTATGGGTGCACCCAAATCTCACAAATCACCACTAAAGAACGTATCCATGTAACCAAATACCACCTGTTCCCCAAAAACCTATGGAAATAAAAAATTTACATAAAAAATACAGCAATATTCTACTCCATTTTGTTATTCAATGTCAGTTACCTTATGTTAAAAGCTAGCCACAAAGGAATTGCACTGTGGGTTTATATTTTTAAAAGACACAAGAAGTTAGATAGACATGATTTCAAATTTGGACCTAGGGGCTGGGCGTGGTGGTTCTCTCCTATAATCCCAGCACTTTGAGGGGCTGAGGCAGGAGGATTGCTTGAGCCCAGGAGCTCCAGACCAGCCTGGGAAACTTAGTGAGACCCTGTCTCTTTAAAAAGAAAAACTGGATCTAGCAAACTAAGCATTTCCATAGCAGCAGTGTGACCAGAGCAGGTGCCTAACTTTTACAAAGTTTGATTTCTTGTCTATAATAGAAAGGAAGTAATACCTGCATCACCAGCTGCATTTCTTAGCTGTTTCTCTTTCTTTGCCATCGCTGTGGCTTTGAAGGCTGCTATCTGACTGGCCTTGGAAGAAATAAAAGAAAGAGAATCAGAGATGGTCTTGCCGATGACTGTAGCAGGCGCGAGTGGGCAGTGGGGAATAATTGCAGGAAGCAGGGAGGGAAGGGAATTAAAATCAGACGGGAAGCCTCTGTATGAGATGAACTTATATGATATCTGAAGGTCAGGATCTTACATGGGAAAGGAACAGGAGCAGAAAAATGAGTGTCTCCTACGTGATGGGGCTCTGGGTGTGATTTATGAGGGAGACCAAATGGAGGGTTATTTGATAAGCTGACTGCATGGTGCCTTGGAACAGGCATGAGAAGATTCTGCAAAAGCATGTCACCCACGCAGTGAGACCGAGGTCAAAAGTAAAGTGCAAGAGTCACTGGTGCATTTTTATTAATTTATGAAAATCCAAGTCGTGTGCAAAATTTAAGATTCTCAAATTTGGTCTAAAGCAGATGAATCTGTTATCTTCAGCTAAGTCACAGTTTCCCAGGAGAGAATGTAATGCTCACATTGTTATTTTCTTTTACATTTTGTTGCTAGAATGACCTTTTAATTTTTGAAATTTAAATTTTAATGAAAAAATCAAATGTACCTATAAAAACATCAGAGTTCAAAAAGTCTTTAACAACAAAGAAACAGGCTTCTCCTTTGATAGAAATTACAACTTTTAACTCCTGTTTCTGTTTCTCTTGCAAATAATATACTAACACCAATATTTTGTGATTTATCAACCATAAAGATTATATGCAGACTCTCTGATATAGAAGAGGAAAATGTTGGTCCCTTACCTCCAGGGTCCCTGCCTTTACTTTCTATAGAATACAACAGTAAAACAACATTCCCTGGAATAGATCCATGCTGTGCCCCCAAAACTCTTTCAGTCCTACTTTTTTTTTTTTTTTTTGAGCTGAAGTCTCATTCTGTTGCCCAGGCTGGAGTGCAGTGGCATGATCTCAGCTCACTGCAACCTCCACCTCCCGGGTTCAAGCTATTCTCCTGCCTCAGCCTCCTGAGTAGCTGGGACTACAGGTGCCCACCACCATGCCCGGCTAATTTCTGTATTTTTAGTAGAGACAGGGTTTCACTATGTTGACCAGGCTGGTCTCAAACTCCTGACCTCAGGTGATCTGCCTGCCTCAGCCTCCCAAAGTGCTGGGATTACAGGTGTGAGCCACCACACTCGGCCTTACTTTTTTATATTTATATTTTGTAGTTATTTTCATGGTTACCCCTTACAATTTTAAATAACATATTTAAACTTTTGTTTTTTCTTGTCTCAATTTTAGAGGAGTGCTGACTCCAGACCATCAAAGTTGAGGCTTTTAGCAATCACATCCCTTTCTCTCCTTGATTCTATCCTTCTCTCTGTTCTCCAACTTCTTTTAAGAAATAAAATCACAGTTTTTACACTATTAAGATGGAAAACACAAATGCAATTGTGCCTCATAACCAAAAAGAGAACTTCTTTATTTTTCCCATAGATTAATTCTAAATCTTGAAAACCAAACCTATCCAAAACAAAACAACAACAACAACAAAAACAACGAAAGGAAAAACAACAAAAACATTCACTTATCATGACTACGTCAATTTCTCAGATTGCAGAGCCAGATAGTAATCTAGGGTTACATTTCCTTTTGAAGGGTTAATGCCTCTCAAGAATAAATGTTCTTATCATGCATATCAAATTGATTTCGCTCTTTTTTTTAAACACTATTCATGGCTCAGAAACACTCCTGGTTTATTTTGCTTTATATTTAGTCCTGAGATTCGTATTCTGGTTTTCCCTCCAACTTGAAGTTCCTTCCTACCTTCCTTTATCCTTCCTTTTTTTCCTCCCTTTTCTTGTTAGTAAAATTCTATTACGTCTTTGCCATATCTCCAAAATTATCCAGTCTGTCAATAATTCCAGCTATTGGGGAGCATCCAGTTTCTTTTTTTTTTTTTTTTTTTTAAGATGGAGTCTCAGTCTGTCGCCCAGGATGGAGTACAATGGCGCAATCTCAGCTCACTGCAACCTCCACCTCCCAGGTTCAAGCGATTCTCCTGCCTCAGCCTCCCAAGTAGCTGGGATTTACAGGCACCTGCCACCACACCCGGCTAATTTTTTTATTTTTAGTAGAGATGGGGTTTCACCATATTGGCCAAGCTGGTCTCGAACTTCTGACCTTGTGATCCACCCACCTCGGCCTCCCAAAGTGCTGGGATTACAGGTGTGAGCCAGGTGCCTGGCCCCAATTTGCTTACTGGAAAAAAACTTTCCTGGAACCTCCCAAGTTTTTTTCTCCATCTCAGTCCATCTGCTTCCTGGGTTCTATCCTGGAACCTCACTAGTTTCTACTCTATGAAGAACAAAGCATAGAGTGGAGCCCTAAGTGGAGTATCTGTTTGGAGAACAAATACATGCTCAATTCAGTTCTTTGCTTAGGCTCCCCCTCTCACTCTCAACCTCTATTCTCCCAGACCTCTAGTCTAGGGTATGTCCTGAGCTCTTCCCAGGAGACAAGTTCCCACACCATGACATCTCTTCTTTAGCATATTCTGGGCTGGGGATGTTTCTGTTGTATCCATCCATGTACTTTCATCTGACGTTCATCTTCTTGCATGCATTGAGACCCCCTCAACAACTAACAACAGCCCCCCCACATCCATGCCCCTTCTTTCTTTCTCTTTTGTGTGTACATTCTTTTCTTTTTCTTTTTTTTTTTTCCTCCTTTTTGTGAAAAACAGGATCTTGCTATGTTACCCAGTCAGCTCTCGGACTCCTGGGCTCATGCGATCTTACCACTTCCACCTCCCTAAGAGCTGGGCATGTACATTCTCTTAATTTTATTTGCATTCCTCTGGGATCTCTGTAGCAGTGTTGGTGGTGATCAGTTCAATTCTATGGTAGGGAGAAAGTAGAAGCTGTGATAGGTGTTGAATGACTTTATGAAGACTTCATCACATAGGTTTGATCATTATTGTTAACTTACTCTCCTGCCCCTCTCCCCTCCTTGGAGGGTAGGAATGAAGCTGAAAATCCCAAGCTTCTAACCATGGCTTAGGCTTTCTAGTGACCAGTCGTGATCCTAAAGCTCTCCATAAGTTGACCAAGGGTTGCCTCATTAGAACCAAAGATGCTCTTATTACCCCAAAAATTTGAAGAGATTTAGGAACTCTGGGTAAGATGTTTCTATCACCCTCATCACTCAAGAAACTACAAACATTTCTGGAGTTCTGTTTCAGGAACCAGGGACAGAGATCATATCTATGTTTCTCATTGTGCCATAGTGCTCACCATAGAATACTAGGCATAGGAGAAGCAGGGAGGTAGTGAGCTTGACTGACAGGTGAGGAGCTGGTTGGGTCCCACTGGTTTCACTGAGTGGGACTTCTCTTGCTATTGGCGTCTTATCCCCAGCCCTCTGGCCAATTTCCTAGTCACTTTGGTAGTGGAGCAGATGGAACATGAAGTGAGCAAAGATTGGGAAATTCTTCCTGTCATGATTATTATTATTTGTTCTGTCTTGAAAGTTACCACTCCATGGACAATTGGAAACTGATGAATAATAAAAATAATGCCTGCTTCTTGGAAATACAGTTAAATATTTGTGTTAATTAAACATCACTCAGATACACTTGAAAAAGTGGGCGGCTTGGTGGCTTTGCATAACAATGAGTAGAGGGTGAATTTACAAATTTTTTCTCAATAATCACAAATGTAAATGTGTATGAAAATTGTCCTTTTCATAGGGTGGGTGTATTAGTTCATTTTCACACTGCTATACGGAACTACCTAAGACTGGGTAATTTATAAAGATAAAAGGTTTAATTGACTCACAGTTTTGCATGGCTGGGGAGGCCTCAGGAAACTTACAATCATAGCGGAAGGTGAAGGAGAAGCAAGCACCTTCTTCACAAGGTGGCAGGAGGGGGTGGGAGGGAATTGTCAAACACTTTAAACCATCCGATCTTGTGAGAACTCACTCAGGATCACAAGAACAGCATGGGGGAAACCACCCTCATGATCCAATCACCTCCCACCAAGTCCCTCCCTGGATACATGGGGATTACAATTGGAGATGAGATTTGGGTGGCGACACAGAGCCAAACTATATCAGTGGGGAAGGAAGAGAGTAGGTGAGTTTGCCAGGGCTACTTTGAGTTCAGAATCCTAAAAATAAGAGTGGAGATTTATCTGTGGTGGAGAGACCAACAGAACCATGAAGATGTCCACGGTGAGAAATGCAGGCATCTCAAGTGGTGATCTGTGTGGTTCCCAAACATGGCCACATTAGCAGCATATAAACAGGTCAACAGAGAGTAGTAAGTTCAAGTTCCTTGAGTCATTAATTGGGTTTTCTTCTTTTTACCTCCCTGCCTGTCCTGTACCTAGTGTTCTGTGGTGAACACCATAGCACAATAAGAAACATAGACATGGTCTCTGTCCCTGGTTCCTGACACAGAACTCCTTAAACCCTTGCAATTACCTGAGTGATAGGGGTGAAAGAAGCATCTTACCCAGAGCTCCTAAATCCCTTCAAATTTCCTGGGTGATAACGGCATCTTTGATTCTAATGAGTCAACTCTTGGTGGGCTCCTGGAGAGCTTTAAGATGGGGGCTGGCCACTAGGGAACGACCAGCCCATGATTAGAAGCTTGGAACTTTCAGCTCTACTTCTCTCTTCTAGGGAAGGGAGGGAGGCTAGAGATTAAGTTAATAATAATTGATCAAACCTATGTTACAAAGCCCCCATAAGGTCCCTTAACTGTGAGATCCAGAGAACTTCTGAGTTGATGAAGGGTTCTATGTTCTTGGAGGGTGGTGCATCCCAACTACATGAGGATAGAAGCTCCGGTTCCCAGAACCCTTCCAGACGTTGCCCTAGGTACCTCTTCATCTACTCTTCATTTTTATCTTTTACACTGCTGGTGGGAATGTAAACTAGTAAAACCACTATGGAAAACAGTATGGAGATTCCTTGAAGAACTAAAAGCAAAACTACCGTTTGTTCCAGCAATCTCACTACTGGATATCTATCCAAAGGAAAAGAAATCATTATATAAAAAAGACACTCCCACAAGTATGTTTATAGCAGTACAATTCGCAGTTGCAAAAATACGGATCTAACCTAAATGCCCATCAATCAATGAGTGGATAAAGGAAATGTGTTATATATACACCATGGAATACTACTCAGCCATGAAAATGAATGAAATAATGACATTCACAGCAACCTGGATGAAGTTGGAGACCATTATTCACTAAGTGAAGTAACTCACGAAGGCAAAACCAAATAACCAAATATCGTATGTTCTGACTTGTAAGTGAGAGATAAGCTATGAGGACACAAAGGCATGAGAATGATATAATGGACTTTGGGAATTCAGAGGAAAGGGTGGGAGAGGGGTGAGAGATAAAACACTACACATTGGATACAGTGTACACATTGGCTCACTACTCAGGTGACGGGTGCACCAAAATCTCAGAAATCACCACTAAAGAATTTGTCCATTGCAGCCATAAAAAAGAATGAGTTCATGTCCTTTGCAGGGACATTGATGAAACTGGAAGCCATCATTCTCAGCAAACTAACACAGGACCAGAAAACCAAATACCGCATGTTCTCACTCATAAGTGGGAGTTGAACAATGAGAACACATGTACACAGGGAGGGGAACATCACACGCTGGGGCCTGTTGTGGGGTGGGGGGCTAGGGGAGGGAGAGCATTAGGACAAATACCTAATGCATGCGGGGCTTAAAACCCAGATGATGGGTTGATAGGTGCAGCAAACAACCACAGCGCATGTATACCTGTGTAACAAACCTACAAGTTCTGCACATGTATCCCAGAATCTCAAGTAAAAGAAAAAGAATTTATCCATGTAACCAAAAGCCACCTGCTCTCCAAAAACTACTGAAATAAAATAATAAAATAAATCTCTTATAATAAATCAACAAATGTAGTAAACCCATGTGAACCACCCAACTGGTATCCACAGAAAACTGGAGAATTGTTGGGTGTGGAAAACCCACACAAGTTTGGTGTCAAAAGTGTGTAGTGCAGGTTCAGCATGTATTCATTGTGACAACTTGCAGCAAGGTACTTAATTCTTTGGTGCCTCAGTTGCCTCATCTGTAAGGTGGGGACATGAGTATCTGCATCTCACAGGGCTGTGATGAGGTTTACACAAATTAATACATGTGAAGCCCTTAGATATTGATAGTGCTGTAAGCCAACAGGGAGGGGCTCCAGGGACTTTACTCAACTTGAGCAATCAGCCTATTTCACAGCCTCCTGCCCTGTAGCCTGTTTCTTTCTAAACTCTGTGTGGAATGCAGTGACCTAATTGGTTAAAATCAGCTCCTGGGCCCAGCCTGGTGGCTCACACCTGTAATCCCAGCACTTTGGGAGGCTGAGGTGGGCGGATCACTTGAGGTCAGGAGTTCAAGACCAGCCTGGCCAACATGGCGAAACCCTGTCTCTACTAAAAATACAAAAAAAAAATTAGCTAGGCGTGGTGGTGCACACCTGTAATCCCAGCTACGTGGGAGGCTGAGGCACAAGAATCACTTGAATCCAGGAGGTGGAGGTTGCAGGGGGCCGAGATCATGCCACTGCACTCCAGCTTGGGTGACAGCGAGATATTGTCTCAAAAAAAAAAAAAAAAAGGACCTCCTCTTTTGCAGATTTCTACTATCTAAGATGAATGTTCTGGCTTCCCCACAGGACTCTGGCAAGGCCTCCAGCCTAAGTGAAAATCAGATGTTTGTGTGCACAACTCTGTATGTGTGTGTGTGTACAAGAGAGAGAGAAGTGAAATATTAAAGAAGTGGTTCAGCTAAATAAAGGATCTCATTATGTGTGCTATTTTTAATTCCTCAAATGTCTGCCTTCTTCTCCCCCCTTGAGGTTCCTACTGAAATCTGACAATCAGGGTTGAACTTCACTGTCAGCTTCCATTAAGCAAATCAAGCAGGAAAAAAAAGAGTGTGAGTCTCGTCTTGGCAGGAAGCTGATTCAGCAGTGATAATCTGCTTGTGCTGGAGGGCCCAGATACCAAAGGGTTTAATTAGTTAGCCTAGGTGCTGTCTCCGGCCACAGTGCTCCCCTCCCCTTCCCTCCATCCTCTAGCCTCCCAGATGAGTGTTTTTCCCTCCATCCCTAGCCTCTGGGATGAGTTTCTTTCCCTGCGTCCTCTGCTTCTAATTCATGGGAATGCCTTGGGAATGACAAGTACCCATGGCCATGCCTGCCAGGCACCATGTTGACCCTGTCAAGAGCATTTCCTCTGATGTGGACTGATCCACAGGCACTGGCTGTCTCCCTCCCTCCATCTCTTGGCTCTCTCAATAGGAGTGAGACTTGACGCCTCCTGGGAAAATAAGGCTGCAGTGGAGTCAAAGCCACAGTGATTTCTTTCCTGGAGAACCAACGAGAACACTCCATTCTCTTCCCTAATCTGGTCTCCATCTGACTTCCTTCATTAGGCATTCATTCATTCATTCAAAAACAATATCATGGCTTGTCATGGTAGTTCACACCTGGAATCTCAGTACTTGGAAGGCTGAAGTGAGAGGATCACTTGAGGTCAGGAGCTCAACACCAGTCTGGGCAGCACAGTGAGACCCCATCTCTACAAAAAATAAAATAAAATAAATTAGCTGGGCATAGCATTGTGTGCCTGTAATCCCAGCTACTTGAGAGGCTGAGGTGGGAGGATTGTTTGAGCCCAGGAGGTCTAGGCTACTGTGAGCTATGATCACATCACTGCACTCCAGCCTGGGGAACAAAGCAAGACTCTGTCTCCAAAAAATAAAAATAAAAAATAAGAGGAAGAGAAAGAGGAAGAAGAAGAAGAGGAAGAAGGGGAAGAAGAAGAAAAGAAGAAGAGAAGAAGAAGGAGGGGGAGGAGAAGGAGAAGAGGAGGAGGAGGAGGAGGAAGAAGAAGCCAGGTGCTGTGGCTCACGCCTGTAATCCCAGCACTTTGGGAGGCCGAGGTGGACAGGTCATGAGGAGAAGAAGAAAGAAGAAAGAGGAAAGAAGAAGAAGCTAGGTGTGGTGGCTCACGCCTGTAATGCCAGCACTTTGGGAGGCCGAAGTGGGCGGATCACGAGGTCAGGAGTTCGAGACCAGCCTGGCCAATATGGTGAAACCCCATCTCTACTATAAATACAAAAATTAGCTGGGTGTGGTGGTGCGTGCCTGCAGTCCCAGCTACTCAGGAGGCTGAGGCAGGAGAATCGCTTGATCCCAGGAGGCGGAGGTTGCAGTGAGCTGAGATCGTGCCACTGCACTCTAGCTGGGGCAACAGAGTGAGACGCTGTCTCAAAAAAAAAGAAGAAGCAGAGAAAAAGAAGAAGGAGGAGGGCGAAGGAGGAGGAGGGAGGAGGAGGAGGGAGGAGGAGGAAGAAGGAGGAGGAGGAGGAAGAGGAAGAGGAGAAGAAAAGAATCACCATGTCATTAAGTTGTGAAGCATTCTGGCCAGGTTGTGGGCAAGATTCTGAAACACGGTCTCTTCTCTTAATAAGTGTAGGATCTAGGAGATACCTAATGTAAAAAGGAGAAAGGAACCTAACACAGGGATTTATGGTCTAGAAAAATTAACAGGGAAAATAAGACCAAAGACAGCCAAAGTACAAGACAGAAGATAATATTGCAATAAGGTTAAGAGCTCTGGGAGCTTGGGGAGTTTGAAAGAAGATGACCCAGTTCTAAAAAATAAAAAAATAAAAAAAAACACTTTGAGAAGTGTCCTTGGAACTGGATTTCAAAGGTTGAGTAAGATATAGTCAGGTAGAAAGAGGAAACTTCTGATCTCTCAGCCCCTTCTATGACTTCCACCTTCAGGTATCGCAGAGCAGCTTACACTCCTGAATTTCAGGAGGTCACTGAAATTCTCTAGCTATCACTGATCCCACCCAGCTCTTCCCTACCTCCTAGCCTGAGCCACTCCTGCCTCTTCAACTGCTCCAAGGTCACAGCTGGACACTCCCACTGTGCCTTTTCCTCTTTTCCTGTCCTCGCCAATGCATGGTCTCATGCGACCTTTCACCACAGTAGGCTGAGTCGATGTTACTGCCACATGCTTTTTGCAGCTTCTGCATGCCAATTGTTCACACTGGGGTAGGCAATGGCCCTCTGCCTAGCTGTGGTGCATACCTCCTTAGAGGCCACTGTGATGGATAGCTCTGCTCACCCAGTTTCTTGTACACCCTTTCTGAGTTTCCTAGGGTCTTACGATCACTCTCTTTAGGATCTTGAATCAATTCCCTTCAGAAGAGATGGCAAATGCCTGAAAATGTGTCCTCCTAACCAACAACCAACAATCTTCTCAGGTCTGAGTCCCATGACTAGCATTTTTATTATATTGTCCAGGCGAGCAGTGTAGGGGAGGTGCTCTACTCTCCAACTGGTTTAAGAATCTTAGTCTTGGATGACCATTGTCCCAAGAGCTTTCTACCCACAAAGCTTATGAAATCTTCAGGCGAATAGTGCCCTGATAAATGGTTGCTTTGTCAGGTCCTCCCAGTTCTTGCAATACACTTGCATGCAAAAAATAAAATCTTAAGTGTTCCAACCAATTGGATGGACACCCCGACTTGGCCAAGGAGGGACCCCAGAGAAATCTGAAAAACTGAATTCCAGGCCATGATGGGAAGGGAGGTTTGGCAAGCCTCTTTATACTTCCTCTCCTTTTGGATGTAGGCACAACTCACCAGCAGTAACATTAAAATAGAGATCCTAGGACTGACCAAACAGACACTTTACTGAAGTAAGGTACCAAATTCTAACCTGACTCTGGTTAGCATTACATGACAGATAGCAGACCCTGAAGAAAATCCAAATATTTTACCCCCAAATTTATTTCTTTGTCTTATTTTATTTTATTTTATTTATTTTATTTTGAAACGGAGTCTCACTCCTTCACCCAAGCTGGAGTGCAGCGGAGCAATCTCAGCTCACTGCAACTTCCGCCTCCCAGGTTCAAGTGATTCTCCTGCCTCAGCCTCCTGAGTAGCTGAGATTACAGGTGCGCACCACCATGCCTGGCTAATTTTTGTATTTTTAGTAGAGATGGGGTTTCACCATGTTGGTCAGGCTGGTCTCGAACTCCTGACCTCATGATCTGCCCACCTCGGCCTCCCAAAGTGCTGGGATTACAGGCGTGAGCCACTGCGCCCCGCCTGTCATATTTTAAGATGGCCCCATAAAGCCATATTTTATGGGGGATATTTGTATCTGTAGAGAATCTCCATTAATGCAGCCAGGCCTTTCCTGAATCTAGAAGTGATTAACTCAAAGTCTGACACCTCTTAAGATCCAAAAAGGGACACTTACCATCTATTCTGTCTGAAGGCTACAATCCTGGCTTCCAGTTCTTCCTTATCCTAACTCTAGCATTTCTTTCCACTGACTTCAAGTCTTTAGACAAAACTTAACTCTTTTCAGCCAATTGCCAATCAGAAAATCTTAGAATCTACATATGATTGGTATGTGCCTGCCTTAAGATGTCCTGTCTTTCTGGGCCAGACCAATGTATACCTTACATATATTGATCTATGTCTTTGCCTATAACTTCTATCTCCACAAAATGTATAAAACCAAGCTGTATAGGGCCAGGTGTGGTGGCTCGCGCCTGTAATCACAGCACTTTGGGAGGCTGAGGAAGGTGGATTGCCTGTCAGGAGATTCAGACCAGCCTACCCAACATGGTGAAACCCCGTCTCTACTACAAATACAAACATTAGCTGAGTGTGGTGACGCTCACCTGTAATCACAGCCACTTGAGAGGCTGAGGCAGGAGAATCACTTGAACCTGGGAGGTGGAGGTTGCAGTGAGCTGAGATCAGGCCACTGCACTCCAGCCTGCATGACAGACTGAGACTCGTCTCAAAAACCAGAAAACAAAAAACAAAAAAAACAAACCAAGAAACCAAACTGTAACTCAACAGCCCTGGGCACACTTTCTCAGGACCTCTTGAAACTGTTCTCTTGGTCATGGTCACTCATATTGGCTCAGAATAAATCTCTTTAAAAATTTTACTTTTTAAAAAATGTTTTTGTTGGCTGGGCTTGGTGGCTCACGCCTGTAATCCTAGCACTTTGGGAGGCTGAGGTGGGTGGATTACCTGAGCTCACGAGTCCAAGACCACCCTGGGCAACACGGAGAAACCCCATCTCTACTAAAAATACAAAAGAACATGGCAGCATGCACCTGTAGTCCCAGCTACTCGGGAGGCTGAGGCAGGAGAATTACTTGAACCCAGGAGGCAGAGGTTGCAGGGAGCAGAGATTGTGCCATTGCACTCCAGCCTGGGCGACAGAGTAAGACTCCATCTCTACAAAAAAAAAAAAAAAAAAAAATTGTTAACACACTCCACTCAGCGCTTTTATCTTTGAATTTAATCAACTCTATTTGAGCTGGGAGGTGACTGGCATTCATTGGGAACCTAGTCAGTGGCTGAACTCTCTCACTTGTCATATGCCTTCTAGAACACACACGCGCACGCACACACATATACAATTGTTTCTTCCTTGTGGCAATTTTCAGCTTTTCAAAGGCACCAAGTATTTTTTTCCAGTTCAATTTCTGGTTAATTCTAGGCTACACATTTCAATTTCTGGTGAGTGAGGTCATGTGCAAATGCACACAGGTAGGGAGGCGAGGTGCCTGATGCCTCCTGAGTCCTTCAGCCAACCTCTTCTCTCCACATCATGTTGCTTCTAATGCTTCTAATGCTCTCTGGGATTCTCAGTCCCTCTCTCCAAACAAAGGAATACTAATCTAGCTCTGTAGACCTTATGATACAATCTTGATTATTAAATGAGACTAGATGTGATACACAGTTCAAAAAGTGCAAAGTGGCCAGGCGCAGTGATTCACGCCTGTAATCCCAGCACTTTGGGAGGCCCAGCCAGATCATGAGGTCAAGAAATCAAGACCATCATGGCCAACATGGTGAAACCTCATCTCTACTAAAAATACAAAAATTAACCAGGCATGGTGGCACGTGCCTATAGCCTGTAGTTCCAGCTACTGGGGAGGCGGAGACAGGAGAGAATTGCTTGAACCTAGGAGGCGGAGGTTGCAGTGAGCCAAGATCACGCCACTGCACTCCAGCCTGGTGACAGAGAGGGGGGAAAAAAAGTGCAAAGCTCTGACAAACATGATGTATCAGTGTTATTATAAGAAACTTGACACCCTTTTGGGTTGTATGAGTCAAGGACCATATATATAGATACATGAAAAGGAATTGGCTCATGTAATGATGGAGGCTGAAAAGTCTCACATGTACAAGCTGGAGACCCAGGAAAGTTGTTGGTGTCGTTTGAAGACCTGAGAGCCAGAGAGCCAAAGGTATAGATTTCATTCTGAGTCTAAAAGCCTGAGAACCAGGAGCACAGGGGGCAGGAGAAGATCAATGTCCTGCTCAAAGTCACACAGAGTTAATTCAACCTTCCTCTACCTTTTTCTTCTATTCAGGGCCTCCATGGCTTGGATGATGTCCACTCACATTGAAGAGGGCCATCTGCTTTACTTAGTCCACCAATTCCAATGTGAATCTCTTCTGGAAACACCCCCACAAACACACCCAGAAATAATGTTTAACCAGCTATCTGGGCATCTCGTATTTCAGTCAATTTGACACATTAAATTAACATCACATGGGTGAAGATTGGTAGTTGGGAGAATATTATTTCAGGGAACCTGGATGGTGTCTGCTAAAGGATTTGGATTCTAAATTAACATAGTAACTAATTGTACCGAGAAAAGAGCAGAGTCCTAGACAGAATTCTGACTAGGCTCCTAGTTGGCTGTCAACCTCAATTTCCCTGTCTGTAAAACAGGGAAAAGAAAACCATCTTACAATGTGCTCATGAGGGCAAGAGAAGCTCATGAGAAGTTTTTTTGTTTGTTTGTTTTTCTTTTTTGTGTGTGTGTGTGTGTGTGTGTTTTTGAGACAGACTCTCACTCTGTCGCCCAGGCTGGAGTGCAGTGGTGCGATCTCGGCTCACTGCAACCTCCTCCTCCCGGGTTCAAGCAATTCTCCTACCTCAGCCTCTCGAGAAGCTGGGATTACAGGCACGCACCACCAAGCCCGGCTAATTTTTGTATTTTTAGTAGAGAAGGGGTTTCACCATGTTGGCCAGGCTGGTCTCGAACTCCTGACCTCAAGTGATCTGCCTGCCTCGGCCTCCCAAAGTGCTGAGATTACAGGCGTGAACCACCCTGCCCGGTCATCATGAGAAGTTTTAAGGAAAAAAAATATGTATGTGAACGTGCCTGACACAGAGCAGATGACTGACTACCAGATACCAGGCTTCAATGGAAGATGAGCTTAGCTCTCAGTAACCCAATCATGTAGGGGATGGAAAGAACAAAATCCCCCAATAAATCCCTGCCTCTATTCTGTGAATAATCTCAGAACTTCAGGCACTAATCAGACAAGCCAGACTCTGTTTAGTCTTTCATCTCAAATAAAAGTCTTCGACACAGTGATATCATTATCATGCATCGCTCCTCAGAAGTAAATTCAGCATTTGTGGGTAAATAGAATAGATCACAATGAGTGTCGCTCGGAGGAGGACGACCCAACAGCGCAGACAATACAGATTTTAGGTGGTGGAAGTGGGTCACTTGTCTGCACCAGCTGCCTGAGCAGCCCTGAGCATGTGCAAAACAGGACATTTCCATTTTCTTTCCCTGCACGAACCCAGATTTTTGGCTGCCCTAGGCATGTAGGCAGAGGGAGACAGAGGGGTGGGGCCGGCCTCAACGCAGCAGTGTGCTAGCAAGAACTGGGGACATTTTTACCCTGCCATCCCATCATCTGTTCTGGCTACACAAAATGAGTGTGAATTATGGGGGCCTGCTGAGCCTTTCATTTCCCTCATCTGCCACCCCAGCAGCCTCTTTCCTGGAAATTAAGTGCATGTTTCATTTGCTTGCAGCAGGAATAAGAGTTACAAGTTTGCCTGTCACTCTGCCACCAGCCGTTTCATTTCGGCTTCCCCTCCCTCCCAGTTCCAGGGTAGCCCTTCCAAAGGGCAACCACACAGCCCTCTTCTGGAGGCTGGCTAGCATCTGGAAGTCTTCTTCTTCTTCTTCTTTTTGGTTTTTTTTTTTTTTTTTTTGAGACGGAGTTTCGCTCTTGTTGCCCAGGCTGGAGTGGAGTGGCACTGTCTCAGCTCACTGCAACCTCCGCCTCCCAGGTTCAAGCAATTCTCCTGCCTCAGCCTGCCAAGTAGCTGGGATTACAGGCACCCGCCACCATGCCTGGCTAATTGTTTGTATTTTTAGTAGAGATGGGGTTTCATCATATTGGCCAGGCTGGTCTCAAACTCCTGACCTCAGGTGATCCACCCACCTTGGCCTCCCAAAGTGTTGGAATTAGAGGCGTGAGCCACCACGCCAGGCCAGAAGTCTTCTAATTAGAAACACTGATGCTGCTTCCAGGAGATAGGTGGAAGAAAGCAGTTAGAGCAATGCTGTTTGTCCATACAGTTTATGTGAGTCACTATTTTTTTCTCTCTTTTCTTTCTCTTTTCTTGGTCTCCCTTCTCTTTCCCCACTCTTTTTTCTCTCTCCCTTCATCCCATTATTTCTTTTTTTGGTATTTTTTTTATTTAAAAAAAAGCTACGTTTTTTTTTGAAATCTACCAACAAAATGATCTTTCTAAAAGTCACCCTCCTGGAACTTGCCCATGCATACGAATTACCTGAGAATTTTGATCAAGTGCAGATTTTAATGCAGTTAAGTCTTGGGTCTAACCTGGAGTTCTCTGTTTCCTATAAGTACTCCTGTGATACTGCTGCTACTGCTATGACTGAACCGTAAACCACACCTTCAGTAGCCAGAGTCTAACCATCAGCACGTCATGTTATTCCCCGCCTTGAAAACCTCAGATGGTTCCCTGTTGACTACAGAATAAAGTCTAGACTCCTTGCAAATCACACCAGGCTTTTCAGCTTCTAGTTATTTATTTATTCAGTCAATCAGCCAAGCAGCAGATATTCATTAAATGTCTCCTAGAGGCTGGAGTCCTTATACTCTTTTCTAGTTTCATCTTCTACCACTCCCAACCATGAGCACTATGTTCTTGTCCAATGCTGTCTCTCAAACATCATGATTCTTTGTTCCCGTATCTGTCTCCAGCCTTGTTCTCACGCCTGTTCTCCTCTTGTTCCACTTTTCTTTTTCTTTTGAGACAGAGTCTCACTCTGTTGTCCAGTCTGGAGTGCAGTGACGCAATCTTGGCTCACTGCAACCTCTGCCTCCCAGTCTGGAATGCAATGGCACAATCTCAGCTCACTGCAACCTCCACCTCCCAGGTTCAAGCAATTCTTCTGCCTCAGCCTCCTGAGTAGCTGGGACTACAGGCTCGTGCCACCACGTCCAGCAACTTTTTGTATTATTAGCAGAGACGGGTTTTCACTATATTGGCCAGGCTGGTCTCGAATTCCTTACCTCATGATCTGCCCACCTCAGCCTCCCAAAGCGCTGGGATTACAGGCATGAGCCACCGCTCCTGGCCTCCACTTTTTAAATTGTTCCTTACCCTTCAAGGTGCTCTTTCAATGTTGGCTCTGATAAGAAGCTTTCCTGGAGTCCTCCAGACATTTCTTTGAATATCTAAAGGTATTGTGCACAAAATCCTGACACTGCACTCGTCACCTTGCGAGGCAATTTGGGGATTTGGGGGTAAATCTCCTCCATTAAATTGGAATTTTCTTTTTTTAAATTTTATTTTTTGAGATGGACTCTTGCTCTGTCGCCCAGGCTGGAGTGCAGTGGTGCAATATCAACTTACCGCAACCTCCACCTTACGGGTTCAAGCGATTCTCCTGCCTCAGCCTCCCAAGTAGCTGGAATTACAGGCTCCTGCCACCACACCCGGTCAATTTTTGTATTTTTAGTAGACATAGGGTTTTCCCACGTTGCTTAGGCTGATCTCAAACTCCTGACCTCAGGTGATCCACCCACTTCCACCTCCCAAAGTGCTGAGATTACAGGCATGAGCCACCACGCCTGGTCAGGGATTTTCCTAAGAGAAAACCTAGGATATTTCTTTTATTTTATCCACACCCTACCTGGCACAGGGCTAGGAACATAGACAGATGCTCAATCAGCATTCAATAAATGAAATGAATAAACATTAGAAAGAGATAGTATCTGTTCCCTCCTTTTTATTCTTCCCATGAAAGCACACAGATCTAATGTAAATACAGCTTAGAGGAGATAACTAAAATGTATAGATTGTTCTCAAAGTTAATTTTGTAAAATAAGTTTTGGCTTTTTTTTTTTTTGAGACAGAGTCTTGCTCTGTCCCAGGCTGGAGTGCTGTGGCGCGATCTCATTTCCCTACAAACAAGTAGGGAAAACTGGGTGTGGATCCAGGCGGAGGTTGCAGTGATCCACCCACCTCTGCCTCCCAAAGTGCTGGGATTACAGGCATGAGCTACTGAACCTGCCCCCGTTTTCCATACTGTTAACATGTAGTCATGTGCCAATTAATGACAGAGACACAATCTGAGAAATGTATCAGTAGGCGATTTCATCATTATGTGAACACCATAGAGTGAACTTACAGAAACCTAGATGGTAGAGCCTACTACTCCCAGACTACAAACCTGTACAGCATGCGACCGTACTGAATACCGAAGATAACTGCAACGACAAGTATCTATGTACCTAAACATATCTAATCATAGAAAAGAAACAGTAAAAATACTTTATACATGATTTTTTTTAAATGGTAGACCAGGCCGGGCACAGTGGCTCACACCTGTCATCCTCTCACTTTGGGAGGCTGAGGTGGGTGGATCACTTGAGGTCAGGAGTTCAAGAGCAGCCTGGGCAACAGAGTGAGACCTCCGTCTCTACTAAAAATACAAAAATTAGCTGGGCATGTTGTCAGGTGCCTGTATCCCAACTACTCAGGAGGTTGAGGCAGGAGAATCACTTGAACCTGGGAGACAGAGTTTGCATTGAGCCGAGATCGCACCACTGCACTCCAGCCTGGAGAGAGAGCAAGACTCTGTCTCAAAATAAATAAATAATAAGAAAATATACCTATATAAGACATTTACCATGAATGGAGCATGCAGGACTGAAGGTTGCTCTGGGTGAGGCAGTGAGTGAGTGTTGGTTGAATGCGAAGGCCTAGGACATTACTGTACTCTACTGTAGATGTTATAAACACTGTAGGCTAAGGTTACGTTAAATTTATAAAATAATAAAGTAATGGCACTACTATAACAGCTACAATGTCATTAAGAAATAGGAATTTTTCAGCTTCATTATACTCTTTTTTTTTTTTTGAGATGGAGTCTCACTCTGTTGCCCAGGCTGGATTGCAGTGGCATCATCTTGGCTCACTGTAACCTCCCCGTCCCTGGTTCAAGCAATGCTCATGCCCCAGCCTCCTGAGCAGCTGGGATTACAGGCACACACCATCACACTCTGCTAATTTTTGTATTTTTAGTGGAGACGGAGTTTCACCATGTTGGCCAGGCTGGTCTCAAACTCCTGACCTCAGGTGATCCACCCGCCTCGGCCTCCCAAAGTGCTGGGATTACAGGCATGAGCCACCGTGCCCAGCCTTATTATACTCTTATAATCTTATAGATGCACCACCATTGTATATGCAGTCCACCATTGACCTAAACATCATAATGTGGTATGTGACTGTATTACATTAATATGGTGTATTTGTTACAATTGATGAATTGGTACTGACACATTATCATAAACTAAATTTCATACTTTATCCACCTCTTCCTAGTTTTTACATAATATTTTTCTGTTTCAGGATCATGTTGTAATAATTATTTTTTATTTCCTATAGTTGATTATTTGGCATCTTGTGGTCATAGACCAAACTGGCAGTCAAAGCTGTTTACATTCCTACCATCTCTGTATATTGCAGATGCACAGAAATCGTGTAACAAACCCTTCAACCATGAACCCCAAACATCTGTGTTTTGCTTTCTGCCCAATAGAGGATGGACATCCTGACCTAACAACTTTCCACCATTAGAGAAATAAAGGTTCTCACCCAGGCTTTCCCCTAACTTCTCCAGCCTCTTTGTAGCAGGACGAGCTGCAGACAAAACTCCTCAGACACCGGATTAAAGAAGGAAGAGGTTTTTATTCGGCCGGGAGCGTCGGCAGACTCGCGTCTTAAGAGCCGAGCTCTCCAAAAAAGAAATTCTTGGCCTTTTTAAAGGCTTTCAACTTTAAGGGGTCCACGTGAAAGGGTCGTGATACATCAAGCAAGCATGAGAAATACAACTGGGGGCTACATGCATCAGCTAACAGAACAAAAAGTTTTACAATGCTTTTTTCATACAGTGTCTGGAATTTACAGATAACACAAGTAGTTTAGGTCAGGGGTTGATGTTATTATTACTACTTTTTTTTAACTCCTAGGGCCGGGTGGTGGTGCCAAGATTGTCTGGCTGTTTATCTTACTTTTGTTTTTTTCCAACTTTTTGCTTTTTTCTCCTCCTGTTTTGCGAACTAGGCAAGGTGGGGAGAGGAGGGCAGCAGGAGTACTAGTGGTCTCCTGCCTTATCTTGACTGTCCCTGCTGCTCCTCATGTGGCCCTGGTGTGTCGTGCCCCCTCCTCTCGGGACTGTGAGTAATAAACTTCTTTCAAGGCAGATGTCTCCATGTTTGTTATCTTACTCTACCTGATTAAAACAAATCTCAAGTACAGTTCAAAACAATTGGCACAGAGAACAGGGTGTTTGAGTTGACAGCCTGTGAGAATGTGTCTCTGCACCACCCTTGGCTTACTAATTAAATGCATAAAATGACATGCTGTCTAGAAAGGGCACCACAGTCTATTGACCTACCTGTACTTTAGCCACCACTGCCTGAGGGTGCGTCTGCTGAATTTGACCTTGGTTTCCCACCCTAAACTATTGCAGGACCCAAAGGGAGCTATTGCAGGATTTTGGCACAGCTTAGAGTAGCTGTAGTCTGGGCAAACATTCTGAACTGGTACGTACGACGTGCCCAGCATGCAGGCAAAGGATCTTGGAGGCACCTGGGGGAATTGGCTAACTTACAAGGCAAAGGCTCCTCCTGAGGGTGTGGGGAGAGGCTTTTCTCAGGGTGCCAAAGGTGGGTCTGATCAACTGACCCAGCAGCCCTGGGAAGGTAAGGGCCACCCACACACAAGTGCTGTAGGCTAGGCCTTGTGTCTGCTCTCTTCTAGAATTCTAGAGTCAGCACCATTTCCTTTCAACCTTCTCTAATGAGGTTGTTTAATACATTTGCAATTCACTTAGAATTTTTTTTCATGATAATCTGTATTCTATCCTGGGATCCCCTGACCTTCTAAATGATTGTTTCTATTTGCATACATTAAGGTTCACTCTTTGCATTGTAAAATTCTATGGGTTTTAATAAATGTGTAGTGTCAAGGATCCACCATTACAGTATCAAACAGAATAGTTTCTGCCCACAAATACATCGCATGCATTTTACTCACTCAGCTCTCCTTCTTCCCCCTAAGTCTCTGGCAACCAGTGATCTGTGTACAATCTCTATAGTTTTGCCTTTTCCAGAACATCATATAAATGGAAAAAATATAGTGTCTCTAAGTCTTTTCAGTGCTGGCTTCTTTCACTTAGCAGTGTGCGTTTCAGAATCATCCATATCTTCTCATGGCTTGATAACATATTCCTTTTTATTGCTGAATAATTTTGTTTGTTTGTTTATTTGGTTTGGTTTGGTTGAGATGGAGTTTCCCTCTTGTTGCCCATGCTGGAGTGCAGTGGCGCGATCTTGGCTCACTACAACCTCCACCTCCCAGGTTCAAGCAATTCTCCTGCCTCAGCCTCCTGAGTAGCTGGGATTACAGGTGCCCACCATCATGAGCGGCAAATTTTTGGATTTTTAGTAGAGACAGGGTTTTGTCATGTTGGCCAGGTTGATCTTGAACTCCTGACCTCAGATGATCCACCCGCCTCAGGCTCCCAAAGTGCTGGGATTACAGGTGTAAGCCACCATGCCTGGCCTGAATAATGTTTTCATTGAATAGTATTCCACCATTTGTTTATCCATTCACTTAGGGAAGGAATCTTAGTTGCATCTAGTTTTTGGCAACCATGAATTAAGCTTCCATAAACATGCATGTTTTCATCAGTGTGTTTTCAAATTAGTGGGATATCAAATTTAATTTTAACCAATAGTTAAACATTTAGTGGGGGTAAATACTTAAACACGTTACTAGAAGCCTGAATGACCTACGATTCTGAATATGTGAAGAGAATTCCAAAACACCTTTATACTGCATTCTCCCAAGGGTGGAAAAATGGATCTTACAGTTGTGCCAGAAGGGGAAATAAGTTATCTGGGGGAGTTTGGTCTTGAATGTCCAAGGGAGCACAATAGAATACCTGAATATTCATTTATTTTTATTAATTTTTTTAAAGGAATGGGGGCCAGGTGCAGTGGCTCACACCTGTAATCCCAGCACTTTAGGAGGCTGAGGCAGGTGGATCATCTGAGGTCAGGAGTTCAAGACCAGCCTGGGCAACATGGCAAAATCCATCTCTACTGAAAATACAAAAATTAGCCAGGCGTGGTAGTGGGCACCTGTAATCCCAGCTACTCAGGAGACTGAGGCAGGAGAATCGCTTAAACCTGGGAGAAGGAGGTTGCAGTGAGCCCAGATCACACCATTGCACTCCAGCCTGGGTGACATGAGCAAAACTCTGTCAAAGAAAGAAAGAAGGAAGGAAGGAAGGAAAGAAAAAGAAAGAAAGAAAGAAAGAAAGAAAGAAAGAAAGAAAGAAAGAAAGAAAGAAAGAAGAAAGAAGAAAGAGAAAGAAAGAAAGGAAGAAAGAGGAAAGAGAAACAGAGAAAAAAGAAAGAAGAGAAGGAAGGAAGGAAGGAAAGAAAGAAAGAAAATGAAAGAAGGAAAGGAAGAAAAAAGAAAGAAAGAAAAAAGAAAGAAAGAGGGAGAGAGAAAGAAGAAAAAGAAATAGAGAAAAAAGAAAATGAAAGAAAGAAAGAAGAAAAGGAAGAAAAGAAAGAAAAAAAGAAGAAGAAAGAAAAAAGAAAGAAAGAAAGAATGAATTGGGGTCTTCCAATCTTGCCCAGGCTGGTCTTGAACTCCTGGGCTCAGACAATCCTCCTGCCCCAGCCTCCCGAGTAGCTGGGATTGCAGGTATGAGCCAACCTCTGGTTATTTTAAAAGCAGCATTCAATAAGCATTTTTTAGATAAGATTTTTAAATAACATTTGTTTTATAAGCTGAAATCTAGCATTAAAAAAATTAAATAGTTTCTATGTGTACAAACTGGTTTGGAAATTGGCAGCTGACACGATTCATTGTCGAGTAATCTGTCTCTTCTCTCCCTACCTCACTTCCTCTACAGCCAGGCTGGTCTCTTCTCTGTTTTCTGAATGTTCTGAGCTCATTCCACCCTTCCAGCCATTTGTCAACATGCTGTACCCAACTGCAGGGCCCTCTCTCCTTCTACTGATCCAAATGTGACTAAATCCCTCAAGATTTGATTCTATTCCGCCTTCATTCATGAAATCATCTTTGACGGTTTTTGTTTTGGTTTGGTTTTTTTGTTTTTTGTTTTTTGTTTTCTGTTTTTTTTTGAGACAGAGTTTTGCTCTTACTGCCCAGGCCGGAGTGCAATAGCGTCATCTTGGCTGAATGCAACCTCCGCCTCCTGGGTTCAAGGGATTCTCCTGCCTCAGCCTCCCGAGTAGCTAGGATTACAGGCATGCACCACCACGCCCAGCTGATTTTGTATTTTCAGTAGAGACGGCATTTCTCCATGTTAGTCAGGCTGGTCTTGAACTCCTGACCTCAGGTAGTCTGCCTGCCTCCGCCTCCCAAAGTGCTGGGATTACAGGCATGAGCCAATGCGCCTGGCCAACTGTTCTATTTTCGAAGTATCCTTCACTTTAATTAAATACAACACAGCTTAGCCCTTGTATTAAATAATTGATGGATTAATTAAAAACACATTAAGAATTTACCATATTCTGGACTTTCTGCTTGCTTTTGGGAGGGCCACAAAATGTTTTCATAAGTGGCCCATAATCACTTTCTCTTGTCACTTCTGTATTTTGCATTTCAGGTTTCTTTTGCAATGAAGTTCTAAGATTTCCATGAGGATAGATATCTTTATTCCTGCATCTCCAAAAATAGCCATCTGGGGATCTCTGCATTATAATAACAGCTGCTGTTTATTTGGTCCTCACGAAATGTTGATTATGTCCTAAGGGCCTTACATATATTCATACGGTCCTTACATGCTTCGCATTTACTTGTTCCCATTTTTACAGGCTAAGAGTCCAATGCAGAGAAAGTTAAGCAGCTTGTCCAAAATCGCATAGCAATTATGTTTTAGAACCAAGATAACCAAGATTTGAGCCCAGGCAGCCTGACACAGAGCTGACAGTGGCTCCCATTTCCGTCCCAGCTACAGATAACCACTATGCACTACAGTCTTTACAGCAAAAACAAAACAAAACAAAGCACACACATACACACACACACACACACACACACACAAAGAAGACTTCATGATTTTCTTAATTTGTAATTCTTCAGAGGAATTAACCATGCTCAAATTCCATTGTGACTGGTAGTCATAAATTCATAAAACATAGCCTGCTCAGCTGGACGCGGTGGCTCACGCCTGTAATCCCAGCACTTCGGAAGGCCAAGGCGGGTGGATCACCTGAGATTGGGAGTTTGAGACCAGCCTGACCAACATGGAGAAACCCCATCTCTACTAAAAATACAAAATTAGCTGGGCATGGTGGTGCATGCCTGTAATCCCAGCTACGCAGGATGCTGAGGCAGGAGAATCGCTTGAACCCGGGAGGCAGAGGTTGCGGTGAGCAGAGATCGTGCCATTGCATTCCAGCCTGGGCAACAAGAGCAAAACTCTGTCTCAAAAAAAAAAAAAAATTAACCTGCTCATTGTAATCCAATGTCATCCCAGCAATACATCCTGTCCTGTATCTTTTGTTTGTTTGTTTGTTTGTTTTGTTTTGAGACAGGGTTTCAATCTATTGCCCAGGCTGGAGTGCAATGGTGCGATTTTGGTTCACTGCAACCTCTCTGTCTCCCAGGTTGAAGCAATTCTTCTGCCTCAGCCTCCTGAGTAACTGGGATTATAGATGTGCACCACCATGCCCAGCTAGTTTTTGTTTTTAATAGAGCCAGGGTTTTACTATGTTAGCCAGGCTGGTCTTTAACTCCTGGCCTCAAGTGTTCTGCCCACCTCGGCCTCCCAAAGTGCTGGGATCACAGGTGTGAGCCACCACCCATGCCCAGTTCTGTCCAGTATCTTTGATGTAAGCCTGACTCATCATCTCACAGTAACTCCTGTGTACCACTTTACATTTTCCCTGGAAGTATATTTTCTGCTGCTTGGTGGTAATTCTGAAGGCTTTCTTATGACTTTTCCCAGGGTATATTCCGTGCACATGACGCTCAAGTGGGTGGAGACACATGCATTTATTTATCGATTCAAACATGCCCAATTTATTTAAGTTGTACTGATTGCGCGGTGGCCTTTGGGAATGTGTATGAATCTCAGCGGCAATGTTTAAACTAAATCAAACTGAAAAATTTATCTTTAAGTAACAACTTACAGAACCAAGCAAGGCTGCACTGAACAGAGATGTTGTAAATCCATTATCCTAAGTATCCTCTGTCCTGACACAATTTTCCCTAAAGCTTCTGAAATGTTAAATTTCTTGCCAGACAAGCACACATGAATTCCAACAACTGGCTTGATGAATTTTTCACAGATTTTCCATGAGTCATATCGCAGGCTAGAAACACCCTGTAAGGAAGAGGCTAAGAATGGAGTGAGGCTATTAAACCAGATAGTGGGAGCGCAAAATCTTGGGGATATAGTGAGATTTAGCCTGATGTAGGATGGCCAAATTTAGGGGAGTGGGGTGGAAGAATCTAATTTGAGTGTATTGATAAGATATTAGGTGGAATTATCCGTGTCTTCTGCTCTAGAAGTACCTACCTGTGGTGCAGAAATATCTTTCAGCATTTATTTAGAAAACAATCAATAATAGCTAGATATGGCTGGATGCAGTGGCTCATGCCTGTAATCCCAGCACTTTGGGATGCCTAGGCGGGCAGATCACTTGAGGTCAGGAAATTGAGACCAGCCTGGTCAACATGGTGAAACCCCGTCTCTACCAAAAATACTAAAATTAGCTGGGCGTGGTGGCGGCTGCCTGTAATCCCAGCTACTTGGGAGGCTGAGGCAGGAGAATTGCTTGAACCCAGGAGGCGGGGTTGCAGAGAGCTGAGACCACATCACTCTACTCCAGCCCGGGCAACAAGAATGAAACTCCGTCTCAATAATAATAATAACACTAATAGCTAGATATTACAGAAGCAGTGTCCATTTCTGGGGCTATGAAATGTGCTAGAAGAAACTAAGCAAGATTGTTAGGAATTCTGCCCAGCGTGCCAGAATTTAGAGTTGAGCTTCTATTTTAGCAGGTGAAAAGAAAAACCAGGAATCAGGGCCAAAGACATCATGGCGGGGATTAAGTATGGAAGTCGTTACCTTACTTATCCTCATCTAGGACTGATACGAGGTAGGAAGAGCTGATCAAATTTCAGAAGGCAGCCTAGTAAAGAGAGCCTGACAGTTTCCTCATTCATTGTTCCAGAACTGAGCCTGCAGGTTGAATCCAGGAAAAGGACCCTGGCATTTGAAAGCAACCAGAACTGACTACAGTGAGCCACTGTTTCAGTGTCAAGTAGATTCAGCCTCATGCTTTTAAGGGAAGTGGGGTGAGTTGGGCAGATTGCTTGAGGCCTGTGGCGACATAGTGGGATCCTGTCCCTACAAAAAATTTTAAAAAGTTGCCAGGTGTAGTGGCTCACACCTGTAATCCTAGTGCTTTGGGAGGCCAAGGCAGTAAGACTGCTTGAGGCCAGGAATTTGAGACGAACCTCAACAACACAACAAGACCCTCATCTCTACAAACCAAAAATAAATTTGCCAGTTGTGTTGGCTCATACCGGTAATTCCAGTGCTTTCAGAGGGCAAAGTGGGAGGATTGCTTGAGGCCAGGAATTTGAGACCAGCTTGGGCAACATAGCAAGACCCCATCTCTACCAAGAAAAAAAAAGAACCAGTTGTGGTGGCTCACACCTGCAATCCCAGTTCTTTGGGAGGCTGAGGCAGGAGGATCACTTGAGCCCAGGAGTTCAAGGCTGCAGTGAGCTATGATACAGAGATCTCTTGAAAAACTCTATGTGATGTAATCCCAGCACTTTGCAAGGTCAAGGCGAGTGGATCACCTGAGGTCAGGGGCTCGAGACCAGCCTGGCCAACATGGTGACACACCATTTATACTAAAAATACGAAAATTAGCTGGGTGTAGTGGTGTGTGCCTATAATCCTAGCTACTCTGGAGACTGAGGCAGGAAAATCACTTGAACCCGGGAGGCAGAGGTTGCAGTGAGCTGAGATCATGCTGCTGCATTCCAGCCTGGGTGACAGAGCAAGATTCTGTCTCAAAAGAAAAAAAAAAAAGAAAAATGTTATTCCCAGGAAATCAGGTATTTCTTGGTAAGATTAATTACTGGGATTTATCAAACCCCAAGTCTGAGCAGGGGAGAAAGATTGAGCAGTCTGTTTTTCCTTCTCACAGCAGTTGGTATATGAGGGGGCAGTCCCTTGGCTCTTAATGCTGAGTAGCAGGACCAGATCGAGTGTCATTGTCATCTCCAATGTTACTCCTTGCCCTCCCTCTTCCCCATACCTGATGGGACATTCTCCAAAGTGGTTGTATCAAACAATGCTCTCATCATCAGACTGAAAATTCCAGTTGCTCCACATTCTCACCCATGCGTAGCATTGCCAATTTTTACCCCTTAATTTTAACCATGTGAGTAGGTATCTCATAGTTCTAATATACATTTCTCTGTTAACCAGTGACGTTGAACAATTTTCACTTAATTACTGGACATTTGGATGCTGTCTTTTGTGAAATGATATCTCAAGAATTTGGCTGCAGCACATTCATTCCAGATCAGGTGGCCAGTATGCCTGGGCTTGTTTCACTGTATTCCATTGGTCTATTGTTGGTCTAGCCTTGTAATCATATCAATGGTCCTAATAAGCACAGTTTTATAATAATACAATTTTCTTTCTTTTTTTTTTTTGAGACAGAGTCTTGCTCTATTACCCAGGCTGGAGAGCAGTGGCATGATCTGGGCTCCCTGCAACCTCCACCTCCTGGGTTCAAGCGATTCTCCAGCCTCAACTTCCTGAATAGCTGGGATTACAGGTGCCCACCACCATGCCTGGCTAATTTTTGTGTATTTTAGTAGAGACGGGATTTCGCCATGTTGTCCAGGCTGGTCTCGAACTCCTGACCTCAAGTGATTCATCTGCTTCATCCTCCCAAAGTGCTGGAATTACAAGCATGAGCCACCATACCCAGCCTAGAAATAAGTTTTAAAAAGCACATTTCCTTGTGTTTTTGATCCATAATTTCTACTGAAAGAACAGCTCTTAGGCTTTTTTTTTTTCGTACCTTTGATGGTAACATGTCTTTTTTCTCTGACTGCTTTTGAGTTTTTCTTTAGCTTTCAGGAGTTTTATTATGATATGCCTACATGTGGCATCCTTTGTTTTTGTCCTGATAGGAACCCAGACAGATTTTCGAATGTGTGTGTGGCTTGATGTCTTTTATTAGTTTGAGAAATTTTTCAGCCATTATTTTTTCCAACATTACTTGTCCCATTCTCTTTTCTCTCCTTCCAGGAATCTAAGTATGTACGACCGCTTACCGAGTCTCATATGCCCCACAGCCTCATTTCTGTAATTTTCAGCACTTTTTCTTCGTGTTTAAGTCTATATGTTTTTCTACTAAGCTCTCTTCCAATATATGACTCCTTTCCTCTGCTATGTTAATATACTGTTAAACCATCTATTGAATTTTAATTTTGACCATTCCTATTATTTTTGTCCTAGAATTTCTCTTTGGTTTTTTTTATAGATTCTAATATTTTGTTGAAATTCTCTATCTTGCCATTTATTTTCTCAAACATATCATCACAGTTATTTTGAAGTTTTTGCCTTAATAGCTGCATCACCTTTAGGTCTGTTTCTTTCTTCTGTTTTAGTTTTTCTCCTGAGATTTTGGTCATTTACTTTCTCAGGTCTCCTGGCACGCATGATAATTTTTTCATTGCCAGATATTTTGCATAAAAAGTTGTAAGGTTCTGCATTATGCTCCATTCTTCTGTAGAGGATTTAAAATTACTCTGGTTAATAGGTATAAATGCCTTTATTCAATCAGGGAGTGAAATGATTTGAGGTTAGGTTTAAGCTTCTACATGAGCTTGTTTGTTTTGGGTCTATACTTACTCCTGCTTGGGTCTGAATTGGTATGCGGCTATGAGTGCTTCATCAACTTCTTGGCTCTTTCTGAAATATAATTTTGTTTTCCTGGCACCATGAGCCTGCTAAAAATACTGCATATATATATATATATATATATATATATATAAATTTTTTTTCCCTTAGTCACAATTTTATGCTGTGTTTATCAGCTTTTTGTCCATGAGGGGGAGAGTGGAATAGAATGTCTCTTTAGTTCCTTTTCTCCAGGATCTTACCCCTCAGTCATGGAAGTCTCAGAAGCCCTGAACTCTCATTTTCATCAATTCCCATGATAGTTCTAAGAGCTCTGGGCTGTTACTTCCTGCTAGTCCTGTAGACTTCAGGTTGGGATTCAGAAAATGCCCTAAGGAAGAAAAAATACTGCTCATTTGGCTTTTCAATACTTGGTTGCATTAATTGTCTGATGCTATCAACGTTTTTTTTTTTTCTTTCAGACGGAGTCTCACTCTGTCTCCTAGACTGAAGTACTTTGGTGCAATCTCGGCTCACTGCAACCTCTGCCTCCCGGGTTCAAGCGATTCCCCTGCCTCAGCCTCCTGAGTAGCTGAGATTACAGGTGCCCACCACCACACCTGGCTAATTTTCATATTATTACTAGAGACGGGGTTTCACCATATTGGCCAGGCTGGTCTCTAACTCCTGACCTCAGGTGATCTGCCCGCCTTTGCATTCCAAAGTGCGGGGATTACAGGCATGAGCCACTGTGCCTGGCCCAAAGTTTTTTAAAAAATTTATTTGGTTTTCGATTTAGTCAAGAATTCATAGTTGTTCTTGTCAGATGATACCTCTAATAGAAGATGGCCATTATAACTAAAAGCAGATACCCTCAATAATTTAGACTTCAGCCACCAAAATTGTTCAGTTAGGCTAAGGATTAGGAATGATGCTACAATGTATATAGAAGCTTAAACTATAAGCAGTGGTATGCTGGTAAATGTTTAACAACCAGCTCTCTGGCAGAGTTGGGGAAGAGTCAGGATTCTCACTTATATTTTCCAATTTCTAGGGTGTAAGTACTTTACCATAGCAACCTCTAAGTGCTTAACATTATGTTATTGAACACAAAGTTTCAAAAAGATGTGCACAAGTGGCCGGGCGTCGCGGCTCACGCCTGTAATCCCAACACTTTGGGAGGCCAAGGTGGGTGGATGATGAGATCAGGAGATCGAGACCATCCTGGCTAAAACGGTGAAACCCTGTCTGTACTAAAAATACAAAAAAATTAGCCTGGCATGGTGGCGGGTGCCTGTAGTCCCAGCTACTTGGGAGGCTGAGGCAGGAGAATGGCATGAACCCGGGAGGTGGAGCTTGCAGTGAGCCAAGATCACGCCACTGCACTCCAGCCTTGGTGACAGAGCGAGACTCCGTCTCATAAGAAAAAAAAAAAAAAAAAGATGTGCACAAGTAACTACTGGGAGCTGGTATAAACTGGCTCTAGTATATTCTACCAATATGGCACTATGCTTCAAAGAGATCAACTGACTGTTGTTGATAAGTCAACTATGTTGGATCTCTTCCATCCACAAAGGTAAAGGGTATCCTCACAGTAATATATATCTAGTCAAGTATTGTTTGCTTTCTCTTGCCCAGAAAGCCCCAGTCAGTCACCTATCTGGAGGCTTATAAATGCTGGATCCGCAGGTATGGAAACCCACACCACATAGCATCCAGCCAGGGACCCAAATCATAATAAAAATGTGGGCATGGGTGGATTGTCGACTATTATAATATGATGCGCTACATCATCCAGAAGGAAATAGCCTCACAGAGTGCAGAAACAGACTTCTAAAGGCACCGGGGAAGTACCATTGTGTAGCCAATAGTCTTCAAGGATATGGCGGCATTTTTTAGGATGCAGTATACACATCAAATTAGAGTGCTTTATATGGTACTGTGCCCCATATAGGAAGAAAATATGGACCTGGAAACAAAGGGGTAGGGGTAGGCTTTTCCCCACTTCTCATCACTCCCATTGACCCACTGGGGACTTTGTATTTTCTTTTCCTGGAATCCTGGACTCTAGCGGCTGGTCCCTAAAGGGAACATACTTAACAGAGGACACAGTAAGGGTCCTGCTGAACCGCATTCTACAAGTGTGACGAAGGTACTTTGGACTCCTTGTGTCCAGCAATCAGCAGATGCAAAGAAAGTCACCAACTTGGCAAGTGTGATTAAGTGTCATTGGCAGGAGGTTGTAGGGCCACTTTATCCAATGAGGACAAGGACAAAAGCAGGGGGACCCAGGTGATCTTCCTGGGTGTTTCCTGGGACTCCCTGCACCATTGTAACTGTGAATGAACACATGCAGCAACTCCAGCCTCAGAAGGGTATGATTGCCAAGTATCTCATTCCCTGAGAAACCAAGTTTGAATCAAACCACCAGATAAGCTACCATGACTTGCCAATGAAGCCACCATCATCTGCCAATCAAGCCACTATTACCTGCCAAACTGAAAGCTGAGAGTGGGGGTGGTATAGAGGGTGGGGGTGGTATAGAGTTCAAAGAGATCAACTGACTGTTGTTGATAAGTCAACTATGTTGGATCCCCTCCATCCACAAAGGGTCAAGAGTATTCTCACTGTAACATGTATCTAGTCAAGTATTGTTAACTGCAAGACCTACTGTAGCAATGGGGCAGTACCTTGTCCCACAAACCAAATTTCTTTTAGAAAGAGAGGCCATAGTGTAGCTGTTCCCTATGCATATGTGGACAGGTAGACTGTGGTCACCATCAAAATTCCCTGGTTAGATCCCTGCTGCCAGAAAGATAGTCAACTGATAGTACCAGCTTCTGGGTCTATCATCATGTTCATTCTAAGGTCACTTTTCACCCAGGCTGCTCCCATCCAGTTAACGGGGATAGTAGGGGAAGTAGTACAGACTCCTTCCTGCACAATGTAGGACTTCTTTTTTTTTTTTTTTTTTTTTTGAGAGGAGTCTCACTCTGTCGCCAGGCTGGAGTGCAGAGGCGTGATCTCGGCTCACTGCAATCTGTGACTCCCTGGTTCAAGGGATTCTCCTGCCTCAGCCTCTCTAGCAGCTGGGCTTACAGGCACGCACCACCATGCCCAGCTATTTTTTGTATTTTTAGTAAAGACGAGGTTTCACTATGTTGGCCAAGATGATCTTAATCTCCTGACCTCGTGATCCACACACCTTGGTCTCCCAGAGTTCTGGGATAGGCGTGAGACACCGTCCCCAGCCGATGTGGGACTCTTTTAATGAGTGAGTTTGGCTTTTCAGTGGCCTGGGCAAAACTTTCTTGCAGTCTGAGCCCTTTTCTATTCAATCACCCTTCCTTCCCCCTACTTTAGCACAGATGTCAGACCAGCAGCATGGTCTGAAAGCTCTTTCTGACAATGCCTGCTTTTCCTGCTTTGTCCTTCACAGCTGTTACCCCAATCCATCTCTTGCATGGCTAATCCCATCTTGGCTTCTCCTTGTTTGACAAAATCGAACACAGCCTGGATCCTGGGGTCCTCAGTGGTCTGAGGAAGAATGTCAGTAGGAAAATATTGAAAGAGAATTCTCAAAAATGTAAAAAGGGAAAGAAGTAGTAATACCTTAGGAAACATTGTATGAAAGAACTTCAAGATTAGGTGGTTAATGACTTCAAATACTGCAGAGAGTTAAATAGGGTGAGAGCTAAAATGAACGCAGTGGGTCAAAAATTTGGGGTTCATTGGCAGAGAAATCATACAATCTGGTTTGCCCTAAAGAATCCTAGGCAATGTCTGTGGTCCTCCTATATTCACAACTTCCCTTTCAAAGTGTCTTGGCTTCAACAATAAATTATATGATATTTGTTCCAGTTAGCTTCTGCTGCCTAGTAAATGACTCTATAACTTAGTGGAATAAAGCAGCCATCATTTTATTATGCTTAAAGATTCTGTGGATCAGGTGTTTAGACAGGGCGCAGAATGAATGGCTTGTCTCTGCTCCATAATATAGAGAGCACAAGATGGGAAAATTCAAATGGCTGGGGCTTGAACTACTGGAGATTGAGGTTAGCTGAGACTATTAACCAGAACACATGTGCATGGCCTCTCTGTGTCTTGGGCTTCCTCACAACATGGCCACCTCAAGGTGGTCAGGATTCTTACCTAGTGGCCCATGGCTGTAAGAGTAAATATTCCACTGAAAACAGAGAAAACTACCTAGCATTGGAAGTCCTATAGCATCACCATCACTCCTGTCATAACCCATTCCAGGGGTTGGCAAACTATTTCTTAAAAGGCCAGGTAGTAAAAATATTAAGTTTTGTGAGACAAGAGGCAAAAAGAAGGGTATTAGGCAGGTTCTTACATGACTGATTAAAACAGAACCATTTTAAAATATAAAAACCATTTTCAGGTCACATCATAAAATACCAGGGAGCTGGCCAGATTTCACCCCCAAGCCATAGTTTGAAGACCCTTGACCTATTGGTCAAAGATTCAGGGAGAGGGGACTTAGAGCCCACCTCTTGACTAGATGGATACCTAAGAATTTGCAGCCATGTTTTAAAACTGACCAACCATTGTCTTCAGTAGTAACTTTTCTTGGTGCACTTTTAGTATAAGGATGGCGTGTGTGTGTGTGTGTGTGTGTGTGTGTGTGTGTATCTGTGTGTGTGTTATTGTTTTGTTTTGTTTGAGACAGGGTCTTGCTTTGTGGTCCAGGCTGCAGTTGAGTGGTGTGATCATGGCTCGCTACAGCCTTGACCTCCCTTGCTCAAGAGATCCTCCTGCTTCAGCCTCCCAAGTAGCTAGGACTACAGACACATTCCACCATGGCTGGCTAACTTTTTTTTTTTTTTTTTGCACAAAAGGAGTCTCACTATGTTGCCCAGGCTGGTCTCAAATTCCTGAATCAAGTGATCCTCCCACCTCAACCTCCCAAAGTGCCGGGATTACAAGCATGAGCCACAGTGCCTGACCAGAATAATGTTGACAAAGGACGACTGCAGTGATTGAAGACTTTGGGAGAGGGAGTGAGAAGGTGGGAACTTCCAAAGATTCTAGAAAACATGGAGAGTGTATTTAAAAGGTGATAAAGATCACAGGAATATATTTCTTGTTTTTGTTCTCCTCTTTCTCTTTCCCTTCTCTGCCTTTATTCCTCCTTCCTCTTACTACTGGGGCAGGTACATAGATTTGTAACATGAAGAAAATATGCTGAAGGCCTACTGATGGCTTAAGGCCCCAGAAGAGGTGTTGAAACTCAACTGCCCAAAATTGCTGCACAGGGAATGTCAATCAATGAATGAAGTCTGGGGCTATTATATAAGGAAGTATCTTTTACTTCCGCAGATAAATATGTTCTCCCCTGTTTTTCTAAAAACACACCACCCCTTCCTACCTCAACCTCACTTAAAAAAAAAAGACTACATGTGCTTGTTTTTTACATGGGTATTGCATGTATAATGGTGGGGATTGGGCGTTTAGTTTATCCATCACCCAAATATTGAACATTGTACCCAATAGGTAATTTTCAACCATTAACCATCTTCCTCTTCCTCCGCTTTTGGAGTCCACAGAGTCTATAATTTCCACCTTTATGTTCACATGCACCCATTGTTTAGTCCCCACCTATAAGCAAGAACATGCAGTATTTAATTTTCTGTTTCTGAGTTAGTTTACTTAGGATAATAGCCTCCAGATACAACCATGTTTTTGTAAAGAATATGATTTCATTCTTTTTTATGGCTGCATAGTATCCCATGGTAAGTGTGAGTGTGTGTGTGTGTGTGTGTGTGTGTAATACCACACTTTCTTTATGCAATCAACCTCAACCTCACTTTTAATAAAAATAAAGAATGTTTTATTTTCCTCTGAGTTTACCAAAATAAAATAAATTCTGCAAATACAATGAAAAGTAGCTGTCAGCACTGAGCTTTGCACTGGGGAGCTTTGCTTTGCACCCTCTCTAGGATAGAGAGGAGGAGTGTGGTAAGTTTGGGAGGAGGGATCCATCCTGTCTCAGGGGTAGAAGATACTCAGTCTCAGCTGATTGTTGGGTTTGTCTCAGTTTTGGGAAACCTTTCAGTTTTCCCAAAGAATCTGCAAAATCTGTAGTGTGGATTTACGTAATATTTTAAATTAATAAATAATTGATGTAATCTTTTAAATCTGTAGTTTGGATTTAATCCATCAATCTGTAGGTTGATTATAATGTCTCCTGTTTTTCAAAGGTTTAGTACTGAACCCAGGTCTAGGGTCCACACTGTATGGCTGAATGAAAGGCATTTAAACTTCCTCTCCTAGAGGAAACACTCTGTCATGGTGCTGGTAGGGCTCCCTGGCAAGCAGACACTGAGATGGAGATAAGCATGTAAGAAGTTGACTAGGAAATGCTCTTGTTGATATAGGAGTTAAGAAGAAATTATGTAGGCAGGGTAAGGAAGTCCTTGGTAAGGTTTCCCTTTTAATGAAAAGCACCCTCAAAATCATTTTCTTTTCTAAAAAGAGCAGCCTGTAAAATTGAGCTGCAGACACAGAAAGGCAAGCTAGAAGCTTGCAAGAGTGAATCCCAGCAGTTATGCCAATAGGAAAGGGGCTACCTGGGAACCAGGCATGTTCAAAATGGCGGCTCCATTTTCCCTTTCCTTTGCCAACCATGTGTAAAATAAGGAGCAGGCAACATGGCCGGCCAGGTAGAGAAGCCATTTGCATAATAGAAGATTAGGGTGGGGTGGCCAGCTTCTTTGCTCGCTATGTAAATGTTACACCTGGTCCAACCAATCTTTGGGCCCTATGTAAATCAGATACCACCTCCTCAAGCCTGTCTATAAAATCAGATGAACTTCACCACAAAGCCGGAAGTCCCACTCAGGCGCCCCTCTCATAGGAGAGAGAGCTATTCTTCTTTCTTTTCCTTTTGCCTATTAAACCTCTGCTCCTAAACTCACTTCTTATGTGTCTGCATCCCCAATTTCCTTGGTGTGAGTTGACGAACCTCAGGTATTTACCCCACACAACAACACCGCTTCATTGTGACCAACACCAGTGGAAAGGAAGGGAAAGAAGCAATGTTGAGCAGAGGGAGACGTTGAGCCATGTTGAAGTCTCAACAGAAGCTTCAGCCAACCCTTTGGGGAGTTCTCAAGATGGAATGACCCTCTACAGCTAGCCCATATTAGGGTGAGAGGACCTAGCCTTTACATCCTGACATCCATCAGTCATGGGATGTAGGCTGTTCCAGGAATTGGGTGTGGCCTGGGGTGAGGTGTCTCTCTGCTGCTAAGGTAGTTCCCATAGAGAGTATCTGTTGGTAGCATCCCAGCAACTGGGATAACACATGTTTTATTCCTGGGCCACGACATTCCCTGTATATCAAGAGCTCAGAGAAGACCTGTTAAAGAGTAGTGTCCTCTTCTTTTCTGGGGTCCAGTGTTATATTTGGTTAGAAACACTGATTGCTTAGGAAGATTTCAAGGTGATGTACATGAGATTCTTATGATCTTTCTAGTCTCGTTGAAATAGAATGTACAATACATCCTTTACTGAGAGTGGAACTTGTAATTGTACATAGAAACTTGAATAGAAGTTTGATATTATCTCCCCGAGGAGTACAGGCAGAGCTATCACACACACATAGAAACTTGACGGTCCCTAAACCAACCCACTCATTTAATAAATGAGGACGCCTAGGCTCAGAGAAGTTGGATGAGTTGCCTACATTCAGATTTGGCGAATCCCTTATGGGCTGAAAACTGGAACCAGAATTCCTCACTCCATCCCGGGCTCTTTCTCTGCAATCCTGTGTTGCCTCAACCCTGCCCCATCCTCCATATTAGCCTTGCAATCTGGATTTTTAACACAAATGGCAACTGTGACTTCCACAGATACTAACGAGTTATACATTGTACATTCACTAATGAGTATGAAGCAATTAAAGGATTACACTGAAATAATGTATGGGCTGTGTCAAGGCAAAAATGAGAAATTCTGTTTGCATAGAGTACTATTGATTAGCATACTGAATCATCGCTCTGAAAACCATTCAAGACGGCATTCAAGGAACTCTGAGATGAGAAGGAGATAGTGAGCCCTACAGTACACAGAATATCTCTATTTGTGAGCCAACAAAAGCATATCAGCAGCCCCAGCTGCCTCCGCCACCCCTCCCCGTTCCCTGAGCACTACACTGACAGATCTAAATACGAAGAAGAAAAATGTCTCCGACAGGCTGTTATTTTGCTGCCTGAATTGTGTCAGGGAAGTGTAAATATAATCACATTTTATCCGCCAATCTGAAATGGATTTCAGAGGAAGGGATCACAATGTTAGGAGAAGTCTTTTTCGTTGTAGCATGCCTTGATTGAAAATAGCTCCCTTGTTACCATCAGTAATGTGTTCAAGGGAGAAAAACACAGTGCCGTTCACGACAGAATTACTAGGCAATTCAATCCAAACCCCATGCCCCACTCTTCAGGTTATAAGAGAGACAGGTAAGTCCAAGATTTGCCTCTAGAGTGTGCGGATGGTTCTGAAAAATCTTCATTTAGACATCTGCATCTCCAGTGGTTACACTGTTAACCATGGCAGAAACAAGAGCTTCGGCTAGTCATGGTGGCTCACCTCTGTAATCCCAGTAATTTGGGAGGCTGAGAGGGGAGGATCACTTGAAGCCAGGAGTTCCAGACTAGCCAGGGCAATATAATGAGACTTGTCTCTACAAAAACTAAGCAAAGTTAGCAGGCCGTGGTGGTGTGTGCCTGTGGTCCCAGCTACTCAGGAGGCTGAGGTGGGAGGATCACTTGAGCCTGGGAGGTTGAGGCTGCAGTGAGCCATGACCACACCACTGCACTCCAGCCTGGGCAACAGAGTGAGACCCTATCTCAAAAAGAAAGAAAGAAGGAAAGAAACACTAACCTCTCCTAAAGCAGCCGCTTAATTCCTTGGCTTCACCCTTTTAGGAGAGCTTTTAATTCCAGAGCAGGATAAACAGACTCTTTCTTCTTCCCCCTGAGTCCTAAACATACTGAATCTGTAGCCTAATCATTAGTTTTGTCTTACTTTTCTGTTAAATGAATATATATAGAATTGCCAATTGGTCTTTCTTTCTTTTTCTTTCTCTCTCTCTCTCTTTCTTTCTTTCTTTTATTCTTTCTTCTTTCTCTCTCTCCCTCCTTCCCTCCCTCCCTCCTTCCCTCCCTCTGTCCTTCTCCTCCCTCTCTCTCGCTTGCTTTCTTCTTTTCTATTTTTTTATTTTTTGAGACAGGGTCTCACTATGTCACCCAGGCTGGAATGCAGTGGCACAATCCTAGCTCACTGCAACCTCAAACTCCTGGGTTTAAGTGATCCTCCCACCTCAGCCTCCCAAGTAGATGGGACTATAGGCATGCACCACCATGCCAGGACTAACTCTTTTTTTCACTTTTGGGTAGATGGAGGTCTTGCTAAGTTGCCCAGGCTAGCCTCAAACTCCTGGGCTCAAGTGATCCTCCCACCTTGGCCTCCCAAAATGCTGCGATGACAGACGTGCGCCATTGCCCCCAGCCAAGAACTTCTTTTCCACATCAGATAGTCAGGATGAGTTGAGAGAATTCTGTTACAAAGCAGAGACACCGGATGTTTAATTGGACATGCATCCTTAGTGTGCATGTGTGTGTGTGTGTCTATGAAATATTCATATATTAATTCAACTTAAAATCAGTCATACCCAGATTCTCAGCCTTGCACCCCATCTCCACTGCCATAGCCCTTAGAGTATATAAACTGTCCCCCAAATAATAAGCTCCTCTTTAAGGAGGTGAAAATACATGAAGAAGCATTGAGGTTGTCCCCAGAGCAGCCAGTTCCCGGAGATCAAACAGTCTGTTCCAGACTGCTCACTGTTGTCATAGCACATGTAATGTTGCTTGAATTAAGAGCAGAGGAAAGCTGCAAAGATCACCTCAGGTGTCTGCCAATAATGTGACTTGACATTTTAAGCTGGTCTCCTATTACTTTTGCTCTTTTCACCGAGAAATATCCACGTGATACCTCCTCAAAATTGTCAAGGCATCAGTGTAGACCTATCCTCCCCACTCGGGCATTCAAAGAGGAGGAAAAGCAGAAATAGTCACTACACGGTTACATTCTTGGGTAAAATTACTTATCTAAATTTAGAACTAGGCCAGGCTTTGAGGCTTGCCCTTCGTTCGAGGTCTAATGCATGAAAGACCTTGTGTTGGGCAATTTTGCGGGTTTGCTTAGAAGGGGGCATTTAATCCAATTTGATCTCCAGTGAATGCATCAGGGGCTGAATCTCTGCCGCTGCCTGCCCTCTGGTTTCCAGGCACTTTGAGAAAGATTCTTTTTGATGTCAGTGGGAGCTCTGTTTCCAAAAAGAAGCAATGACACAAGAACTTGCCTAAAGAAATGGAGAGCCAGGGTCTCTTTTTGAGAACATTTCTCCCCTGGTTTGTCAGCCAATAATACCCACTGTGCTGAGGGTGGGAGCAAACACATTCCATGGCAAGTGCTGGGTCAGGATGGGTGGGGGACATTTTCTTATGATGACAGAATTTGGATATTTAGCCTATATATTTTAAGGCCAAATCCCTTCCAGCAGGAAACAATTACTAAAGTCATCACTTGAGGCTATGCTGATTTTTTGTATCATCTCAGCTACTGCTGTAATGGAAAAAAAAAAAAAGAGCAAGTTATATAAGTTACAAAGTCATTAGTGTCCATCAATAAAAGAAAGTGAATTTGAGGCCGGTGCGATGGCTCACGCCTGTAATCCCAGCACTTTGGGAGGCTCAGGCAGGTGGGTCACCTGAGGTCAGAAGTTTGAGACCAGATTGGCCAACATGGTGAAACCCCATCTGTACCAAAAATACTAAAATTAGCCAGGCATGGTGGCAGGTGCCTGTAATCCCAGCTACTCAGGAGGTTGAGGCAGGAGAATCTCTTGAACCCGAGAGGTGGAGGTTGTGTGAGCTGAGATCGTGTCACTGCACTCCAGCCTGGGCAACAAGAGTGAAACTCCATCTCAAAAAAAAAAAAAAAAAAAGGTGAATTTGAACCTCAAAACCTCTTCTCTTTTATCCTGAGCCACACTGTTTTTCCCCTGCTAGAAACATTCATAATCAAGTCTCTAGGTAGGACTTCAATTAATAAATGATTATTCTTCACAATGTCTTCATAAGTGGAACCTCATTGTTTTCAAGATTCTCTCTTTCATCATTTGCTCAAGGTGTATCAGTTAGCTTTTGCTGCCTAATAACTAGCCCCATTTGGTAGATTAAAAACTCTACCTTTCATCACTAGCCCAGGCTGGTTCAAAAATTGGTGATTGCAGGGTTTGTAAGAGCAGGAAGAGAGGAAGCTGCAAGTGCTCTTCAGGCCTAGGAATGAAACAAACAGGGGCTGCTAGGGACTGTGGCTCATGCCTGTAATCCCAGCACTTTGGGAGGCTGAGACAGGAGAATTGGTTAAGGCCAGGAATTCAAGGCAGGCCTGGCAACATAGTGATATAGGGATACCCCATCTCTCTTTAAAAAAAAAAAAAAAAAAAAAAAATAAAGAAATTTAAGTAGCTAGGCATGGCAGTGCACACCTGTAGTCCTAGCTACTTAGGAGGGTGAAGTGGGAAGGTTGCTTGAGCCCAGGAGGTGGAGGCTGCAGTGAGCTATGACTGCACCACTGCACTGCAACCTAGGTGATAGAGCAAGACCCTGTCTCCTTTAAAAAACAAACAAACAAAAAACAGGGTAATTCCCACCACATTCTAAGCAAATCCAAGGCCAGGTATGGTGGCTCATGGCTGTAATCCCAGCACATTGGGAGGCCAAGGATGATGGATCACCTGAGGTCAGGAGTTAGAGACCAGCCTGGCCAATATGGTGAAACCCCGTCTCTACTAATAATACGAAAATTAGCCAGGTGTGGTGGTGGGCACCTGTAATCCCAGTTACTCAGGAGGCTGAGGCAGGAGAATCACTTGAACGTGAGAGGTGGAGGTTGCAGTGAGCCAAGATTGCACCACTGCACTCCAGCCTGGGTGACAGATTGAGACTCTGTCTCAAAAACAAAGAAACAAAAAACAAAAACAAGCAAACAAACAAAAAAACTAAGTAAATCAAAAGGCTAACCTGTATTCAAAGACTGGAGAAGTAGACCCAGTTCCTTGATGGCAGAAGCTGTACTATATTGTGGTGAATTTTGTAATCTACCGTACAAGGTTTGCTGGGGCTAACATTTTAATACTGTGTAGGCGTAGCCAAGAGTTGCTAATGAGCAGGAACCAGATCCAACCTGAGTTTCTGTTTCTGATGCTTACCTAGACCAGGAGAGAAAGGGACTAGGCAACTCAATGTTGTTGAAGAAAAGCAAGTGGAGAGTTTAAAAGTGTACATCTTTTAATAGAGACTTGGTGCTAGAAATATAAACACAGAAAAGGTCACGAATCTGAGTAATTGCACACTCATGTTAAGGTAGAGAGGGCCACTAGTCCCCTATCAGGGTCCTCTGTTGCTTCCCATTCTGCCTCCCCATGGTGGGGACCCTTTTAGGACTTCACCATCTATAATCACAGTGCTTTGGGAAGCAGAGGCAGGAGAATTGCATGAGGCCATCAGCTTGAGACCAGTCTGAGCAAGATAGTGAGAACCCATCTGTACAAAAATAAACATACAAAAATTAACCATGTGTGGTGTTGGTCACTTGTAGTCTCAGCTACTTGGGAGGCTGAGTTGGGAGGATTGCTTGAGCCCAGGAGTTCAAGGATGCAGTGAGCTGTGATAGTGCCATCGCATGCCAACCTGGGGGCAGAGCAAGACCCTGTCTCTAAAATAAAATAAAAGAAAAAAGAAAAAGAAACGCTTTTATTGCATACCTGGAACCTCCCCTTAGACTATGTGTCTGAAGCTGTGTTTCCTCTTTGATGTCTATAAGGAGAATGTTCCTCCTACTTGAGGCCACATTCACTTACTCTCCCTTCAGGCTTTTATGGGCTAACCATGTAGGAAACCAAAGCATTAACACCTAGACAAGAATGACTCCCATATAACAAAAGGGATTATTTTCTCCTTGCAAACATTTTCCAGAGAAGTGCTTTCCTGATTTCCCTTCTGGAGAAGTGTTTATGACCTGGTTGAAGAAATCCAACAAGGAAGTCAGTAAAATTTGTCTTTAATGCCCCTCAGCTTTCTCTTTCTGCATCCTATTTTCTGGTTATTCTCCTCAGGTCAACGTTGCCTGATTTTGAGAAACCCTGCGTGTCTGCTTTTGCCTGAGTTTTCAGCCCTTGGCAAGAACAACATGCCAGGTATTTATGCCTTCATGGGCTTACCTAACCGTCCTACCTTTTCAGAGGTATTTGCAGTATTTGTATGTTAAACCTGATCTCTAATATAAAATGTAAGTTTTTTGTGTGTGTTTGTTTTTTGCTTATTGTTTTGAGACAGTGTTGCTCTGTCACCCAGGCTGGAGTACAGTGGTGTGATCATAGCTCACTGCAGCCTTTTCCCCTTGAGCTGAAGCAATCCTCCCACCTCAACCTCCTGAGTAGCTTGGACTACAGGTGCTTCCTACCACACCAGGCTAATTTTTTTAGTTGTTTTTTTTGTAGAAATGGGATCTTGCTATGTTGTCCAGACTGGTCTCAAACTCCTGGGCTCAAGCGATCCTCCCACCTCAGCCTCCCAAAGTGCTGGGATTACAGGCATGAGCCACTGTGCTAGACCAAAATATAAGGTTTTATTATCTGTGAAACAAAAGTACAGAATCACTTTAAATATTGTAAACTACCTATGAAAGATATAAATTAGTTTTGGATTAAAAATGAATTGCACTTAAGAAGAAAAATGTGTAACTGCAGACACTAAAGGCGTCACCTGGGATGGGGGCCTTTCTCAATAATTTGATGAATTATTTCTCAATAATTCATCAAATTGAACCTTCTGATAATTTGGTTATTTGCCTCTGAGTGAGGTCACACCAAAGTCTCGTAACCTTCCAAGCTGCCTTCTCTTCAACCCTAATTGCCTCCCTTCCTTAGATTCTCCTGTCCAGAACCTGTGCAGATATCCTACAATATGACTCCATTGTGCTTTTGTCAGTGGTTCTGAGGTTGTTACAGGACTGCCAGGTGGGTATGACCACTGCACAGCAACATGCCAACACACCAAGACAGCAGGGTTTGCAGCAGAGAAAGAGTTTAATAATTACAAGCCCACCAAACAAGGAAATGGGAGGAATTCTTGAGCCTCAAATCCATTTCACTAAGGGGTTTTGGGCTTCAGTGTTTAAGGAAATCACGGAGGGTGAGGGGCTGGAAAATTGGGATTGTTGATTGGTTGAGGTAAGGGGGATGAAATTATCAGGATGTGGAAAATGCATTCTTCCATGAGTCAGTTTCTTGTGGAGCCTGCAGACCAGCTGTTGTCAGTAGTGTAAGGTAGCTTTGTTGGTATGCAGAACCTAAAGGAGAAACTCAAACAGAGAGTTTATCATCTCATAATGTCTTTGATTTTATTTACAGAACAAATAAAGAGTCTTGGGATAAATAGCATCCAGCTAAAGGAAGTGTAACAAAGGGCAAGCTGTCTTAACAAGGACTACTGATTGTACTGCATGCCTAATTGAATTTTATTTTTCTCCCCTTAACCAAATTCATAAAATTTTAGTCCAAGGGGAGAACCTCAGACTCTTTTCTGAACCAGTGCATCTTCAAGGATTCTCATTGTTCTTCTGGCTGTAGTAGGAGCATTTTCTGAAGAAGAAACTGCTGATCAAGGTGGAGGAGGAGAGAGCCTTGACAGCCTGGCCCATGGCAGCATGACACAATCATCTTTGTTCTTAAAAAATGTCCCTGAGATGTCACTGCTGAGGAGCACAGAGATGGAAACAGAAAGTGAATATGGCTGACAACCAAAATGAGTGAGTGAGGCATAAGTCTCCATTATCGAGGTTTTTTTGTGGGTGGTTTTCTTGTTTTTTTGTTTGTTTGTTTGTTTTGTTTTATTTATTTATTTATTTGAGACAGAGTCTCATTCTGTCGCCCAGGCTGGAGTGCAGTGGTGCGATCTTGGCTCACTACAACCTCCTCTCCTGGGTTCAAGTGATTCTCATGCCTTAGCCTCCTGAGTGACTGGAATTACAGGCACACACCACTATACCTGGCTAATTTTTGTATTTTTAGTAGAGGTGGGGTTTCACCATGTTGGCCAGGCTGGTCTCAAACTCCTGATCTCAAGTGATCCATCTGCCTAGGCTTCCCAAAGTGCTGGGATTACAGATGTGAGCCACAGCGCCCTGCCTCGATCATCAAGGTTCATCAAGCCACTTCAGGGCAGCTCCAGGAAAAACACAAGCCACAGATAAATCTGTGGCTGTTCTTCAGAAAAGGTTTTTGGTAGGGAGGTTAGTATTTTTTTTTTTTCTCGAGACTGAGTCTCACTCTATTGCCCAAGCTGGAGTGCGGAGGCAATCTCAGCTCACCGCAACCTCCTTCTCCCAGGTTCAAGCAATTCTTGTGCCTCAGCCTCCCAAGCAGCTTGGATTACAGGTGCCAGCTACCATGCCCAGCTAATTTTTGTATTTTCCAAAATGCTGGGATTACAGGTGTGAACCAGGGCGCCCAAACAGGAGGTTAGTACTTATAGATTTCCTTAAAGAGTGGGGGATGGAAGAGAGGCAGGCAGGCAGCGGATAGCTACATTCCTGAGAGAATTTAGTTAGTTTAGTAAATCTACATTTTACATAAGATAATGTGAATGTCCAGAGAGAAAAAGGGGAATAAAGGAAGAGTCAGTTATGCAGACCTCTCTGGGTACATGGAAGAAGGAATCTTGACTTTGTTCTGCACCTGGGAAGATGAGCTTGTAATCAACATTGTCAGTGTGGAGTTTTAGGAGCTAGAATTAGGTTGCAGATTTAAAGTTACAGTTGGTATGTCTTTGTTTATGGAAGGTCAGCAAAGAATTTGCTTATGGGCTGGGTGCGGTGGCTCATGCCTGTAATCCCAGCGCCTTGGGAGGCCTAGGCGTGTGGATCATGAGGTCAGGAGATCGAGACCATCCTGGCTAACATGCTGAAACTCCATCTCTACTAAAAATACAAAAAATTAGCCAGGCGTGGTGGCACACCACCTGGCTACTCAGGAGTACACACACACCTCAGCTACTCAGGAGGCTGAGGAAGGAGAATCACTTGAACCTGGGAGGCGTAGGTTGCAGTGAGCCGAGTTGGCACCACTGCACTCCAGCCTGGGTGACATAGTGAGACTCCGTCTCAAAAAAAAAAAAAAAAGAAAGAAAAAAAGAATTTGCTTATGAATGATGTGGAGGCTGTCCTTCCCAGATGCCTTAGGTCTTTTACCTCTCCACGGGCAACCTGGCTGATGCATAATATTAGTGACAGGTATTCATTTGGAAGAGGGTGTTGCAATGACCTTCTCTTTTGCATAAGTAGTTTGCAGGACCCTGAGATTTTTATTTCCCTTTACTTGACTAAGATACAGCAGTAAACAAACAAAACCGAACAACGCACCCAGCATTGTTGCTTTAGTTAATGTTAGGCTGGTCTCTTCACTGTTTACTGTATTCCATACTTTCCCTGCTGCCAACCTTCCCCTATATTCATTAAAGAAAGGAAGACAGAAAGAAAGATGGAAGAAGACACAGCATATTGAACTATGATGGATTCATCATTGCTCACTGCAGCCTTGTGGGAAGAGGTTGGGTGATCCGCCAGTGAGCAAGCAGGCTCAGATGGAGCTGAGGGTCCCCTGGTCATCCAAGGTCAGCTCGACTCCACCGTCCTGTCATTACCGCATTTGCTTCCTTGAGAGTTTGGAAAACTGAAGATTTTTCTAAAGACAGGAGATTAGAACTGAAACAATCGTTGGAGCTATCCAGCTCAACTCCCTTGGTTTTAAATATATTTTTTTTAAAAAATCCTGTCTAGTACATAAGTGTATTCGTTTTCCATTGCTGCTGTAACAAATTAAAGCCATAAGAAAATCTTAATGGCTTAAAGCAATGCAGAATTATCTTACTGTTCTGGAGGTCAAAAGTCCAAAATAGACTAAAACTGAGGTGTCAGCATGGGTTGTTCATCTCTGAGGGTTCTCGGGAAAAGTACATTTTCTTGCCTTTTGCAATTCTGGAAGTCTCCATATTCCTTGGCTGATGGTCCCCATGGGGGCCACAGGCTCCTGTCCCCCTAAATGTTTGCTGAAATTTCACTGGCATGAAACAGATTGCTTAATAGGAGAAAGGCATACAAGTTTATTCAATGTGTGTACAAGGAGCCTTCAGAATGAACACCCAACCCAACAGTAAGAAACAGAAGCTTATATTTGAAAGAATGCAGACCCAGTGAAGCCAGAAGCAGGTTATGTTGATAAATCAGGTTTAGTGGCAAGACAGGTTATGAGAAAGAGAGAAAGGAAGAGGCCTGGCTAGCAAAGGTGGTCTTGTTACGTAGATGAAGTCTCCCTCAGAGAGAAAAGGTGGTTAAGGTTTCTTTCCAGATATTTTTTTCCACTTTTATTTTAGATTCAGGGGTATGTGTGCAGGTTTATTACAAGGGTATACTGCATGATGCTGAGGTTTGGGGTACAATCAAATCCATCACCCAGGTAGTGAGCATAGCACCCCAATAGGTACTTTTTATTTATTTTATTTTATTTCACTTTTGAGACACAGTTTCACTCCGTTGTCCAGGCTGGAGTGTAGTGGCACCATCTCGGCTCACTGTAACCTCCGCCTCCTGGGTTCAAGCAATTCTCATGCCTGAGCCTCTTGAGTAGGTGTGATTACAGGTGTGCACCACTACACCTTGCTGATTTTTGTATTACTAGTAGAGATGGGGTTTTGCCATGATGTCTGGGCTGGTCTCCAACTCCTGACCTCAAGTGATCCACGCACCTTGGCCTTCCAAAGTGCTGGGATTACAGGCGTGAGCCACTGTGCCTGGCCCAGTAAGTGCTTTTTCAACCTTTACCCCCCTCCCTTCCTCTCTCTTCTTGTAGATGCCAGTGTCTATCATTCCCATCTTTATGTCTGTGTGTACCCAATGCTTATCTTCCATTTATAAGTGAGAACCTGCAGTATTTGGTTTTCTGTCTCTGAGTTAATTTGCTTAAGATAATGGCCTCCAGCTGCATCTGCGTTGCTGCAAAGGACATCATTTCCTGCTTTTTATGCCTGCATAGTATTCCAGGTGTATATGTACCACATTTTTTTAAAATCTAATCCACCACTGATAGACATCTAGGTTTATTCCATGTCTTTGTTATTGTGAATAATGCCACAATTAACATACAGGTGCATGTGTCTTTTTAGACTTTTAAAGGTGTCATATTCTCAATCTCTCCCAGATCCAAGAGAAGCATAGAAAGGGGAGGTATGGCTAAATTTACAGAGATTTTCTACAGATGCAAATTTTCTCCATCTCAGTCTGCTAGCCCTGAAGCAGCCGTTTCAAAATATATTAAAGGAATATATTGTAGTGTAAAGTATTTTGACTTTCTTCATTCCCATCTTCAAAGCCAGCAGTGGCTTGCTCAATCTTTCTCACATAACATCATTTTGTCACTGATTCTTCTGCCTCCCTCTGCTCCATGGAAAAAAAAATACCCTTATCTTTTTAACAGTTGAGTCCATCCAGATAATCCAGTAGGACCGCCTTATCACAAGGTCAGTCGATTAGAAGGTTTAATTCCATTTGTAACCCTAATTCCCTTTTTGCCATCCAATCCAACATATTCACAGGTTCTGAGGCCTAGGATGTGGACATCACTGGGGAACCAATATTCTGTTGACCACAGCTGGTCAGTTTAAGTTTATACCAGAATGTAAGATGTCTAATTCCCAGATGATGTCCTCTTTCACCCATTTCTAAATATTTTCTTGTGAATGAAGAGTAAGATAATTTGTGAATATCTAATGACTATCCCTTCTCCCAGTGGAATCTATGAACTTAAGGTTATCACAAATGGGAAAAACAAACAAATCCTAAAACTTCTCTACAAATCCTTATTCTTTTGGCTAAAAAAAGAAGGGTATACCAGCCTGGGCAATATGATGAGGCCTCATCTCTACAAAAAATTTTAAAAATTTGCTGGGCATGGTGGTGTGTGCCTATGGTCCCAGGTATTTCGGAAGCTGAGGCAGGAGGATCACTTGAGTTCAGAAAGTGGAGGCTACAGTGAACTATGATCATGCCATTGCTCTCTCACCTGGGGAACTTAGTGAGACCTTGTCTCAAAAAAAAAAAGGAAGGGTATCTTTCCTATCACAGCAGCCAGGCACCAGCTTATGCAACAGACAGTCATTGCACTTCTTTCATTCTTTCATTCTTCTTTCTTTCTTTGTTTCTTTCTTTGTTTCTTTCTTTCTTTCTTTCTTTCTTTCTTTCTTTCTTCTTTCTCTCTCTTTCTTTCTTTCTCTCTCTCTTTCTTTCTTTCTTTCTCTTTCTTTCTTTCTTTCTTTCTTTCTTTCTTTCTTTCTTTCTTTCTTTCTTTCTTTCTTTCTTTCTTTCTTTTTCTCTCTTTCTTTTTGAGACAGCTTCTCACTCTGTCACCAGGCTGGAGTGTAGTGGTACAATCTTGGCTCACTGCAATCTCCACCTTCCGGGTTCAAGTGATTCCCCTGCCTCAGCCTCCCAGCCTCCCAAGTAGCTGGGACTACAGGTGTGCACCACCATGCCTGCCTAATTTTTTTTTGTTTTGTTTTTTGTATTTTAGTAGAGACGGGGTTTCACCATGTTGGCCAGGATGGTTTTGAACTCCTGACCTCAAGTGACCCACCTGCCTCAGCCTCCCAAAGTGCTGGGATTATAGGCATGAGCCACCACACCCGGCCTGCATTCCTTTCTTCTAGGACAAACTGCAGAGGCCATTCTTAGAAACGGAGGGTGTCCTGTTATACCAATGCTTGTAAAGTGCCCTCTCATATCTGAATTTCAAAATTCATGGGCCTACCTGAGCCAAGACTCACTACTTTTCCCCTCTGAAATCACCATTGGCTCCAAACGTTAATATAGCTAAAGGGAAGTTGGCATTGCGCATTGGAGAACATGTTACAGAATCATGCAAAATGAAGTAGGGTTTTGGGCAGGGATATTAATCTGTATATGGAGGGAGGGAGGGAGGGAGGGAGGGAGGGAATGAATATATATTAAGCTCCAATCCAGTACTACACAGTGTAACAAGTCTGCATATTTATTCACGTATTCATTTAACAAATACCTATTACATCCCTTTTTGATAAATACCATGTGTACCGTCTAGGTTCTGGGCATATAGCCTTAAACAAGATAGCGATCTTGCCCACAAGAAGTGGTGGAAGAGTCAGGCAATAAATAAATAAATATATAGATAACATAAATAATGTCGTATGGTGATAAATTTTATAAACACTTTAAAGAGGCCAAAAGGGATAGAGTGATCAGAGACAGAAGGTGCTGAATGTTGTCCCATGATCCTGGGGGAAGGTGCTCCTATTGTTACTGGGGGTCCTTGCTCACAGAGCTCCCAAGATGGCGGAAAGCCACTTCCAAGATGGTGGCAGGCTGCTTCCAAGATGGTGGCAAGCCTCATGTTCTCTGACCTGGGATTCTTGGCCTCAGGGATTCCAAGGAATGGAATCTTGGGCCATGCGGTGAGTGTTATAGCTCTATTAGAAGCCATGGGTCACAGAAGAGAACCATGGAACCCAGTGACTAGTGTTCAGCTTGATTAGGATGAACCCGGGCACTTAGCTGTGCAGGAACAATGGCAAGCCTTTAGCCCAATCAGGAGTGCCAATGGGCGCCTCGCTGGATCAGGAACACAGCAGACACCCTGCTGGATCCGGAGGGATGGGAGTCAGCAGCAGGTCTGCGATGGTGGCAAACAGCAGTGGTGGACAGTGAGCGAAAGCTCAGCTCAAGCCGTAACAAACATGGACCAGAAGATTGCAGTTGCAAGATTTAATAGAGTGAAATAGAGTGAAAACAGAGCTCCCATACAAAGGGAGGGGACCTAAAGGGGGTTGCCGTTGCCAGCTAGAATGCCTGGGTTTATATACCGATCATTGTCCCGCCCGCTGTGCTCTCAGGCAACAGATGATTGGCTATTTCTTTACCTCCTGTTGTTGCCTAATTAGCATTTTAGTGAGCTTTCCTTACTATCTGAATGGTTATGTGTGAGCTAAGTTGCAAGCCCTGTGTTTAAAGGTGGAAGCGGTCACCATCCCAGCTAGGCTTAGGGATTCCTAGTCGGCCTAGGAAATCCAGCTAGTCCTGTCTCTCACTATCACCAAAGCTCAGTACACTACATGGAGGCATGTGTGATGGAGAGCTCTGTGGGATTCTATCAATTGTGCAGTCTAGTGTTACACAGTCTTTCTATGTAAAAATCCCTACAGGTAGGCAGGGCTTCTCCTACCCCCAGTGACAGCCCTCAGACACATTACGATGGCCTCCAAAACAGGGCAGTGTTTATCCCATATGCTTTTATCTCTAGCAACCTGATGGAGAGCTCACCCCTCTGGTCTTGAGAGGGAGCAGGGGCCTTGTTACTGGGGCCTGTGGTCCTCCTCCAAGCATGAAAATAAAAGAAAATCCTAAGTTCCTTCAAGGAAGGTTCCAGGCACTTAGCCAGCCATGAGAAACAAATAAGCAACTTAATAAGCAAGAGGGTAATAGTAGCTTAAAACAATAGCCAGGGAAGTTTCAAGCCTTTAGAGTCATGAGATGTTCCCTATGGAAATTAAATATAACATCTTAACACATAACACATATCCCTGAATTGTTTTTCAGAAATCCAGCCCCCCATCAAATCAGTCCACTGGCTTATAGACCTCAGATAATGGGGAACTGAGGACTGAAATCGGGCCCCTGCTCTTGGTTCTAAATTTCTTCCTGTGAGATCTGGAAGAAGTCACACCCGTGAGGCAGAGCTAACATTCTTCTCTGCCCATCCCAAATCTGTAGACAAAGCTTTGCCTCCAGAACCAATTGCAGATCAGAACATCTTTGACTCCCCCTGTGATCTGCGGGCCTCTGCTTCAAGACATCCTGCCCCTTTAAGCCAAAACTGATGTGTAAACTCCATGTATTGAGTTATGATTTTGCCTGTAACTTCTGTTTTCCTGAAATTTACCCCTGCCTTTAAAATCCCTTATCTGCAAGCTATCAGTGGGGAAGTCAGGATTTAAGCATTATCCGCCTGGTCCTCCTTGCTGGGCACTCTGCAAATATCCACATTTCTTTCTATGACTGCAAAGCCTCAGTGTGGATATGTGGTCTTACTGTGCCAGGTAAACAGCCCCCGGTATGGTTCTGTAATAGTCTTCTTGTTGAAACTGAAGGTACTCTTATACGCAGGGATGGAGATACGATAAGAAAAGGGTTCCTTTAAACGACCCTATACTTTCCATCCGGTGTGCATCTCTGAACTCCTGAAATCTCTTAAATACCTCCGAGGAGCCAGCTTGAAGAATTCAACAGCTATGGGCAGCTCACTCAGTAGACAGAAGACAAGAAAGTGGTCTTTACAAAAGAGTGCAGAGATAGCTTAAGGTCATTCCAAAGGGAGATGTCAAACCATCTTCTGTGGCCTTGTCTCCTCCCTGGAGAGGAAAGGGTAATGAGTAGCCACAGCTGCTAGAAGGGAAAAGAATCACCTGATTTCTCTGTTGCCCTCTAGATAGCCTTCTTCTCCAGGTGCTCTGCCACCCGGGCATGATGAATAGCATTGTGGCTCCCATGATTCACTCCTCTCCTAGCCTCAACCTTCAGCATGTGATTTTGCAGTTCCTCCCCACCTCCACTTTGGGTAGAGTATCTTTCCTGCCCCATTGATAGAGGGCATGGCCATGTAAATTGCTTTGACCAATGTGTTGTTAGCAGACACATGCCAACAAGAGCTGGAAACATGCATGTGTAGTTTAACTTTCCCTCTTGCATTTCCACCACAACCACGGGAACACGTTCGGTATAGCCTGCAGCTGATCCAAGGAGGATGACAGCTAAGTAAGGCAACAGAAGCAAATCTACAACTTGGAGCCAAGATCAGCCAAGCTGAGTCCAGATCAGCTGACCCCAAGCCAAGTCCAGGCATGTGAAAAAGAATCAGTGTTGCTGAAAGTCACTGAATTATGAGATATTTTCTTACACGGTGTTATTGTTGCAATTTTCTCATTGATGCATAAGGGTAAACAGAACATCCCCTGGTACAAATCTTGATAGCAGCAAAAAATATTCAAATAAGAGCTTTTAAGTATCAGAGGAAGATTTTTTCAGACATAGGAGCGAGTCTGTCCTGAAACATCAGCACAGAAAACTGTGCTGAAAAAGTCTTATTAACTAGAAAACACCAGTGCTGACTTAACTCAGTGACTTCAAAGATCTAGGGTCATGCTTTCTTTAAAGCCAGCAAGCTCTGCTCTGCATTTGACCCCTGCTGGACTGAGTTATTTTGGATCTGTTCTTGTGACTCTGGGGCTTAAAATAGTCACTGCTGAGCCATCTGTCTTGGGATCCATCTCACTTCTGAAAGGTATAGCAGCTGTGGCTGAATTGAAAGCAGCTCCTGTTAAGAAAGTGAACAATCTCTCGGCTTTTCTCCATCCTATGAGTGTGCCCAAGGGAGAAAACAAAATAGAGGGCATTTGGCTGTCAAAGAAGGATAAGAGCTTAAGAAACGAACCTGGGAGATGCTGGGCAGATAGCAAAGGAGAAATGGGACAGCTGCCAGAGGGCCTGGAAGGGAGCCAGGTTAAATAAAGTTCAGACAAAGATGCTGCCAGCTGGAGGTGGTGAGGGAGAATGGCCCAGGGCATTGCTGTGTAATAGTGGAGCAGCAAGGTGTGGTAGGAAAGGGTGTGGGGGTCAGGAGACAGAGGCCCCCAGCCAGTGACTAAGCTTAAGCACCGACGTTGTCATTGTATGACCTTCTGCAACTCTGTGCAACTCTCAGCCTGAGCTTTTCCACCCTTAACGTGGAATTAATAATATTGATCTCAGGTTGTAAGAGTCCATCAGAATAATTCAAACAGGAACCAGATAAACTGTAGAGACCTAAGTGAAAATGTCACACACATGTGAAGATGATCATTTCAACAGGGCTAATACCAGGACCTGTCATTTTTACTGTTTCATGGTATATTTCCAGTACTTAGTGCACTATATAATATAATATATAATATAGTATGTATTATACATACAAGACTCTGTCTTGTATATACAGCATATACAGCTGTATATACAGTCTTGTATATACAGCATATACAGCTGTATATACAGTCTTGTATATACAGCATATACAGCTGTATATACAGTCTTGTATATACAAGACTGTCTCAAAAAAGAATTATTGACTTTATGATATAATAGATAAAATATGATAATTTAGTAATAGATAATGCATAATACATATTTTATAGTAATATATAATAATTATAGTATATATAATAGACAATAGATAATAATCTATAATTATATTATATATAATATATAATTATTATATTACCTCATATAATATATGATCTACTATACAATAATAATATTATTTATATAATATATAATACATAATAATAATTACATTATTTATATACTATATAATAATTACATTATTTATATACAATATAATGATTATATCATTTTATATACTATATAATGATTATATCATTTTATATACTATATAATGATTATATCATTTTATATACTATATAATGATTATATCATTTTATATACTATATAATGATTATATCATTTTATATACTATATAATGATTATATCATTTTATATACTATATAATGATTATATCATTTTATATACTATATAATGATATCATTTTATGATATATAATGATTATATCATTTTATATAATATAATATATAATGATTATATCATTTTATATAATATAATATATAATGATTATATCATTTTATATAATATATAATGATTATATCATTTTATATAATATATAATGATTATATCATTTTATATAATATAATATATAATGATTATACATTTTATATACTATATAATAATTATATTATTTTATATGCTATATAATAATTGTATTATTTTATATAATATAATATGTAATAATTATATCATAATAATAATTATATAATATATAATATATATTAGTCTGGCATATAGACACATGCTAGAGACACACACACTGAATAATTTCATTATTCAATCAGTAAATGCCATTAACACATGTGGCAATAAATATTATTTACATTCCTGGAAAAGTAAGAAATAGCTATTGTCTTTATCTAGAGAGCTCCTGGAAGTTGCATTCTAGTACAGAATAGAGAACAATAGTCAACCTGCCTACCTCACAATCACATCAGAGCACTACAAGCAACTGCTGCCATGAGCAAGATCCCAGCCCACAAGGAAAGGTGAGTTGCTGGTGCAGAACTCAGGGGGAAGCTTGTGGTCATGAGGAAGGGGCAGGCTGCTGGAGAAAGTGCCTGTCCTCCTTCTCTCTGTTTTCTAAGCCTCATGTATTTTTCATTTGCAGCCGCTAGGACATAGTGTTTACATAGGACCTGGTATCACACAGACCCTGGGTTGCCATTTACAATCCTTCCAATCTTTGCAAAGTTGCTTGATCTCCTGTATGCTTCATTTACTCATCTGTGAAATGGGTATTAACAACCTGCTTACTTCCATGGGTGTTTAGAGCAGGGGTCAGCCAACTGCCACCTATGTGCAAGCTCACCCCTGCAGCCTGTTTTTCTACATAAAGTTTTATGGGAACACAGCCAACCTCACTTATTTACATGTTGTCTATGGCTATTTTTATGCTTCAGTGGCAGAACTGAGCAGCTAAGACAGGGGCCAGATGGCCTGCAAAGCCTCAAAGAGTTACTATCAGGCCCTTTATGGAAAGAGTTTGCTAATTCCTGGTTTGAGGATTAAACAAGGTAATACATGTGAAACCTTTAATACAGAATCTGGAATTTGGTGGGCAGTCATAAAATGGTGTTGTTGTAATGGCGATAAAACTAAATATCTGCTTTTAAGTGTTTCAAGAGAAGGGTTGTTCACATAAATAAGTTGGGATGGGAACATGGGCCACAGGCTTAACAAGACTCACCCGGGTGCCATAGAAGCCTACGGGAACCCTAGCCCCATTAACACAGCCTGGTGCTCCCATCAAAGGAAGAGAAAGAGGAACATGGGAAAGCTCAGGAGGCTACAGGAGAGAGACACCAGGGTGGGAAGGACTCGAAATCATGACACTGAGTCATTTGGCAGGCAGTTCAGTGAACATTTGCTCCTCCTGAGTGAGAATTCTTGGCAGAGAAGGGGTTAACCCATTCCACGAAGAGCATTTTGGGAACTTCCAGGGACAACACATTGTACCTATTGGAAGGCTTATGTGGCATGTGAAGAACTCGAGATGCCTTAAAGAGCTACTGGCTCCATGCAATGCTTCACATACTTTTTATTGGCCACTCTCTCTCTCTCTCCTTTTTTTTTTTTTAATTTTATTTTAAGTTCCAGGGTACATGTGCAGGACGTGCAGTTTTGTTACATAGGTAAATGTATGCCATGGTGGTTTGCTGCAACCGTCAACGAATCGCCTAGGTATTAATCCCTGCATGCATTAGCTATTTGTCCTTGTCCTGACGATGTCCTTCCCTCCACCACCACTCCCCCTCCCTGACAGGCCCCAGTGTGTGTCGTTCCCCTCCTGAGTCCATGTGTTCTCATTGTTCAGCTCCCACTTATGAGTGAGAACCTGTGGTGTTTGGTTTTCTGTTCCTGTGTTAGTTTCCTGAGGATAACAGCTTCCAAATCCATCCACGTCCCCTGCAAAGGACATAATCTTGTTCCTTATGGCTGCAAGGTATTCCATGGTGTATATGTACCACATTTTTTTTTTTTGAGTTGGAGTCTCACTCTGTCACCCAGGCTGGAGTGCAATGGTGCAATCTTGGCTCACTGCAACCTCCGTCTCCCGGGTTCGAGCAATTCTCCTGCCTCAGCCTCCTGAGTAGCTGGGATTACAAGTGCCTGCCACCACATCCGGCTAATTTTTTGTATTTTTAGTAGAGATGGGGTTTCACTATGTTGGCCAGGCTGGTCTCGAACTCCTGACTTCATGATCCCCCTGCCTCGGCCTCCCGAAGTGCTGGGATTACAGGCGTGAGCCACCACACACGGCCATGTAGCACATCTTTATCTCTTTCAATCCACAATTTATCTCTTTAATATCCTCTGTTTGTAAAGCTGTGCTCTGCTTACTTAGGTATTTCCAACATGGCTTTAAAAATTTCAGTGGCTTACTCAACAAACCTTTTCACTGGAACAAACCAATGAGAAGTAGAAGAATGTTTAAGTAGGCTGGCAGCCAGGTAAAAGGGAGTGGAAAGGCAGAGACAGAATGTCCAAAAGTCTTCTTCAGTTTTAGTGTTTAGAAACGCATGATCATGTAAGCATTCTGGAATAGGCTGAATATTAAGTTTTCCCTTTGCAACCACACTCAGTGCTACCTGGACTTCAAGTAAGCTGAGCATTGATTGTCCATTAACTCGCAGCCATTGATTGAGTCCTATTCAAGAATTATTTATTGAGTGGGAGACTGAGGCACGAGAATCACTTGAACCTGGGAGGTGAAGGTTGCAGTGAGCCAAGATTGTGCCACTGCACTCCAACCTGGGCAACAGACCAAGACTCTGTCTCAAAATAACAATTATTATTATTATTATTATTTATTGACTTTGTGAGCTATAATATCTTAGTAGTGAACTCCCAGGGTTATTGTTTTATTATCAAAATAGACTCATAATACTCAACTATCATTTATCAAGGACTGGCTATGTGTCAAGCATTATGCAAAAGATTTTTACATACAATTGGCTCTTTGTATTTGTGGGTTCTACATCCATGGATTCAACCAACCAAGGATTAAAAATATGTGGGAGGCTTGTGCTTGTGATCTCAGCAACTCAGGAGGCTGAGGTGGGAAGGATCACTTGACCCCAGGAGTTTGAGGCTGCAGTGAGCTATGATGGGACCACTGCACTCCAGCGGGAGACAGAGAGATACTCAGTCTCTATCAAAAAAACAAAAAAAAAAAGAAAAAAACTGAACAAAAGTCAATAAAAAAATACAAATTAAAAAATCTATACAGTATAACAACCATTTACATAGCATTTACATTGTATAAGGTATTAGAAGCAATCTAAAGATAAAATTGAAAGTGTACAACAGGTTGTACGTAGGTTATACACAACTACTACACCATTCTGTAGCATAAGGGACTTCAGCATACTTGGATTTTGGTATCCGAGGTGGGTGGGGACTAGAAGGTGGAAGACAGGGGTCCTGAAAGCAATCAATCCCCCATGTATATCAAGGGAGGACTGGACATGGTTTTATTGAATCCTCAGAACAACCCTTCATGGTTTTAGAGTTGATCATGCAGAGACCTAGCACCATTAGGTGACATACTCAGCTCATAGAGCTAGCCACAGAGTCAAAATTTGAACCAAGTTTGCAAATTGCTATCTCAGCATCCTCTCAACTTCTCAATGCCACTTTATAAAAGAAGGCATCCAAAGAGTTGCCCAGAACACAGCTGGTGCAACTTGAAATACATGCCTCCCGTGATAAAGTGGAAATTTCCAAGAAGATGCACAAATGTGGGGGGCATTTGGCCTTGCTGGACTCACTTCCCCACCCAGAAGGCAGGGAATGAGATGGTAAGGCTGACTACACCGTGCTGGCACCTAAACCCAGGCATTGTCCCTACATCTTCAATCAATACTATGTACCTGTTTTTCAACTTAAGTCAAATCATCTCTTCAGTGACACTGTCAGAGGCATTTGAACCACAGCAACTCCATCTTGAATAGGGGCATTCTTAGTCACAGGAAGAGATAGGAGGTTGGCACAAGATACAGGTCACAAAGACCTTGCTGATAAAACAGGGTGCCGTAAAGAAGCCAGCCAAGACCCACCAAAACCAAGATGGCGACAAAAGTGACTGCTGGTCATCCTCACTGCTCATTATACATTAATTATAGTGCATTCGCATGCTAAAAGACATTCCCACCGGCACCAAAGACAGTTTACAAATGCCAAGACAGTTTACAAATGGCAATGTCTGGGAGTTACCCTATATGGTCTAAAAAGGGGAAGAAGCCTCAGTTTCAGTAATTGCCCACCCCATTCCCAGAAACTTCATAAGTAATTCACCCCTTGTTTAGCATATAATCAAGAAATAACTATAAGCGTCCTTAGTTAAGCAGTCCATGCCACTGCTCTGCCAATGAAGTAGGCATTTTTTTATTCCTTTACTTTCTTAATAAACTTGCTTTCACTTTACTGTATGGACTCACCCCAAATTCCTTCTTGCCTGAGATCCAAGAACCCTCATCTTGGGGTCTGGATCAGGACTCCTTTCTGGTAACAAGACTATATAGGTTGACGCTAGTTTGTAGGGTAGCAACGAGGGAGGAGTAGACAAGGTCCCCTTTTAAAGAAAACCAAACCCCCAAATAAGCACATTTAAATTCTCCTTTATTTAGCACAAACCCTTGAAGCCACTCTACTCTTGTTTTGTTCTTTTTGTTTGTTTTTTGTTTTTGTTTTTGAGACAGATTTTCGATCTTGTTGCCCAGGCTGGAGTGCAATGGCGCGATCTCGGCTCACCACAACCTCTGCCTCCTGGGTTCAAGCGATTCTCCTGCCTCAGCCTCCCGAGTAGCTGGGATTACAAGCATGCGCCACCACGCCCAGCTAATTTTGTATTTTTAGTAGAGACAGGGTTTCTCCATGTTGGTCAGTCTGGTCTTGAACTCCCGACCTCAGGTGATCCAACTGCCTCAGCCTCCCAAAGTGCTGGGATTACAGGCGTGAGCCACCACGCCCGGCCACCAATCTCCTCTTCAGGGAAGTTTTCCACTCCACTAAATTTAATGGCGTTCATATATTTTCAACCTGCTTTTTTCCAGGCAAATTTATAGAATGTAATAAATCTTCCGGTGATGAAAGGTAGCCACAGTTAAAGTTTTCTGTGTTCAGTTGCCCAAAGTAAAGCTCTATCTAAACATTATCTTCACCCAGTTTGACTTCTGTGTCTTCCTAGTGTCTCCTGGGAAAGTTGGCTATGGATGGTGGTTTGATTCTGATACAGGAGCTAAAAAGAAATTATTTAGGCAGATAGTGAGGGTAAGATAGCCCTCAGTAAGGTTTTCCTTTAAAAAAATAAAAGCAGCCCCCAAATCATTTCTTTTCTAACAAAGAGCAACCTGTAAAATTAAGCTGCAGACATAGAAAAGCAAGCTGGAAGCTTGCACAGGTGAATGAATGCTGGCAGCTGTGCCAATAGGAAAAGTCCACCTGGGGTCTAGGCACCTAGTAGGTCATGACTTACAAGTATTTCTTCAGCCCTGTGTGTGCAACTGTTATTCTCCAGCCTCTTTTCGCTGGAATCTCTTTGCCCCTTGGGACAGCCTTATTGAAAAGGACCCAAGATGACCCACAGCTGCTCTATCTGCAGTACTGGCCACGTGTGCGCCACAGGAAACACTCGTCTTCCCTGTGCTTGGCAGACCCTTTGCTGGCCAATCCCAAGTCCATCGTCCCCAGGCTCTACCCTCAGGGCAGGTGGTCAGCCCTTCCCTCCAGTATCTTGGGTTACGAGTCTGACTCCATTCACAAAGCACTTTAACATTCTCAGGTATCAGTTCCCCAGTGTCTCCCAAAAGCAGGGAGCACTTTTTAAAATTCTGAATGGTGCTTTTGAAACTCTCTTTCCTTTACCTCCTTTACAGGGGGCGATTCAGCACGACAGATCCCCTTTGTAGGAATATTGTTGCAGCACTCACTCTGGCCCCTGTGAGTACCCTGGATAATCCACAGTACAGATTCTCTTTATTTCCTTGAAAATAGCAGCATATGCAGATTTACCTCATTCTCAATTTGAAACCAAACACTATTGAGGCAGGAGAATAGGGTTTGGAGGCAGGTAACATAAGGCTGACTCATGGGGACTTCCTAGAACTAAATCAAATAGAAACACTTCAGCTATGACAGGAAATATCCTCTCCATTTTCACAGGACGTACACTAAGTAAATGACTGTGTAACATTTTTTTTTTGAGGTAGATTTTCGCTCTTGTTGCCCAGGCTGGAGTGCAATGGCACGATCTTGGCTCACCACAACCTCTGCCTCCCAGGTTCAAGCGATTCTCCTGCCTCAGCCTCCTGAATAGCTGGAATCACAGGCATGTGCCACCACGCCCAGCTAATTTTGTATTTTTAGTAAAGAAAAGTTTTCTCCATGTCGGTCAGGCTGGTCTCGAACTCTCCATCTCAGGTGATCTGCCTGCCTCTGGCTCCCAAAGTGCTAGGATTACAGGCATGAGCCACCGCACTCGGCCAGCTTTGTAACTTTACTTCATTCTCTTCATTTACACAGGGCATACCCCAGGTAACCAATGGGAACCTCGAGAGTATATTTAAACCCCAGAAAATTCTGGATAACGGGGATCTTGAGCCCCTGTGCTTGGACCCGCTCCCACCCTGTGGAGCATATTTTCATTTTTAATAAATCTCTACTTTTATTGCTTCATTCTTTCCTTGTTCTGTTTGTGCGTTTTGTCCAATTCCTTGTTCAAGAGGTCAAGAACCTGGACACCCTCCACCAGTAACACTAACATTGGCATAAAATGGAAACTGAGGCAGGAAGCAACTAGTCTACCTTCATGCTCCACTGTTCTTTCTTTTCTCGGGAAGTCTGTCATCCTGGCTAGCACAAAAAGTTATCCAGACACTGGAAAGAGCCAAAAAGGAAGATTCTAATATAACTTCCCATCTCAATCCTTCCTCACTCCTCATTCCCTGTCAGCCTGCTTTCTGATCTGAGCTGCAAATCTATGCCCTGTGGATCTGGAAGCTGACTCTATGGAAGTCCCTCTTCTACAGTGGAAATCCTGCCTGACTGTCTCCAGTAGAGGCAAACCATATAATGGGAAGAAAATACAAAATGCAGATTTAAGGCCAGGCATGGTGGCTCATGCCTGTAGTCCCTGTATTTCAGGAGGCCGACGTGGGAAGATCACTTGGGGCCAGGAGTTCGAGACCAGCCTGGGCAACATAGTGAGACCCCCTGTATCTACAAAAATAAAAATGAAAAAATTAGCTGAGTATGGTAGTACACACCTGTAGTCCCGGCTACTTGGGAGGCTATGGTGAGAGGATTACTCAAGCCCAGGAGTTTGAGCCTGCAGTGAGCTAAGATCACACCACAGCACTTCAGCCTGGGTGAAAGAGCAAGAGGAGGGGAGGTTCTAAATAGTCCACATTACGGGTGGGAAAGCAATGGAAAGTTATTTATGGGGGGAAAGAAGGAAGATCCTGAGAGATAAAATGTTATGCACGAAGGAGTATGACATGATAGTTCAAAAACAAGGGAAATTAGGGCTCTGACAGCACCTGCTCTGAATCATACATGAGCCAAATAGCATCAGGATTATTTTTTGACGTCCACCCTGCTCCTGGCTCTTGGATGGGGGCATTCCAAGCACTTTGGGGGATGAAGCTGGGGTGGAAGAGCAGTGACAACCTTATTGAATTATCCCAGAACTTTAGAGATTCACCTTCCACGTCATAGCCTTACACAGCCAATCTCATTAAAACTGTGTCTCTGATGGTCAAAGTGACTCAGCTATGGGTGCCAAGTACCACCTCATTTTACCCCTGATACTAACATAAATAATAAGTAAGGGCAATCATTTTCTTGCATGCCAATGAGAAAGGTAAATGTCAGAGACCTGGAGATAGGTGGATGTGGGAGGACAGGCATGTCGTCAATGTCAGAAAATTCAGAGTTTAAGGGCAGGTTAGTGCCCTCTTGTAGATGACTCACGTAAGCATGGTGTGAGCAGTCAGTAGAGACACGGGAGCTAAAAAAAATCATTTAGGCAGTTAGTGAGGGTAAGTAAGTCCTTCGTAAGGTTTCCATTTTAATAAAAAGCAACCCTCAAATTATTTCTTTCTTTTTTTTTTTTTTTTTTGAGACGAGTCTCGCTCTGTCACCCGGGCTTTACTGCAATGGCATGATCTCAGCTCATTGCAACCTCTGCCTCCAGGATTCAAGCAATTCTTCTGCCTCAGCCTCCCAAGTAGTTGGGATTACAGGTGCCCGCCACCACACCCAGCTATTTTTTTTTTTTTTGTATATTTATTAGAGATGGGGTTTCACCACAAATCATTTCTTTCTTTCTTTCTTTTTTTTTTTTGAAAGACAGTCTTGCTCTGTTGCCAGGCTGGAATGCAGTGGTGCAATCTCGGCTCACTGCAACCTCTGCCTCCTGGGTTCAAGCCATTCTCCTGCCTTAGCCTCCCATGTAGCTGAGATTACAGGCACGTGCCACCACACTCAGCTAATTTTTGTATTTTTAGTAGAGACAGAGGTTCACCATGTTGACCAGAATGGTCTCGATCTCCTGACCTCATGATCCGCCGGCCTTGTCCTCTCAAAGTGCTGGGATTACAGGCTTCAGCCACCACACCCGGCCAAATCTTTTCTTCTCTAACAAAAAGCAGCCTGTAAAATCGAGCTGCTGACATAGATAAGCAAGCTGGAAGCTTGCACGGGTGAAATGCTGGCAGCTGTGCCAATCGGAAAAAGCTACCTGGGGGCCAGGCATGTTCAACATGGCGGCTCCATCTTCTCTCTTCTTTGTCAACCTTGTGTACAGTAAAGGAACAGGCAACATGGCGCCAGCCAGGTAGAGACCCCATATTCATAATGCAGGATGAGGATGGGATGGCCAGCTTCTTCACACGCTATGTAAATGGCACAACTCGTCCAACCAATCTTTTGGGCCCTATGTAAATCAGACACCACCTCCTCAAGCTAGTCTATAAAACCCCGTGCATTTCACCATGGAACTGGAAGACCCACTTAGGAGCCCCTCCATCTCTGCAGGGCAGAGAGCTTTTTCTCTTTCTCTCGCCTATTAAACTTACACTTTTTTTTTTTTTTTTTTTTTTTTGGCGACAGAGTTTCGCTCTTGTTGCCCAGGCTCGAGTGCAATGGAGCGATCTCGGCTCACCACAACCTCTGCCTCCCGGGTTCAAGCGATTCTCCTGCCTCAGCCTCCCAAGTAGCTGGGATTACAGGCGTGCGCCACCACGCCTGGCTGATTTTGTATTTTTAGTAGAGACGGGGTTTGTCCATGTTGGTCAGGCTGGTCTGGAACTCCTGACCTCAAGTGATCTGCCTGCCTCGGCCTCCCAAAGTGTTGGGATTACAGGAGTGAGCCACTGTGCCCAGCCTGATACTCTAATGCATAAGAGATGGCTGGGCAACATAAAAGGCTAAAAACACCAACCAATACTCATATTATTATAAGTGGTTTGAATAAGGTTTCAGTAGCTGATGATGCTGAAACCAACAATTCATGACCTGTGAATTGTGAGTTTCCACAGTCTGCTTAAAAAATACAACTGAGACTCACTCTGTAAGTGAAGGAGAGTGATTGAAGAAACGAAAAAAGATTTGACTTCAGGCTACCATGCTATTTCCAAATGTCAGCTGATGAGTAATGAGTTACTAAGTGATTGTTTTAGAAAGAAAAGAAGGTATACACTTTTTCCTCCTCCATTACATTTATATAAGTAGAAATATTCTAAGAGTTTGCTGAAATTGGAGCACCAGTAACAATATTTGCCTTTTGATTTTGTAGGGCAGAAAGCTGAGCCAGCCAGCCATTTTGGAAATGGAGGCTTGGGATTGGATTAAGTGGTCTTGTGGTCATGTGAAAACTTTGTTCTGTCACCACTGTCCCTTTAAACTTACTTTCGGGGGAATTTTGGCCTTGTGTGAGCATTTTTATCTCTGGCAAGCTCCCTTCCTCTCTTAGATAATAGAGATTATCTCCCGGGATTACAAGGACAGCTTCTCCACAACGAATCCTGATATCATTTGGCACTTGGAGCTCGACAGCTTGGAAATCTGGGCCACATCCGAGTGACAAAGGCAAGCTTCTTGGTGTTACCTGGGGCCTTCCCAACTAGCAATTCCTGTGGTTCTGGAGAGATCCCTCTTGCCTAGGAGACAATTCCCTGGAATTTGATATTTATAGGAAATGGCAACCTGGTTTTGTTTAGTCAGACTATTCAGGTCTAGGAAAAAGCAGATCTCCTTATCGGGCACCATGAAGACATGAGAAGCAAGCTGACCAAAAAGACAAATTGTACACTGGTGCCTTGGAGTCAGATCAATATTCAATTCCTGAACAACTGGCGGAGTGACTTAACCGAGAACCTCAGTTTCCCTTGTGAGGAAGCAAGGACTCTTCACAGAAATTCTATTTCTTCTTCCAGGAGCTTAACAGAATGCCATTTCCCTTATCCCATCCCCTTTGATATTAGGCATGGCCAGATGACATGCTAGGCCAAAGAAATGGAGGTGCAACAGACACGTGTCACTTCTGGCTGTGAGCTGAGAGACAGCTTGTTATTCACCTGCTCTCTCTGTCTCTCTCTCTCTGCATCCCTGATACTAGCAAGAGTGGCTGCTCCATTTCCTGGGTCTTAGGGTCAGGAAACCTGGGAGCTAAGCTATCAGCTGATCAACAGTTAGAGATGTGGTGTGAGTAAGAATCTGTTGTTGTAAGTTGCTAAGATTGGAGGGTTGTTCGTTACCATAGCACAAGTTAGCCTGTCCTGATACAAGAATCAGTTAGTTTTCAAGGAGATAGAGGAAAATTAAAGGACATAAAGGAGTGAAGCGTGTGCCATCTCAAAACATACCAGATTAGGATCTTGATTATTTCAAGTTGAAAACATTAGAGAAATTGTAGTTTCAGAAAGGGCTGGCTGGCCTGTCTCTTCCTACATGTAGCAAGTGTGAAAGATTTCTCACACCAGGTGAGAAAATAGCTCTATCACCAGAGACTTGGGATGGAAAGCTTCAAAGGACCTGAATAAACGTACTTAATTATGTAACCCATGTTGCCTCCATCTCTACTAAAAACACACACAAAAATTAGACAGTTGTGGTGGCACGTGCCTGTGGTCTCAGCTACTCTGGAGGCTGAGGCATGAGAATCGCTTGAACCTGGCGGGCAGAGGTTGCAGTGAGCTGAGATCACACCACTGCACTCCAGCCTGGGCGACAGAGCAAGATTCAGTCTTAAAAAAAAAAAATGTAACCCTTATCTTCAACCTCTTTTTCACTCCCCTATACATCTCCTAGTAACTCCTCCAGAAAATGTACTGCCCCCAGCCAGATTTTCTTTTGTCTTGCCATTTCTTCTCAATTTTATTATTCTTTGTCTAAATAGTACAAAAGCATCTTGCTTTCGCCACTTCTTTGGTCTTCACTCTCTTGTGAAGATCCCCATGTACGCATAAAACTAAGAAAATTTATATAGTTTGCTCTTGTTAATCTGCCTGATGTCAGTTTGGTTTCTAGATCCAACTATAAAGCCCACCGGCTAAGAGCTAAATGTGTGTTGGAGGGGATCTCTGACTCCTCTACAGAAGCAGAGCGGCAAAGCCTCTTGCATGGTGTTTGGCTTATAGAAGGTGATTTATTTATTCAATCTTTAGGATCCTACTATGTACCAGATGCTTGGGACACATTGGGACATAAAACAAAAAGTGATCTCTGCTCTCTCTCTCTTTTTTTTTTTTTTTTTACTATCTAGAGTTGATAGACACTGCTATTGTTGTATGTTGATAACAGACTCTACTTGCATAAATGCTGGAGTAGGGAGTTCTGTGCAGTCATAGAGGAAGACCCAAGAAGGCCTTGAAATGCATCATGGCAGCCACATTCATTCTTAAACACAAAAACCACACTGGAATTGTGTACAAGGCAATGTCCTCATGAAAGACCATCATATGGGCCAGGCGTGGTGGCTCACGCCTGTAATCCCAGCACTTTGGGAGGCTGAGGCGGGCAGATCATGAGGTCAGGAGATCGAGACCATCCTGGCTAACACAGTGAAACCCCATCTCTACTAAAAAATACAAAAAATTAGCCGGGCGTGGTGGTGGGCGCCTGTAGTTCTAGCTACTTGGGAGGCTGAGGCAGAGAATGGTGTGAACCCAGGATGTGGAGCTTGCAGTGAGCAGAGATGGTGCCACTGCACTCCAGCCTGGGTGACAGAGTGAGACTCTGCCTCAGAAAAAAAAAAGAAAAGAAAAAAGAAAAAAAGAAAGAGCATCTTATATACACAATTGGGGTAAATTTTGTCAATATTGTCTTTTGCAGAAGAATATTGATAATAGCTGCTATTTATTTTGCACTTGCGATGCTCCAAGATTTGTGCTAATGTTTTCTATGCATTATCTCGTTTAATAGGATCCTTACAAGAGTAAAATTGATATCGTTATAACGATTTTATACATGAGGGAATTAAGGTTTAGAAACTAACTTACTTACCCAGGGGAACAGAACCGAAAAGTGGCAGAGTGTGAGTTCGAATCCCCATCTGATACAAAAATAAAAATATACAGGATACAGGCATATAATACAATCTCAACTGGAAATACAATAGTACACTACTATTGTTTTCCATATAGATACGCTTAAAAAAAATAGGCTTGAAGTTCAACAACTGGCTCTTGGGCAAAAAGTGTATCACACACAGGTTGCATTAGTTTGGCTGGATATATTTTTGTTGTGGTGGTTGTTTTTGGAAGCTTCATAATCAGTCTTGGCAAAATGATCTGTGTGCAAAAACAGAGAATTATTCCAGATGCTGTGTTTGTGAACCTTAAGGAAAAAACTCAGCCCTGGTAAAATTCCCATAAGGCTAGCTGCTTAGGGCGACAACAGGGAAGCTGAATCTGTAAGGTTCGGGGATAATTCAATAAGGCTGTCATTGCTCTCCCATTCCACCTCCAACCCAAGGGTGCCAGGAATGCCCCTGTCCAAGAGCTGGGAGGAGGGTGGATGCCGAGAAATGATCCTGATGCTATTTGGCTCATGGATGACTCAGAGAAGGTGCTGTCAGAGCCTGATTGCCAATGTCATCCTCACTAGGTGATTTCATCCTGGGAGAAAGACAGCCACCAGCAGGGTTCTAGAAACATGATTTTCTTTCCTCATTTGACTGACAGGAACGAGGTGACAGAAACAGTGGGCTTTCACATAAAATGATGCCTCTCCCTTCATGTTATTCCTGCAGCAGAGCTGCAAGCATGACATTCACAGTAACTCATCCTGTCCAAAACAGAGCTCATTATCTCTCCCTCCTCGGTCTTCCCTCTCTTGGATAATAGCACCACCATATACTGAGTCACCCCAGCTGGAGAGCTAATAAGTAGGCAAGAAGGAGTAGAAAGGCCTGAGGATATGGAATTAGAAAAGCAGGATGTAATTGACATCTTTACAATAGAGAGAGAGTCTTGGGGAAATTAACCAAACCTCTCCGAGTTCCAGCTTCCTCTCACCTGGGAATTATCGATATTATGATAATAATCCGGATGTATAAGATTTTCCCTGTCCAGCATCAAGTCGGGATTTCTTTTTTTTTTTCCTTAGTCCAGTGATTTCTTTAACTGCAGTGGCTTATCTTGCATTACCAGGTCTGAGCTCTATGACTCCGATTTTCCCATCATTGTCTATGAGTGCTTCAGAGGCATAGGCTTGTAGCTCCGACTTTCCCACTCACCCAAGTCTGTCAATCATTCCACTGTAGCTGTGCAAACTTCCGCTTTTTGAGGGGACAAGGGAGGATCATCAGCTTTATTTATGTTTATGTTATTTTTAATTTTTAATTTTTGTGAGAACATAGTAGGTGTATATGTGTATGGGGTACATGAGATGTTTTGATAGAGGCATGCAATGTGAAATAAGTGCATCATGGAGAATAGGGTATCCATCCCTCAAGCACTTATCCTTTGAGTTACAATCAAACTACCCTCTTTAAGTTATTTTAAAATGTAAAATTAAGGGACTATAAATTAGTTCAGCCATTGTGGAAGACAGTGTGGCAATTCCTTAGAAACTTAAAGACAGAAATATAATTTGACCCAACAATCCCATTACTGGGTACATACCCAGAGGAATATAAATCTTTCTATTGTAGAGGCACACGCATGCATATGTTCACTGCAGCACTATTCACAATAGCAAAGGCATGGAATCAACATAAATGTCCATTAATGATAGACTGGATAAAAACAATGTGGCACATACATGCTACGGAATACTATGCAGCCATAAAAAAGGACAAGCTTATGTCCTTTGTAGGGACATGGATGGAGCTGGAGGCTATTATCCTTAGCAAACTAACGCAGGAATGGAAAACTAAATACTGTATATTCTCACTTACAAGTAGGAGCTAAATGGTAAGAACACATGGACACATAGGGGGAAACTACACATCCTGGGGCCTTTCAGAGGGTGGAGGGTGGGAGGAGGAAGAGGATCAGGAGAAATAACTAATGGGTACTAGGCTTAATACCTGGGCGATGAAATGATATGTATAACAAACCCCCACAACACAGGTTTATCTAGGTAACAAACCTACACTTGTACCCCTGAACTTAAAAATAAAAGTTCAAATGAATAAATTAATTAATTAATAAAAATAAAAATAAACTAATAAAAAAAGTAAAATTAAGTTACTGTTCACTATAGTCACCCTGTTGTGCTCTCACATAACAATTCTTAGTCTTTCTATTTTTGTACCGATCAAGCTTCCATTTTTAATAAAATGTATTGATTTTATGATTATAGAAGGAATATACATTTTTGTTAAAAATGAAAATATAGGCTGGGTGCAGTGGCTCATGCCTGTAATCCCAGCACTTCAGGAGGCCAAGGCGGGAAGATCACTTGAGGCCAAGAGTTAGAGACAAGCCTGGCCATCATAGTGAAACTCCATCTCTACTAAAAATACAAAAATTAGCCAGGCTTGGTGGCGAGCACCTGTAGTTCCAGCTACTCGGGAGGCTGAGGCAGAAGAATCACTTGAACCCTGGAAGCAGTGGTTGTAGTGAGCTAAGATCATGCCACTGCACTCCAGCCTGGGTTACAGAGTGAGAACCTGTCTCAAAAAAAAAAAAAAAAAAAAAAAGAAAATATAGAAAAGTCCAACAAGCCAACCAAAAAGAATAAAAGCATCATATAACACATGCTGCAGAGACAGCCACAGATGTCATATTGTTAGACTCATTTTCTGTGTCTGCTTAAGAACACTAAAAAATGAACATCTCTGTGACAAGTGCATCCTCATTATAGGAAGAAGTCCATCCCCGAGGCAGGGTGAGTCACAGGGACTGGAACACGAGGGCTCCTGCTGCCTTGGAAGAGTCAGGGTCTGCTCACATGGGCATCAAGAGTCCTAAGCAGGGGGAATAACTTCTGGCCTGAATCACAGCCCCTGGCCCTCCTACCACAGGAGGATGCTTCCATAAATTGTATTCAGAAAAAAAAAAAAAAGCTCATTTCAGTCAAAGACAAACTGTAATATAAAAGAGACCAAGATAGAAGCTATAAAAGAAAACAGGAGGAAAGGGACAGAGGGAAATGGCAAATGAGAAATGCATGGAGAAAAATAGGGTCTTTGGCAAGAGGACCAGTATCACCAGGCTTTCATTCAGTAAAGAAAAGCTTAAAGAGGCATTTATGAAACTAGAGCTCAAGCAGAAATAGCAGCATGCAGAGAAGATATGGCAAGACAACAGAGATGAAATGTTAGCTGGAAGAAAGTAGTGAACAAGCAGGAAGAAGAAGAGAAAGATAAAGCTACTGAGAAACATAAGCTGTGTTAAAGGAAGGACAAAGAAGAATTAGCATAGCTGAAAGCACAGGAATTATTATGAAGAAAAGAGTTGAGAACAGCAAGCAAAATAGCTGGGTACAGCGGCTCACGCCTGTAATCCTGGCACTTTGGGAGGCCAAGGTGTGTGGATCACTTTGAGACCAGCCTGGGCCATATGGTAAGATCCTGTCTCTACAAAAAAATTAGCCAGGTGTGGTGGTGCGTGCCTGTAGTCCCAACTACTCGGGAGGCTGAGGTGGGAGGATCACCTAAGCCTGGGGAGGTTGAGACTGCAGTGACCTATGATTGTACCACTGCACTTCAGCCTGGGTGACAGAGTGAGACCCTGTCTCAAACAAACAAACAAACCAACAAACACCTATACACCTATTTCATATATGTATATAGAGAGTACCTATATAATCTATATCTATGTATCATGTATCTGTCTATCTATCTATGCGGAGAATAAAGTAAAAAAAAAAGTTCCAACATGTCATAATTGTTGTCCCCAAGAAAAAGATTAAAATAACAAAACAAAAATATATATTTTAAGATTTACTGTAAGAAAATTTTCCATAAAAAGTTTAAATCTATGTAACAGAAACAGCAAACCATGGCTCTCAGGAAAGCTGACATGCAACTATCAGCACCAAAATATTTCCTAAGAAATAGTAAACATGGCTGGGCATGATGGCTCATGCCTGTAATCCTAGTACTTTGGGAGGCTGAGATGGGAGGATGGCATGAGGCCAGGAGTTTGAGAGCAGCCTGGACAACATAGTGAGACCTTGTCTCTACAAAAGTAAAAATTAAAAAAATATTAGCCAGGTGTGGTGGTGCATATCTGTAGTCCCAGCTACTCAGGAGGCTGAGACAGAAGGATCACCTGAGCCCAGAATCTCAAGGCTGCAGTGAGCTGTGATTGTGTCACTGTACTAGCCTGGGCAACAGAGCGAGATCATGTCTCAAAAACAAAACAAAGAAAACAAACATACAAACAAAAAAAAATCATTCTCAAAAGGGACTATCAAAGGATATAACTGTTTCCAATTCCAGGTTCAGACACCCGCATCCCTATCATCCAATTAAAAAAAAAAGAACAAAAATAGTACACATTATGGATAAAGAAATAATTCCTTGGTCATTGAATCAAAATATCAAGTTGTTCCTGTGCATAAAAATTACAGGATGGGCCTTAGGCTTGCTTCTCTATATTCAGTGCTAGAGACAGTGGGGCTATACCAAATATCTTCAAGATAAGAAACAGTGACCCAATCATTTTAAACCCAGCACAACTTTTGCTAAAGCATAAAGGCAAAAAAAAAAAAAAAAAAACATTTTGGCACTGTCATAGGAATAGACATTTAGATTAATGTAATAGGATTGAAAGTCCAGAAACAAACCTTCAAGTTTACAGTTAACTGATTTTCGGTAAGTGTGCCAGAACAATTTTTTAAACAAATTTTGTTGAAGAAATAGAATATCCACATATTAAAAATGAAGTTGGACCCCTACCTCACAGTGTATACAAAAAATTGATTCAAAATGCATTAAAAGATTAAATGTTAAGAGCTAAAACTATAAAACTCCTAGAAGAAAACATAGGCATAAGTCTTCATAACTTGGATTAGGCAATAATTGTTTACATATGACACCAAAACCCAAGAAACAAAAGGAAAAACAGGTAAATTGGCTTCATCCAAATTAAATATTTTTTTGTGCTTCAAAGGACATGATCAAGAAGGTAAAAAGACAACCCACAAATTGGAGAAAATATTTGCAAATCATATATCTAACAAAGGAATTGTATCTAGAATATGTAAAGAACTCTTACAATAGAATAATAAGAAAGAATAACCCAATTTAAAAATGGGCAAAAGATTGAAATAGACCATTCTCCAAAGAAAATATACAAGGTTGACCATGGTGGCACGTGCCTGTGGCCCCAGCTACTTGGGAGTCTGAGGTGGGAGGATTGCTTGAGCCCAGGAGATTGAGATTGCAGTGAGCCATGTTCACACCACTACACTCCAGCCTAGGTGACAGAGCAAGACTCGGTCTAAATAAATAAATAAACAGAAAGAAAATATACAAATAGCCAATAGAAAAATAAAAAGATGCTTAACTTCAGTGGACACCAGGGAAAAGCAAATCAAAATCACAATGAAATGGCATTTTATATCCACTAGAATGCCTATAATATAAAATAAAGAGGGAGATAATAATAAGTGTTGGTAAGGATGGAGAGAGATTGGAACCTTGTGCATTGCTAGTAAGAATGTAAACTGGTGCAGCCACTCTGGAAAACAGTTTGGTTGATTTGGTTGATACTCAAAATGTTAATCACAGAATTGCCATATGACCCAGCAGTTCCACTTCAAGGTATGTATCCAGGACAAATGAAAGTGTATGTCCACACAAAAACTTGTACACAAATGTTTATATCACCTTATTTATCACAGCCAAAAAGGTAGAAATAACCCAAATCTTTATACACATTTTGGATAAATAAACTGTGGTGTATCCATATAATGGAATATTATTTAACATACAAATAAATGAAGTACTGATACACGCTACCACGTTTGTGAAACTTGAAAACGTGCTAAGTGAAAGAAGTCAGTCAAAAAGACCACATATTGTATGATTCCATTTACATGAAATGTCCAGAATAGGCAAATCTGTAGAGACAGAAAGTACAGTACATTTGTTGTTACCGTACATTAGTTGTTATCTAGATTTGGGGGGGAGGTGAAGGCTGGGGTAAATGAGGAGTGACTGCTTATGGGTAACGGGTTCTTTTTGGAAGTGATAAAAAAGTCCTAAAAATGTGTTGATAGTTGAACAACTCTGTGGATATACTAAAAAGCATTGAATTGTACACTTTAAATGGATGAATTGCATGGTATGTGAATTATAACTCAATAAAGCTGTTACAGGAAAAAAAAGAAGACCATTGTAAGGTGGCTAAGAATTTAAAGAATGTAAATCCCGTAGGGTCTTGTTAAAGAAATACTAGATGATAAACTTCAGCCAACCAAGAAATGAACGGTAACGTTATGGTAAACAGACTGGCTGTAAACATTGAATCAATTTAACTGTGGGACTAAACTAAAAAAGAAAAAAAGTGGTTTCAAAACAGTAAGTGTTCTAGATTATAATCCATTCAATAAAATAAGAATCTCTGGGATCGTGCCACTGCACTGCAGCCTGGGCGACAGAGTGAGACTCCATCTCAAAAAAAAAAAAAAAAAAGAATCTGGGTTCATTCTGATATAAATAAACAGAGGACGAAAGAGAAGCTCTTCCTTATAATAAAAGTTCAGCTAATAAATGTAACAGAACTTATGAAAATAGAAAATAGGCTGGGCACAGTGGCTCATGTATGTAATCCCAGGGCTTTGGGAGGCCGAGGCAGGCGGATCACCTGAGGTCAGGAGTTCAAGACCAGCCTGGCCAACATGGTGAAACCCTATCTCTACTAAAAATACAAAAATTAGCTGGGTGTGGTGGTGGGTGCCTGTAATCCCAGCTACTTGGGAGGCTGAGGCAGAAGAATCTCTTGAACTAGAGAGGCAGAGGTTGTAGTAAGCTGAGATCGCACCACTGCACTCAAGCCTGGGTGATAGAGCGAGGCTCCGTCTCTCAAAAAAAAAAAAAAAAAAGAAAAGAAAATAGAAAGTCACCATTTGGCAACCATTGTAGTGGCCTTTGGCCATAGTGGACCTGTGGTCGCACATTCAGGCATGCTAAGGCAGGCGGATGGTATGTTGATGATGTACAGGATGCTGGCATGATCTCAGAATATGCTCCCACAAAACAATAACCAATTGCAAGAGCAAAACTAGTGTCCTTCTGGTGGAGAAAACCGGGAGATTCCAGCATGACCAGGTGACTGGAAATTAGTGTCACCAGCGGTGGGTGGTACAGATTGACATCGTGCACTTCTTTTTTTTTTTTGAGACAGAATCTCGCTCTGTCGGCCAGGCTGGAGTGCAGTGGCACGATCTCAGCTCACTGCAACCTCTGCCTCCAGGCTCAAGCAATTCTCCTGCCTCAGCCTCCCAAGTAGCTGGGATTACAGGCGTGTGCCACCATGCCAGGCTAATTTTTGTATTTTTAGTAGAGACGGGGTTTCACCATGTTGGACAGGCTGGTCTTGAACTCCCGACCTCAGGTAATCCGCCCGCCTTGGCCTCCCAAAGTGCTGGGATTACAGGCGTGAGCCACTGCGCCTGGCTGACATCGTGCACTCTTAATGCAGAGAACACAGTATGATGTCAGTGACATCCCTACCAGGAATCCTTGATCTGAGTCTGGTCACAGAGAGACATCAGATGGACCCACACTCAGCGTCATCCCACAGAATAGGAGGCTTGTATTCTTTAAAATTGTTGGGGACATAAGTGACAGGAAAGATTAAGGAATTGGTCCAGGTTGGAGGACACTAGGAGACATGACAACTAGAATAGATGCAATACATTTTCCCAGATGGCATCTTGGACCCCAAGGGAAAAAGACACATCATTGAGAGAGTTGGTAAAATTTGAATGGGCTCTAAATGGATTGGATGGGAGCATAGTGAAAATGTTGACTTCCTGACTTAGAAGCTTGCATGAGAGATCTTTGTTTTAGAGAATGCACACGGAAGTGTTTACAAGTGAAGGTATACTGTTCCCACAGCTAGCTCAAGTGGTGAAGGAAAAGACTAGTGTGTGTGTGTGCATGTGTGTGTGTGTGTGTGTGTGTGAAAAGAGAAAGAATAAGAGCAAGGGAGGGAGAGTGGGGACAAGAGAGGGAGGAAGATATGTAAAAATGCAATAAGATGGTTAACAGCTGGGAAATATGGATGAAGCAGTTATGGGAATAACTTGAACTGTACTTGTAACTTCTATACATTTGTAATAATTTCAAAATACAGTATTTCTAAATAGCAGAATATAAATGTTAAAAATGTGAAAAATGGGCTGGGCGCAGTGGCTCACACCTGTAATCCCAGCACTTTGCGAGGCCGAGGCGGGTGGATCACCTGAGGTCAGGAGTTCAAGACCAGCCTGGCCAACATGGTGAAACCCTGCCTCTACTAAAACTACAAAAATTAGCCAGGCGTGGTGGTGCATGCCTGTAATCATAGCTACTTGGGAGGCTGAGGCAGGGGAATCACTTGAACCCAGGAAGTGGAGGTTGCAGTGAGCCGAGATCACGCCACTGCACACCAGCCTGGCCAACAGAGTGAGACTCTATCTCACAAAAAAAAAGGGGGGGGGACAATGTAAATAAAAAGAAAATGGTATAATTATCAACAGAGAAGAATTTGTTGGCTCAGGGTTTTTGAACATGCTATTCTTCCTCCCTGAATTGTCTCACCCCACATTGTTTTAATACAGTCTTGCTCTGTCACCCAATCTGAAATGTAGTAGTGCAGTCATGACTCACTGCAGCCTCAACCTCCCTGGATCAAGTGATCCTCGCACCTGAGCCCCTCAGGTAGCTGGGACTATAGGCATTTACCACCACACCTGTATAAATTTATTTATTTATTTATTTATTTTTTGTAGAGATGGGGTCTCCCTATGTTACCCCAGGCTGGTCTCAAACTCCTGGCCTCAAGCAATCCTCTTGCCTTGGCCTCCCAAAGTGCTAGGATTACAAGTGTGAGCTACCACACCCAACCTCTAACCCCACATTTTAAAAGGGTGGATTATCTCGTGCCATTCATGTCTTAGCTTAAATATCCTTAGGAAAGAATGCCCCTGGCTACCCTTGTTTCTAGCTATTTTCTTTGCGGCACTCATAAGCAGCCAACATCATACTAGGTAATTACCTATTGGCCACACAGAGGTGGGCACTTGATATGCTTGGTTTATTGCTCCATGATGCCTCTTTTCCTTGAGGATCCAAAATGCCATCCAGGAGCATGCATTGCATTTAGTTGTCATGTTGCCTCCATCTTCTCCAATCCTCGGTACCCCCCAAAAAAAAATGGCTGGCACATAGTAGTTGCTCATTAAACATCTCTTATTGTTGAAATGCTGAGATGGAGAAAGAGCATAGAAACTGGAAGGTGAAGCATTCTGATTCCCCTTTAATACCCCTCAGGGTCAACAGATATAATTTAAAGGGCAAACTGCTAAACACCATGTGTTCTTTGTAACCATTTGTGTGAGAAAAAGACTGAAAAGGCTAGGCACCTTTCATCTTAATTAAATGAAATTAATTAAAAGCTCATGTCTGTAATGCCAGCACTTTGAGAGGCTGAGATGGGAAAATCACTTTAGCCCAGGAGTTCGAGACCAGCCTGAGCAACACATTGAGACCCCATCTCTATTTTCAAAATACAAATAATATAAATTTTAAAAATAAAGAGACGGAAAAGTAGGAGAATGGGCTCCTCCTACACGTGGGCTGTAAAAATACAGCATATCTCAGTGCTCGTGGATGGGACACTCACATCTTCTCACATATATTTTAGCCTCCAAGAAAATGCCTTGGCTAACTACATCCCATTTTAGGGCAGAATATCCCAGCTGTGAATAGGCACAATTGCCATATCCATAAATCCTAGGCAATCAGACTGACTGGGTTCAAATCTCAGCTCTGCCATTTATTAGCTGCTTGATGTTGAGAAAGTTACCTATCTCTTTCTTGGTTCGCTCATCTATAAAATGGGAACAATAGTAGTACATATCTCACAGAAATGTTGTGAAGGAAATAATATTTAAGTGCCTAGAAAACAGTGCATGGGCTGGGCATGGTGGCTCATGCCTGTAATCCCAGCACTTTTGAAGGCCAAGGTGGGCGGATCACCTGAGGTCAGGAGTTCGAGACCAGACTGGCCAACACGGTGAAACCCCGTCTCTACTAAAGATACAAAAAAAAAATGTAGCCTGGCCTGGTGGTACACACCTGTAATCCAAGCTACTTGGGAGGCTGATGCAGGAGAATCGCTTGAACCTGGGAGGCGGAGGTTGCAGTGAGCAGAGATGGCGCCACTGCACTCCAGCCTGGGCAATAAGAGCAAGACTCCGTCTTGAAAAACAAAACAAAAACAAACACAAACAAACAAAAAGAAAACAGTGTATGGTACAGCATAAATAATGCTATGAGTATCATCAAAAGACTTGTATCTTTTGGTTAATCTCTGCTAATAAACCCACTACAACTATGAAGTAACTGACTTTCCAATATTAAATGCACCCCATTCTTTCCTCTAGCTTAGTCCCTCTAACCACAAAATAATCCCAGGATGTTAAAAAAAAAAAGTATAAGGTATTGTTCAATATATCCTGTGACTTTGATTGTGGCAAAGACTGCTCTACGCTCACTTTCTTTTCCTCCTGGGCACAGAGCAAGAGAACCCTCCCAGCTTCCCTTGCAGTGGAAAGTGCCGGTGGCTGAGTTCTGAACAATGGAATATGAACAGAATGATGCACACTGCATGCCTCTCTAACCCTCAGATCTCTAGACAACTGCAGAATATCCAGTAGAGAACTCTGGGGTTCTAGGGGATAGTAGAGTGTGGGTCCTTGAATGACCCTGTAAACAAACAAACAAAAAATTCTAAGGTCTTCCCCAAACCACCTGAATGGACCCCTGCTCTCCAACAAGGGCATTCCAAAGTTAACCTGATAAAACTAGTTCAGGACATGATGGGAAGGGGGAGCCAGATGTGCTTCATTATACCCGCCGCCCCTTTGGAATTACTTATAAAACAGACTCTTTCAGTCTGATAAATATTTGCAATCTATTGTCTCTGAAGCCTGCTACCTGGAGGCTTCATCTACATCATAAAACCTCAGTCTCCACAACCCCCTACTGTAACCCTAACCCAGACATTCCTTTCTATTGATAATAACTCTTTCAACCAACTGCCAATCCAAAAATCTTTGAATCTACTCGCAACTTGGAAGCCCCCACTTCCGTTTGTTCAGCCTTTCTGGACTGAATCAATGTACATCTTCTGTGTATGATTGATGCCTTACTTATCTCCCTAAAATGTTAAGAAACCTAGTTGTGGACCAGCCACCCTGGGCACATGTTCTGAGGATCTCCTGAGGACTATGTCAACAGGCCAATGGTCAGTCACATTTGGCTCAGAAGAGATCTCTTCAAATATTTTAGAGTTTGACTCTTTCCATTGACAACCCCATGAATACATATTGGGCTGTGATCTGGGTTTAAGCCACTGAGTCTTGGGGTTTGTGTGCTATATAGCACTTAGCCTCACCTGGCTGAGAAATGCATAGTATTGGCAAAGGAAGGAGTTAAGGGAAGAGAATTGAGAGGAGGGGTTGGAGAGCAGGGAGGGTCAGCCTTGGACAAAGGAGGTTCGGACTGATTGAAGCAGCACAGATATCCTGAAGACACAGAATAAAATCTTTGCAATAGCCAAGTTCAGATAACTGTGCTTGGAGAATTGAAGAGAAGCAGGGGAGGTGTGAAAGGGAAAATAAAAAGGCTCTAAGGTTGGAAAACGTGTGTGAGCATTTGAGCTGATGGAGACAGGCTGCAAGTCAGCTACACAAACCACTTCAGTTCAACAATAGGTATTGAGCAGACCTAGCTGGAGGGCAACATCTTCTTCTATCAGTGAATGCCTGGGCTGGGAAGATATAATAATGCAGGCAGCTCCAACAAGACTGAAACTGAAAGCCATGGAATCCTCTAACACAGGGGTCCCCAACCCCCGGGCCATAGACTGCAACCGATCCTCCGTGGCCTGTTAGGAACCGGGCTGCACAGCAGGAAGTGAGTGGCAGGCAAGGGAAGCTTCATCTGTATTTTCAGCTGCACCACACCAGTCTCATTACTGCCTGAGCTCTGCTTCCTGTCAGATCAGTGATGGCATTAGATTCTCACAGGAGCATGAACCCTATTGTGAACTGTGCACGTGAGGTATCTAGGTTGCGCACCCCTGATGAGAATCTAATGCCTGATGATCTGTCACGGTTTCCCATCACCCCCAAATGGGAGGAAAACGAACTCACAGCTGCCACTGATTCCACATGATAGTGAGTTGTATAATTATTTTGTTACATACTACAATGTATTAATAATAGAAATAAAGTGCACAGTAATCATAATGCACTTGAATTATCCCAAAACCATCCTTACCCCTAGTTCATAGAAATATTGTGTTTGACAAAACCAGTCCCTGGTGCCAAAAAGATTGGGGACCTCTGCTCTAGAATGTTGGGGTGACTGCTTAGAGGGGTTCCACTTAAGACAGAGCAGAAATCCTCTCTTAGGGGCCTGTTGGACACCCCTCACTCCCAAGCATAAAAATAAAGGAAAATCTTGATTTCCCCAAGGGAAGTCCCAGGCACCTAGCTAACCTTGAAGATTAAGTGAGCAACTTGATAAGCAAGAAGACAGTAGCTTAAAACAATAGCCAAGGAAGTTAGAGTTTGGTTCCCTATAGAAACTAAAGAAACGTCTTAACACATATCCCTGAGTTGTTTTTTAAAAACCTACACCCCCATCAAATAGATGTCAGATAAAGAGAAACTGAGGACTGAACTTTAACCACCTCCTTTGCCCCTGAATTTCTTTTTTGAGGGGTCTGGAGGGGTCACACTGTGGGCCAGAGTTAGTAGTCTTCGTTGCTGACCACAGAATTTTAGACAAGACTTTACCTCCTTAACCAATCACAAATCAGAAAATCTTTGAATCCGTACGACCTGTGGGCGCCCTCTTTGAGATGTCCCGTCTTTTTTTAGGTCAAACCAATGTATGGCATTCACATATTGATTAATAACTTTCCTGTTACCTCTGCTTCCTTGCCTTTAAAATTTCTTACCTGTAAGCCAGGTAGGAGTTCAGGTCTTAAGAATGAGCTGCCCTAGTCTCCTTGCTCAGCACCCTGCAAATAAATGCTTCACTTTCTCTTGCTGCAATTCTGATGCCCAGTCCTGATGGCTTTGCTGCACTGGGTGGGTGGACCCAAGTTGAGTTTAGGATAACACTTTATCCTAAAATTATGTGTATCCCATTCTTCTCTTAGTGCCAGTTCCAAAAAGATACAAAGGTAATTAATGAATCTAAAAGTGAATATTGGCCAGGCCTGGTGGCTCATGCCTGTAATCCCAGCACTTTGGGAGGCCAAGGTGAGTGGGTCACTTGAGATCAGGAGTTTGAGACCAGCCTGACCAACATGGCAAAACCTGCCCTTCTAAAAATACAAAATTAGCCAGGCGTGGTGGCGCACACCTGTAATCCCAGCTACTAGGGAGGCTGAGGCACGAGAATCACTTGAACTGAGGAGGCAGAGATTGCAGTGAGCTGAGATCATGCCACTGCGCTCCAGCATGGGTAACACAGCAAGACTCTGTCTCAAAATAAAATAAAATAAAAGTGAATATCTATTTCCAATGACAAATATTTATCAATCACTCCCCATGTAAGATGCACTGTTCTAGGTTATTTGAAAATGCAGGAATGTTAAGAAACATTGTCTGTCTTTGAGGATCTCATATTCCTGTCAGAAAGACAGCCCTCACAGATGAGGGAGAACAAAGCACAAAAATGAAGGATCAATGCTTGTATGTGTCACACAATAAGGGCATTATTTCATATTTGATATTGGTGAGGGATGGATCATGTCACCCTATAACTATGGAAAATTAGAGAAAGTTGTTTTATTTTAAAGAGGATCTACTAAACATTCTAAGTGCCAGTGAGGGCTTTCGAAATGATGGCTGAAGCTGTGCCAACCCAAGGGGAGGAGAAGATTGAAGACTTGGCCCATGTCAATAGCAGAAAACAATAAATAGGGGTTGGTCATAGAATGGTTGTTCAGCCTAGTCTTGGCAACTTGTCTTAATTTCTTTAGTATAGGTAACTATTTATTCGCAGAAAAATGTGGGCACCCTTACATGAGTTATTAATAGGCTGAGAATGTAGTTCATAGAATATCCCTTCTTGTTTTGGCCAAATTAAGGTAGTTATGGAGAAAGAAGAAAACTTACAAAACAGAAATCACACAATCAAGTCATAAAGCTGGTGACAGATGAATGGCACTGTCACTAATACCAGAAACACTTTAATAGCTGCCAAAGGGCCTCCCCAACCATGCTGGACCCAGGCAGAAAAAGGAGAGAACTGAGAAGTTCAGGTTCCCAGGGACTTGGTGAGTGCAGGTCAATGCGGGTAGGGTTGTGAATATTGCACACACACCAAGCCTTCCTTCTCAGAGGACTCCTGGGGTAAAAAATTCAGGAGTTTTATAGGCAACACTCAAGAGTAAGCTGGTCAAATGGTTAATTTCTCTCCCAAGTTCTTCGTAGAGAAAACAGCGTCAAGCAAGGAAATCAAGTCAACAAGCTGAAAGGACACAAAGTCTAAAGAAGAGCTATGGTGAAAGTAAAAAAATGGACAAAATTAAAATAAAGGGGGAGGAAACTAGATGAGCTGTAACGGGAGAAAAAGATCAGAGGATCCTGAGCAATTGCAACCAGTAAAGCTGGAATGACCATCATTCTATGGCCACAGATATCAAGCATGTGTATAGGTTACAATGGTTTAATAACAGATGGATGGTTTTCTTTTTCTTTCCTTTTTTTTTGAGATGGAGTCTTGCTCTGTCACCCAGGTTACAGTGCAGTAGCACGATCTCGGCTCGCTGCAACCTCCGCCTCCCGGGTTCAAGTGATTCTCCTGCCTCAGCCTCCGTAGTAACTGGGACTACAGGTGCACATCACCACGCCCAGCTAATTTTTTTATTTTTAGTAGAGACTGGGTTTCAATATGTTGGCCAGGATGGTTGTGATCTCTTGACCTCAGGTGATCCACCCACCTCGGCCTCCCAAAGTGCTGAGATTACAGGCATGAGCCACCGTGCACGGCCGGATAGATGGTTTTCTAATCTCCCAAGGAAGAATATTGGAAAGGATCATGATTGCTCAAATGCTACCCACGTCTTGACTTTCCTTTCTTACTTCTAAGGCTTATGAATGTGAGGTGTATGGTTGTCTCCACCTTGCATACTTTTAATGGGAATTCTTTTTAAAAAAATTTTTTTTGGTTCGGGAGTACATGTGAAAGTTTGTTACACAGGTAAACTCGTGTCTCAAGGGTTTGTTTGGCAGATTATTACATCACTTGGATATTAAGCTCAGTACCCAATAGCTATCTTTTCTACTCCTCTCCCTCCTCCCACCTGCTACCCTCAAGGAGACCCCAGTGTCTGTTGTTCTTCTCTTTGTGTTCATGGGTTCTCAACATTAATCTCCTACTTACAAGTGAGAACCTGCAGTATTTGGTTTACTGTTCCTGGGTAATGGCCTCCAGCTTCATCCATGTTCCTGCAAATAACATGAGCTCATTCTTTTTTATGGCTGCATAGTATTCCCTGGTGTATATATACCACATTTTCTTTATCCAATTTGTCATTGATGGGCATTTAGGTTGATAACATGTCTTTGCTATTGTAAACAGTGCTGCAACAAACATTTGCATGCATGTGTCTTTATGGTAGAAAGATCTATATTCCTCTGGGTATATACCCAGTAATGGGATTGCTGGGTTGAATGGTAGTTCAGCTTTTAGCTCTTTGAGGAATTGCCACACTGCTTTCCACAATTGTTGAACTAATTTATACTTCTACCAACAGTGTGTAAGTGTTCCCTTTTCTCCACAACCTTGCCAGCATCTGTTATTTTTTGACATTTTAATAATCTGATTGGTTTCAGATGGTATCTCATTGTGGTTTTGATTTGCATTTCTCAAATGATCAGTGATATTGAGCTTTTTTTAAATGCTTCTTGACCGCATGTATGTCTTCTTTTGAAAAATGTCTGTTCATGTCCTTTGCCCACTTTTCAATGGGGTGGTTTCTCTTGTAAATTTGTTTAAATTCCTTATAGATGCTGGATATTAGATCTTTGTCAGATACATAGTTTGCAAATATTGTCTCCCATTCTGTAGGTTGTCTGTTTACTCTGTTGATAGTTTCTTTTGCTGTGCAGAAGCTCTTAAGTTTAATTAGATCCCACTTGCCAATTTTTGTTTTCATTGTGATTGCTTTTGATGTCTTTGTCATGAAATATTTGCCCATTCCTAGGTCCAGGATGATACTGCCTAGGTTTTCTTCCAGGATTTTTATAGTTTGGGGTTTTACATTTAAGTTAGAAGATAGATAACAAACTGATTTACAAATAAATAATATGCCAGGTGGTCATAATTACTAAGGAAACAATAAACTAGGATAAAAGGAATAACAATTCATACAAACAATAGAGGAAAACTTAAATAGTGATAAAAGAAGACATATAACAGGGTGGGCATAAGTGAGAGTTAATTGTATATGTCAACTTGACTAGGTTAAGGGATACCCATACAACTAGCAAAACATTTTCTCTGGGGGTGTCTGTGAGGGTGTTTCTGGAGGAGATTAGCATTTGAATCAGTAGACTGAGTGAAAAAGAGCTGCTCTTAGTAATGTGGGAAAAGGCCGAGTGCGGTGGCTCATGCCTGTAATCCCAGCACTTTGAGAGGCCAAGACGGGTGGATCACCTGAGGTCAGGAGTTCGAGACCAGACTGGACAACATGATGAAACCCCGTCTCTACTAAAAATACAAAGATTTTCTGGGTGTGGTGGCATGCACCTGTAATCCCAGCTACTCAGGAGTCTGAGGCAGGGAAATTGCTTGAACCCCGGAGGCGGAGGTTGCAGTGAGCCGAGATCACGCCATTGCACTCCAGCCTGGGCTACAAGAACAAAACTCCATCTCAAAAAAAAAGAGTAACGTGGGTGAATACCAACCAATCCATTGAGGGTCCAGATAGAACGAAAAGGCTGAGGGAGGGCTAATTATTTTTCTTTTCTGGAGCTGGGACATCCATCTTTTCCTGCCCTTGAACATTGGAGCTACTGATTCTTGGGTCTTTGGACTCCAGGACTTATACCAGCCTGTCCCCTAACCCCTGCCCTGGTTCTCAGACCTTTGTCCTTGGACTGAAAGTTACACCATCAGCTTTCCTGGTTCTCCAGCTTACAGGTAACAGATCATTGGACTTCCTGGCCTCCATAATCACATAAACCAATTTTCATAATTTTATAATTATTTGCAAAACAATGCAAAGTGCTCCAAATATATATGGAGAGTTTAGGTCTTAGAATAAATTCTATGCAACAGCCAAGTTCAGATAACCGTGGTAGCTCTTAAAATAAAACCTTTGCAACAGCAGAGATTATATATAATCTCTGTTTTTCTGAGAAACCCTAATACAGCATATAATTTTATGAGGAAATTAGGCAATGCTGCACTTTGCACTTGAGTAGAAAAGTGGGCACTGAGCTTTCTGACAAGCAGTGAGCAAAACATACTGAATTTGGTCATTTAACTTACGCAATTAAAAAATATAGACATATGTATGTCATCAAAAAGAGTCAAGCTCTGTAAAATATTTGAAGAGATTTGATTTGAGCCAAATGTGAGTGACTATGGCTCATGACACAGCACTCAGGAGGTCCTGAGAACATGTGTCCAAGGTAGTCAGGGTACACCTTGGTTTTATACATTTTTAGGAGGCATGAGACATCAATCAAATACATTTAAGGAATACATTCAGGAAGGCGGGAAAACTCCAAGCAAGGGCTTCCAGGCTATAGGAAAATTTAAACATTTCCTGGTTGACAATTGGTTGAGTTTGTCTAAAGACCTGGGATCCATACAAAAGAAATGTCCAGGTTAAGGTAAAAGATTGTGGAGACCAAGGTTCTTTTGAAGTGTTATAGTGGCTGCCCTTAGAGACAATAGATGACAAATGTTTCCTATTCAGATCATCAAAAGGTGCTAGACTCTTAGTTAATGTCTTTAGGATTGAGAGGGCCTGTAACAAAAAGATCTAGCTATGTTGATAGAGATTCTTTACAGATGCAAGTTTTTGCCCACAAAGGACAGCTTTGCAGGGCCATTTCAAGATATGGCAAAGAAACGTATTTTGGGGTAAAATATTTTGACTTTCTTCTTTGTCACATAATGTTATGCCAGAGTTAGATTAGAAAGTAAGTCACAAAATATAGGGTTAAATAAAACCCATCTGGGCCGGGCGCAGTGGCTCACGCCTGTAATCCCAGCACTTTGGGAGGCCGAGGCGGGCGGATCACGAGGTCAGGAGATGGAGACCATCCTGGCTAACACGGTGAAACCCTGCCTCCACTAACAAAATACAAAAAATTAGCCGGGCGTGGTGGCAGGTGCCTGTAGTCCCAGCTACTCCGGAGGCTGAGGCGGGAGAATGGCGTGAACCCAGGAGGTGGAGCTTGCAGTGAGCCGAGATTGCGCCACTGCACTGTAGCCTAGGCGACAGACTCCGTCTCAAAAAAATAAATACATAAATAAATAAAATAAAAATGTAAAATAAAACCCATCTGATGAGAATTTATGGTTTGTAGGCCATGACTCTCCAGACCCCTTGGATAGGAATTTGGGCAAGAAAAAAAATCAGAGCTTAGTCCTCATGTATACATATTTTTTTCAGATAAGATGTTTTTCCAGCATCAAACGCTAAAGAGTATGTACCTTAATAATCCTTTTAAATACCTTAACTTCAGAGAATGGAAAAAGCATTAACATTCAGAGTCATAGGCAAATAATTGATGGCTGAGGAGGGACAGAACTTGGATTGAGGGGTGGGTGGGATGTGGCGATTTCCCTGGACCGGAGGTGGGGACTCTCCGAGAGGTTCTACCGGTTTTGACCAGCTGCTCTTTTTGCCTCGGTAGCCTCCTGAGTCTTCTGCATTGGAGCTTTTCTAACACAGACTGTTAGGCTCTATTGTGCTGATTTGACATCTGGAACAAATTCTTTTGTCATACACCATCAGACTTTAAACAAATAAGAGCTAATGAGTTATACAGATGCCATGATTTTGCCTCAACCAATAATTACTTTGTTCACTCAAGGGTAGTATGGAGATTCAGAGACAAGAGGATCTCTCCTGTTTCACCTCACATTAGAATTTGTTTGCTTTGACAAATATCTGACTTGTCTGATGTTTACGATGTAACATATTTATTTTGCCAGGTCTGCCCTATAGATCATCCTGTACCAGAGATCTACAGCATAATGGCCTGGAAGCAGTCTTTGTTTTGGAGCCAAGCCCAGCAAAGTCTCAATTCCTTCCCCTTCAATCGCCATCTGGATGAACAAGGCCAAGTCATTGACCTTCTCTGGGCCTCAGTTTCCTCACCCATAAACTGGAGGTAAAAACACATACCCCATGGGATGGGATTACATAAGAGCTTAACACAATGTCTGGCACAGAGTGGGAAATCAGTAAACATTTGCTCCCATCCTTTGCTCAAATCAGTTTTAATTAAAGGTCCCTTTGAGAAAATGAGGAAGTCAATCTTCATTTGACCGAGAAAAGAAGTAAATCTTTTTCTGTTGTTGTTAAGATAAGACTTATCTATGTAAGTTCACTTTAAGGATAGTGATTTGTTATTTTTCATTTAAAGCCAATTAATCAATGTAGTGTGGATGTCTTCTTTCTCCCTGGAGTCTCTTTGAAGTGGTTTGCTCTAGGGCATCTAAAGAAAGGATGTCAGAGGGCTGGAATAAGAGAAAGTTGACAGAATGGAGAAGGGGCTATTTGGGATAGAAGGGTATACATACTACCTCTCCAGCTGGTTCCCAGTGGGGGATATTAGGACAATGAATTGTAGCTCAGTGTCCAGTTTCTGGAACCTCTGGATGAAGTCAGATACTGCCTCCAGGGATGCCTATAGATATTCCTACCTCTGCCCAGGCAAGCCCACCTCCAGCTGCAGCAGCCACAACTGCTAGAAACAACCAACACCAGCAGGAGAGGAGATAAACCAGGTATAAGGCACCAGGAGAAATAAGTCGGGGACAGGGGTGGCAGTCAAATCATACTCCTTTTTTGTAATAAGTTTTATTTTGTTTTTCATTGTCACATAATAATTATATATATTTATGAGATGTAGTGTGATGTTTGCTGTACATTATGTAATGATCAAATCAGAATGGTTAGCATATTGATCATCTCAAATGCCTGCCATTTCTTTGTAGTAAGAACACTTAACTGAGGCAGGGGTATCACATGGTCAAGAGATCAAGACTATCCTGGCCAACATGGTGAAACCCCGTCACTACTAAAAATACAAAAATTAGCTGGGCCTGGTGGTGCGTGCCTGTAGTTCTAGCTACTTGGGAGGCTGAGGCAGGAGAATCCCTTGAACCCAGGAGGCAGAGGTTGCAGTGAGCCGAGATTGCACCACTGCACTCCAGCCTGGAGACAAAGCAAGAGTCTGTCTCAAAAAAAAAAAAAGCATTTAAAATCCTCTCTCCGAGTTACTTTGAAGTGTACCATACAGTATTGTCCACTATAGTCACTCTGCTGTGCAACAGCACACCAGAATTTATTTCTCCTGTCTAACTGTAACTTTGTGCTCATTGACCAACTTCTCTTTCTTTCCCTCTCCTCACCTACACTCGCCAGTCTCTGGTAACCACTGTTCTTTTATATGCTTCTATGAGATCAATATTTTTTTAGATTCTACACATGAGTGAGATCATACAACATTTGTCCTTATGTGCTTGGCCTATTTCATTAACGTAATTGTTTTCTAGGTTCATTCATGTTGTTACAAATAACAGGATTTCATCTTTTTTATGGCTGAATAGTATTCCATTATGCACATATGCAACATTTTCTTTATCCAGTCAGCCATTGGTGGACACTTACGTTGATTCCATAGCTTGGTTAGAGTGAATAATGCTACAATGAACATGGGACTGCATTATCTCTTCAACATACTGATTTCATTTCCTTTGGATATATACACACTAGTAGGATTGTTGGATAATATGATAGTTCTATTTTTAATTTTCTGAGAAACCTCCTTACTGTTGCTCGTAAGTGTAGTTTTGCATTCCCTTCAATAGTATATAAGAGTTTCCCTTTCTCTGCATCCTTGCTAGCACTTCTTATTTTGTTTATTTTTTATGATAGACATTTTAACCAGGGTGAGTGATATCTCACTTTGGTTTTGATTTGCCTTTCCCTAATGGTTAGTGATGGTGAGCATGTTCTCATGAACTTATTGGCCACTTGTGTGTCTTCATTTGAGAAATCTCTGTTTAGATCTTTTACTGATTTTTAAATCAGCCATATTATTTGTGTTTTGTTTTGTTTTTGTTTTTGTTTTTTTGCTGTTGTGGTGTTTGAGTTCCTTATATATTCTGGATATTAATCCCTTGTCAGATTCATAGTTTGCAAATATTTTTGCCCATTTTGTAGATTGTCTCTTCACTCTGTTGATTGTTTCCTTAGCCATCACCTTTTTCATAGAATTTGCCCAGAACAATGTCCTGGAGTATCTCCCCTATGTTTTCTTCTAGTATTTTTATAGTTTTGAGTCTTACTTTTATTAATTTTTTTTTGTAGAGTTGGGTTCTTGTTATTTGCCCAGGCTGGTATCAAACTCCTGGCTTCAAGTGATCTTCCTACCTTGGCCTCCCAAAGTTTTGAGATTATAGTCGTGAGACACTGTGTCCAGTGTCTCACTTTTAAGTCATTAATCTATCTTGAGTTGATTTTTGTATATGGTGAAAGATAGGGGTCCAGTTTCATTCATCTGCCTATGGATATCCAATTTTCCCAGCACCATTTATTGAAGACCATGTTCTTTCCCTAGTGCCTGTTTTCGTTGACTTTGTCAAAAATCAGTTGGCTGTAAATACATAGGTTTATTTCTGTGTTCTCTATTCTGTTCCATTGATGTGTACCATGCTTTTTTGGTTACCATAGTCTTGAAATATATTTCAAAGTCAGGTAGTGTAATGCCTTTAGCTTTATTATTTTTGCTCAGAAATACTTTGGCTACTTAGGCTCTTTTTTGGTTCCACATGAACTTTAGAATTGCTTTTCTATTTCTAAGAAAAGTGGCATTGATATTTTGATAGGGATTGTTTTGAATCTATAGATTGCTTTGGGCAGTATAGCCATTTTAATGATATTAATTATTCCAATTCATAAACATGAGATGTCTTTCCATTTGTTTGCATCCTCTTCAAATTTTTCATTGGCATTTTGTATTATAGTTTTACTTGTAGAGCTCTTTCATCTCATTAGTTAAATATATTACTCGGAAGGGTTTTTTTTGGTAGATATGTAAATGGAATTACCTTCTTGGTTTCTTTCTCAGCTAGTTCATTATTGATGTATAGAAATGCTACTGATTTTTGTATGTTGGTTTTACATCCTGCAACATTACTGAATTTAATTATCAGATCTAAGAGTTTGTTGGTGGAGTCTTTAAGTTTTTGTAGAGGTAAGATCATGTCATCTGTGAAGGACAATTTAATTTCTTTGTTTCCAATTTGCATACTTTTTATTGCTTTCTCTTGCCTGATTGCTCTGTCTAGGAATTCCAGTAGTATGTTGAATAAGAGTAGTGAAAATGTGTATTCTTGTCTAGTTTCAGTTCTTAGAGGAAAGATTTTTAGCTTTTCCCCAAGCAGTATAATATCAGCCATGGATTTGTCATATACGGCTTTTATTATGTTAGGTATTTCCTTCTGTGCCTTGTTTGTTAAGAGTTTTCATCATGAAGAAATGTTGAATTTTATCAAATTCTTTTTCTGCATCTATGGAGATGATCATGTGGTTTTTGTCCTTTGTCCTACTGATGTGATGTATTACATTTAGTTATTTGTGTATGTCAAAACATTTTTGCATCCCTGGGATAAATCCCGCTTGATCATGGTGTACTATCTTTTTGATGTACTGTTGCATTCAGTTTGCTAGTATTTTGTTGAGGAGTTTTGTGTCTATGTTCAAAAGGGATGTTGGCTTGTATTTTTCTTTTCTTCATTGCATCCTTGCCCGGTTTTGACATCAGGGTAATACTAGTCTCATAGAATGAATGGGGAGAATCCCCTTCTCTCCATTTTTTTTGGAATAGGGAGAATTGGTGTTAGTTCTTTGTAAGGTTGATAGAATTATTCAATGAAGCCATCAGTCCTGGACTTTTCTTTTTTTGGGAGTCTTTTTATTGCTGAGTCAATCTGATTATTCTGATTATTGGTTTGTTCAGGTTTCTATTTCTTCCCAGTTCAATATTGATATGTTGAATATGTTCAGGAGTGTATGTATTTCCTCTAGATCTTCTAGTTTGTTAATGTATACTTGTTCATAAGTCTCCGATGATTTTTTGTATTTCTGTGGTACCAGTTGCAATGCCTCCTGGTTTTTTTTCTGATTTTTAAAAATTTGAGTCTTTGCTTTTATTTTCTTGGTTAGTTGGGTAGCAGTTTATTGATTTTGTTTATCTTCTCAAAAAACAATTTTTTGTTTCATTGACCATTTGTAACTTTTTTAGTCTCCATTTTGTTTAGTTCTGCTCTGATCTTTATCATTTTTTCTCTTCTACCAATTTTGAATCTGGTTTATTATTGCTTTCCTAGTTCCTCAAGGTACGTCATCAGATTGTCTATTTGAAATCTTTCTACTTTTTTGATGTAGATGCTAATTGGTATAAAATTCCCTCTTAGAATTGCATTTGTTGTATCCCATAGATTTTGGTGTGTTGTGTTTTGATTTTCATGTTGTTTAATTTTCATGTATTTTTTTCAGTTTTCAGAGTTCCTCGTGTTATTGATTTTGATGTATTCCATTGTCTGAACAGATACTTGACATGATTTCAATTTTTTTTATGGTTGAGACTTGTTTTGTGTTTCAACATATAATCTGTCCTAGAGAATGTTCCATGTACTGATGAGAAGAATGTGTATTCTGTACCTGTCGGATAAAATGTTCTGTAAATGTCTTTGAGGTCCATTTGTTCTAAAGTGCAGTTTAAATCCAATAAATCTTTGTTAATTTCCTGTCTAGGTGACCTGATTACTACTGAAAGTGGGATGTTGGAGTATCTGACTATTATAGTATTGGAGTCTATCCTTTTCAACTTAATAATATTTGCTTTAAATATCTGGGTGTTTTAGTGTTGTATTCATGTATGTTTAGAATTTTTATATCCTCTTACTGAATTAATCCTTTTATCATTGTATAATGACTTTTTTGTCTCTTATTACCGTTTTTGACTTAAAGTACGTTTTAAAGTATACTTAATGTATAGCTACTTCTGCTTAATCTTAGATTCCGTTTCCATGGAATATAGTTTTCCATTCCTTTTCTTTCAGTCTATATGTGACTTTACGGATAAGATGAGTTTCTTGTAGTCAGCATATAGTTGGGTCGTTTTTTTAAAAAAAAATCCTTTTTTATATCTTTGAAGTGGAAAGTTCAATTCATTTATATTCAAGGTGATTATTGATATGTGAGGGCTTGTTTCTGTCATTTTATTAACTGAGTTGTGGTTGTTTTGTATATCCTTGGTCCTTTTCTTTCTCTCTTATTATTTATCATTGTGGTTTGGTGGTTTTCTGTAGTGGTAACATTTGAGTTTTTTCTTTTCCCTATTTGTAGGTTTGCTTTATCAGTGGATTGCATATTTTCATGTGTTTTCATGAAGGTAGATATGATCCTTTCACTTATATGTGTAGGATTCCCTTAAGCATTTTTTGTTGAACTGGTCTAGTGGTGATGAATTTTCTCAGCTTTTTCTTGTCTGAGAAAGATATTATTTCATTTTCATTTGTGAAGGGTATCTTTGCTATCTTCACTGAGTATAGTAAGTATCCTTGGCTGGTAAATTTTTTTTTTCTTTCAGCGCTTTCAATATGTCATCGCAGTCTCTCCTGGCTTATAAGGTTTCTGCTAAGAAATTTACTGTTAGTCTGATGGGGGTTCCCTTATTAGTGGCTAGACACTTTTCTCTTGCTGTTTTTAGGATTATCTTGTTTTTCTTGACATTTGACAGTGTCACTATAATGTGCCATAAAGAAGGTATTTTTGAATTGTGTGTATTTGGGGATTCTTGAGCTTCTTATGTCTGGATGTCTAAATGTCTTGCTAGGCTTGGGAATTTTCAGTTATTATTTGGTTAATTAAGTTTTCTATCCATTTTGTTTACTCTTCAACTTCTGGGATACTAAAATTTCAAATATATGATCACTTTATGGTGTCCCATATGTCACAGAAGCTTTATTCATTCTACTTTATTCTTCTTTACTTTTGTCTGGCTGTGTTATTTCAGAAGGCCTGTCTTCAAGTTCTGAAATTCTTTCTTCTGCTTGATGTAGACTATTGCCAAAGTTTTCAAATGTTTATGTTGCATTCCCTTCAATAAATTATTCAGTTTCAGTATTTCTGTTTGGTTCTTTTTTATTATAACTATATCGTTGGTAAATATTTCATTTATATTCTGAATTGTTTTTCTAATTTTTTGTATTATCTATGTCCTTTTGTATCTCCCTGAGCTTCTTTAATATCATTATTTTAAATTATTTCTCCAGGATATTATACATTTCTTTTTCCCTGGAATCTGTTGCTGGAGAACTATTGAGTTCCTTTGGAGGTATCATATTTCCTTGCTTTTTCATGTTTTTGTGCACTTATGTTGATATCTGTACATCTGGTGTAATAGTTGCTTCTTCCAATTTTTAAATTTGCTTTCATAGGTAAGGAATTTTTCCTGAAGATGTATCTCTGATGTTGGTTGAGTAGTGCACTTTGGCTTTAATTTTTTTTTTTTTTTTTTTTTTTTGAGACAGAGTCTCTTTCTGTCACCCTGGCACAATGTGTACAGTGGCACAATCTCAGCTCACTGCAACCTCTGCCTCCTGGATTCAAGCGATTCTCCTGCCTCAGCCTCCCAAGTAGCTGAGATTACAGGTGTGCACCACCACACCCAGATAATTTTTGTATTTTTAGTAGAGATGGGGTTTCTCTATGTTGGCCAGGCTGGTCTCAAACTCCCCTGGTCTCAAACTCTATACCTCAGGTGATCCACCCACCTCGGCCTCCCAAAGTGCCAGGATTACAGGTGTGAGCCACCGCACCTGGCCCACTTTGGCTTTAATTCTAAGTGTATGCAGTATGTAGTTTCCCTATGATTTTTTCAGCTGTAAACAGCATCAGTGGCATCTGTGGTTTTCTCAGTGGCTTCAGGTGTGCTTATTAGTGGAGGCTGTAAAGTGTTTCTGGTGACAGGAATGCAAGATGAGTCAGTCCTCAGGCTCCAGTGGTGGCTGCAGTACTCTGAACACGCCTGTTCTTGGGTCCTAATGTGGTGCACACTGGCGCTGGTGTTAGTGAGTCTAGGGAGGCTGATTTTGGGGCCTCCAGGAAGCTTTCTTGGAAGTTGATATTGACAGCAGTGAGCCAGGCAGTTGGGCGGGTCCTCAGGCCCCTGGGAGCAAGCATGGCATGAATGACAGAAGCAGCAATGGTAGAACAATCCTCTGGTTCCCATTGGTCCACACTGGTGTTGGCAGTGGCTGCTATGGATTGCATGAGCCAGCCCCCAGGCTTGCAGGTGGCACATAAGGGTGGATGCCGGCAATAGTGGCAGTGACAGGTTGGATGGGCCCAACTTTAGATCGCTGAAAGGAATGCTCAGGTGCCAATGGTGATGGACAAAGTTGGGTGATCACTAGGCCCCCAGACAGCATGTTTGGGCACAGGAGGGTGTGGAGCTGGACTGTACGAACCTGTCCTCAAGTCCCCAGTGGTGTGTGCAGGTGTTGGCTGTGATAGGCAGGGGCAGGGTGATCATCAGGCTCCTGGTAAAATGCTTGGGTGGAGGCACAGTGGCTGGGCTACTGTACTGTAGCCCTGCTACTGGGCATGACAGCATAGCTTTCAGTGGCAGCAGCCATAGGCAGGCAGCTGGAACACGTGCTTTGGCCCTAGATGGCAGCTGTGGATGGATTGTCTTTTCCTTGGGGTGCTTATAAATGTGTGTCAACTTCAACGCTGAGGCAGTGGGGTCACTGCCTGTTGTTCACACTTTGGCTCTGCCCGTGGCAGCAGCTCTGGGTGGGGGATTCTGTCCTCGAAACGTGTGAGAATGCATGGAGGCTTTGATGTTGGGAGCAGGAAGGTTGCTGCCAATGATATGTACTTTGGCCCTGGTGGCAGCAGCCAGCTGTGAAGGTGATGTCATGAGGCTCCATGGATGTGGACTCGCAGGGGCTGTTGGGCTCCAAGGCAGGATGCAGTCTGGTGGGGGTTTGGCTCCCAAAATGGCAACGTGCTGTAGCTGCTTAGGGCTTGGGGATGGGTGGGGGACTCAGGGTGAGCTCCCTCTCTGGAGCAAAGCTGTCATGCCATCTCCGGGCAGCTCTCTCTGTTTTCTCAGGGCCTGCAAGGCTGGAGGGGCTCTCCTGTGGGGAGGACTCAGGAGCCTGTGGTAGGAGCGTGGAACAACGGGTTGGGGGGCGGGGGCGTCTCCCATTTATCCTTGCCAGGCTCCTGTCAATCTGAGACAAACATGCTGCCTCACTTCCCTCTCTTTCCTTGCTTTAGGTGTTTTTTTTTTTGTTTTTTTTGTTTTTTTGGACAGAGTTTCACTTTGTTGCCCAGGCTGGAGTGCAGTGGCACGGTCTTGGCTCACGGCAACCTCCGCCTCCTGGGTTCAAGCAATTCTCGTGCCTCAGCCTCCCGCGTAGCTGGGAATACAGGCACCTACCAACACACTCGGCTAATTTTTTTTGTATTTTAGTGGAGACCGGATTTCACCATGTTGCCCAGGCTGGTCTCAAACACCTGAGTTCAGGCAATCCGCCCATCTCGACCTCCCAAAGTGCTAGGGTTACAGGCATGAGCCACCGTGCCCGGCCTAGGTGTTTCTTATCACTTCTCTGTTGAATCCCACTGGACTCTCATAGATGATCTGTTCGAAGTGTGATTATCTACTCACTATGTTGGTTCTTCTCCGTGGAAGAGGTGAGTGTCAGATACATGCAGTCAGATACCTTGAAATCTCTCCTCAAATTATGTAAGATTTGAGGACAGCCGGGCGCGGTGGCTCACGTTGGTAATCTCAGCAGTTTGGGAGGCCGAGGCAGGCAGATCATCTGAGGTCAGGAGTTTGAGACCAGCCTGGCCAACATGGTGAAACCCCGTTTCTACTAAAAATACAAAATTAGCCGGGTATGGTGGTGCACGCCTGTAATCCCAGCTGCTGTGGAGGCTGAGGCAGGAGAATTGCTTGAACTTGGGAGGCAGAGGTTGCGGTGAGCCTCACAAGATCACACCACTGCACTCCATCCTGGGCAAGAAAAGTGAAATTCTGTGTCTCAAAAAAAAAAAAAAAAAAAGATTTGAGGATAAAAGATGTGAGGACAAGAGGGAAATCTTTGCCATGAAATAGATTTATTTCATAAAGTGGAGAAAGGTAGAAATAAGTAACTACTTTTTCTCTTAAATCGGGACCCAGTGACAAAAGATAAACTGATTTCATGTTAAAGCGTTAAAATTAATTTTAAAAGCCGGGCGCGGTGGCTCACACCTGTAATCCCAGCACTTTGGGAGTCCGAGACGGGCGGATCACGAGGCCAGGAGATCGAGACCATCCTGGCTAACACGGTGAAACCCCCGTCTTCACTAAAAATACAAAAAAAATTAGCCAGGTGTGGTGGCGGGCATCTGTAGTCCTAGCTACTCAGGAGGCTGAGGCGGGAGAATGGTGTGAACCCGGGAGGCGGAGCTTGCAGTAAGCTGAGATGGCGCCACTGAACTCCAGCCTGGGTGACAAAGTGAGACTCTGTCTCAAAAAAAAAAAAAAAAATTAATTTTAAGTAGGAAATAAAATGAAAAATAACACCTTGGAAATACAGCAGCTGCAAATATTTAAGTTATGGACATCCTGTTAAGAGAAATGAGCATTTATAATAAATGTAATATTTTATATTCTATTTCAGGAGATTCTGAAACTCTCATACATGGCAGCTTAGAATGTAAAACAGTAGAGCCACCTTGGAAAACAGTTTTGCAATTTCTTAAAAAATTAAAAGTATACATGCTCTATGACCCATAGATGTTTACCAAAAGAAATAGTCATGTGTCCATACAATGATTTGCATGCAAATGTTCATAACAGCTTTATTCGTAATAGCCAACAGCTCAAACCAACCCAGATGTCTCACAAAAAGTGAATGAGTGAGTAAAATGTGGCATATCTGTATAATAAAATATTACTCAGCGGAGAAACCCCATCTCTACTAAAAATACAAAAAAAATTAGCCAGGCATAGGTGGTGCATGCCTGTAGTCCCAGCTACTCAGGAGGCTGAGGCAGGAGAATGGTGTAAAACCCGGGAGGCGGAGCGTGCAGTGAGCCGAGATCGCGCCACCGCACTCCAGCCTGGGTGACAGAGCAAGACTGTCTCAAAAAAATAAATAAATAAATAAATAAATAAATACATATATGTTATTCAGCAATAAAAATAGATGATATATTGAGATCTGAGACCTGTATAAAATGCAAGAATCTCAAAATAAGTGTTCTGAGTGAAGGATAATGTATGTCTTTATTTATTTAAAATTTTGCAAATGTCAACCAATCGATAGTGACAGAAAGATCAGCGCTTGCCTGGAAAGGGGTCAGGGGCTTGGAGAATGAGGAATTACAAAGGGGAATAGAAAACTTTGACAAGTGATAGGTATCGTCTTCATCTTGATTGTGGTGATGGTTTCATGTGTGTATATACATGTCAAAATGTATCAAATTGTACAGTTCATATATTTTCACTTACTGTATGTTCATTATTTCTCAACACAGCTGGGAAACATAATACTACACGATACTGACCAGTGTGGAGTGAAACCTGTATAACCACACACTTTTTTTCTGTTTTTTCTTTTTTTTTTTTTTGAGATGAAGTCTCGCTCTGTCGCCCAGACTGGAGTGCAGTAGCATGATCTTGGCTCACTGCAACCTTCCCCCGATGGGTTCAAGTGATTTCTCCTGCCTCAGCCTCCCAAGTAGCTGGGATTACAGGCACATGCCACCACGCCTGGCTAGTTTTTGTATTTTTAGGAGAGACGAGGTTTTGCCATGTTGGCCAGGCTGGTCTCAAACTCCTGACCTCAGGTGATCGCCCGCTTCAGCCTCCCAAAGTGCTGGGATTACAGGTGTGAGCCACTGTGCCCAGCCAACTACACACTTTTAATAACAGTGCACATGCTTATCACCTGTAAGGAAAGCAATTTTGTGAGGTATATCATAAATTGTTACTACTATTCTTATTATAATATGGGTAAAAATGTAAAAGAACCAGCCAAAGTAGGCGATGATCAAAGCGGTTTGTGTCAGGTGGTGTTAACCTCCGATTTGTCCTTTTAGAGAAACGCATGCTTAGATATGTTACAGACTCACCTATGATGAAGCCTCAGGCTCTAAGAGTGCAACACCAGGGTCAACCATTTGGTTTACATTTCACCAGCAACCACCAAATTTACATGTCTGTATGACTGACCCTTTGCTACTCCGGTTTGAAACAGAATAGCTGTGTTCTTTAATTGCTCCTTTAGGGACACTTAATGCATTCTAAGTGTTTACTAAGCCTTGGAAAGTGATTGATCGCCTCTGGTTAATGCTTTTATATTCAAGGTTAATTATTGTTTTCTGATAACGTTTTTTATTCATTAGCATCCTTTAATAAGGCCGGCAATCATTGGCTAGTTAAGTGGACAAACCATTAATAGGAGAGCTAAAGTTTCAACTAAGGGTCAATCTACTAATTTCTTAGTCATAGACCAGATGGGAAGACCTTATAAAATAAAAATGCTTATGTTCAGTATCTTCTCTTTAACTAAATGATACTATAAATATACTGTGAGCGGCCTGGAGCTTTCTATTTCACCGGGCAGAATAATCATGAACAAGTCAGGGCAAAGGAAGTCGCATACAAAGTGGATGGAGAATGGATGGGGAAGGAGGATCGTATAACTGATTTCTCATTGAATGTAACGAATTAGGCACAGAAATCTATAGTAAAGGAAAGAAGAAAGAGAACGTGAAGGTTTATGGTGATTTATAGACCTTCTCTGAACTTTACATTTTAATGTTATCCTTAAAAGATGATGAGTCCCTTATTATGAAAGGAAGAGGAGAATATACAAACTTCACATCAGGCTCAGGCTGGCTTCCTGCTGATAGGTTCCTACAGAAATCAATAAAGAGATATGCATTTCACAGTTGGGAGCTATTTCAGCGAGTCCTTCCAAAGATGAGCAGAGACCTAGTGCATTCCTTGAAGAGGGTTAAAAGGGAGCAAAGCAAAGCTACAGACATTAAACTAAATTCAAGTAAGAAATTCTGACACTGTAACTCAAAGTAATGGGTGTAATTAATAAAGAATGAAAATCATGTAACTGCTAAGCACAGCAGAATTATGAAGATACTGATGACACCATTCCAAATGGCTCCTTCCTGCGTTGCTTTAAATAATTATTTACTAAACACTGATGGTGATCACAGCATGATGTCAGGGAGCAAATAGTGGGAAGAGAGAGAATAAAAAAGCATTTGACAGTCCTAGTTCATCTTGATACTCTTGTGCTTGAAAATGGCTATTGGTGGCCAGGCATGGTGGCTCAAGCCTGTAATCCCAGCACTTTGGGAGGCCGAGGCCAGTGGATCACCAGAGGTCAGGAGTTCAAGACCAGCCTGGCCAACATGGTGAAACCTCGTCTCTACTAAAAATACAAAAACTAACCGGGCATGGTGTCACACGCCTGTAGTCCCAACTACTAGGGAGGCTGAGACAGGAGAATCACTTGAACCCAGGAGGTGGAGGTTGCAGTGAACCAAGATTATGCCACTGTACTCAAGCCTGGACGATACAGTGAGACTCCATCTCAAAAAAAAAAAAAAGGCTATTTGCTCTCTGTTTTTAGAACACAATGAATAAATGTCTTAGCAGGCATACAAATTTGTTTGTACTCTGTCTTCAATTCATTCCATTTCTCAATATATATTCTTCTGCAGCATCTAGCCCATGAGATGGTATCAGAATTATCATACTGTATATCAGTTTACTTAATTCCAAGTATTACATGGCAGTACAAAGTATCAAGTACATCAACACTTCTTGTTGTGACAAACAGCTCCAATATCTCAATGACTATATTAGTCAGGGTTCTCCAGGGAAACAGAAACAATAGAATAGAATAGAATAGAATAGAATAGAATAGAATAGAATAGAATAGAATAGAATAGAATAGAATGAAGATAGAAGATAGATAGATGATAGATAGATAGATAGATAGATAGATAGATAGATAGATAGATAGATAGATAGATTAGACAGACAGACAGATAGATAGCTAGATAGCTAGACAGATAGATAGCTAGATAGCTAGACAGATAGCTAGCTAGCTAGCTAGATAGATAGGACAGACAGACAGACAGATAGATTACATAGATAGATTATATAAATAGATACAAATATATAGAAATATATTTATTATAAGGAATTGGCTTATGCAATTATGAAGTCTGGGGAGTTCCACAATCTACCATCTGAAATCTGAAGATCAAAAAAGTCAGTAGCATAATTCTAGTGTAAACACAAAGGCCAAAGAACCAGGAGCACCAATGTCTGAGGCTGGAGAAGATGGATGTCCCAGCTCAGGCAGAGAGAGCAAATGCACCCCTCATCTGCTTTTTAGGTTCTTGTCAGAGCCTCAGTGAAGTGCGTGACGGCCACCCACACTGGTGAGGATGACCTTTACTCTGTCTACTGATTCAAATGCTAATCTCTTCCGAGAACACCATCACAGACACACTCGGAAATTTACCAGGTCTCTGGGCATCCCTGAGCCCAGTCAAGTTGATACTTAAAATTAACCATCGGAAGTCACCTCCTTGTCAGTTGGCACCCAGGTGAATCTTGTTAAACCATAGTAGTCTCCAAATAAAGACATTAACAAGATCATGCTTCCACTGAACATGATACGACTATCCTTCATACAACGAAAAATGCACAAATCCCTTCCTCAGAAGAGAAAATAAAGTTTTTCAGTGATGCTTCCTCTTTTCCTGATATACCTTAACTTAAATACTAGGATGTAAAATTAGCAATATTTAAATACTAACATAATATTAATACATCTTCTGTTACATGATAAGGGACTAAGAGAGAAAAGAAAACAAAGCTATTCGCTTTATATGTACGTGTGTGTGTGTTTCTGTGTATGTGTGTGTATAATATGTATAGATATGTGTATATATGTAATATTTGTATTCATGCAAAATAAAAAGGAAATACTCATTATAATTACAGCCCTCATTTCCGTAACTGGTCATGTGGTTATAGCTTATATTTATACTTACATACTTATTATACTTATATATTCCTACTACCTATTCTGTAGTAGGTACAGAATTGTACCTACTTTGCTTTCAGCTGCACCTCAGCTGGTTGTGGTTCATTATCTGATGGGGTGACCCAAACCTTCATTAATAGTCCTGCCTAAATTGGGTTGTTGTGGTTTTTTTTAATTGCCTATAATCAATCATATGGCATGGTAACAATAAGAGTTGCCTTAAGGGGTCCTCTGTATTCCAGACATACTCTTCTTTACTGCCATCATGGACTAGCAGTCCAATTTCTCCCAACCAACACCGTAACCCCTATATTGACCTATTGACTCAGAAGCATAAAGTGCCACAAAATGGCCAGGTGGTAGGCTTAATTTTCAATTCAATGGAATCTTGTCATGTCTCCTGGTGGAAGCATTTCTTCCTCTGGAATTAAGACTGCTAGGCGAGGCTGGGCACGGTGGTTCACGCCTGTAATCCCAGCACTTTGGGAGGCCGAGGCAGGTGGATCATGAGGTCAGGAGTTCAAGACCAGCCTGGCCAAGATGATGAAACCCCATCTCTACTAAAAATACAAAAATTAGCTGTGCGTGGTGGCAGGTGCCTGTAATCCCAGCTACTCGGGAGGCTGAGGCAGAGAACTGGCTGAACCCGGGAGGTGGAGATTGCAGTGAGCTGAGATTGCACCACTGCACTTCAGCCTGGGCAACAGAGCAAGACTCTGTCTCAAAAAAAAAAAAAAAAAAAAAAAAAAAAAAAAAAAAAAAAACACCTCTAGGCCAGTAGAGTATAAACTTGAAGAAACAGGAAGGAAAAATTTTGCTAGTGCCTCACTAGGAGTAATAGAGAGTGGTGCCACTCCCATTTCTACCCCTTAATTCCTGGACCTGTGAATCCTGGCTATGGGAGAAGCACTACCAAATATTGGATGATGATTCAGAGCACGTGCAGATTTCCGGAGAACCTTGTACCAGTCTTGTAAGGTATCATCACCTAGTTGGTTGTGTAACTGAGTCTTCAAAGCGCTATTCCACTGTTTTACCAAGCCAGCTTCTTATGAATACTGGGGAACCTGATCAAACCACTGAATCCCACGAGCATGCGCCCATTGCTGCACTGCTTTTGCTGTGAAGTGAATTCCTTGATGAGAAGCAATGCTGTGTAGAATACCATGATGGGGAATGAGGCAATTTGTAAGTTCTCAGATGATAATCCTGGCAGAAGTTTTCTTTGCAGGGAAGGAAAATCCATATCCAGAGTTAAGTGTCCATTCCAGTATGGACAAATTGCTGCCCCTTTCATGATGGAAGAGGTGCAATGTAATCAACCTGCAACCAGGTAGCTGGCTGATCACCCCAGGGAATGACGTCATAACAGCAGCTCAGTAATGGTTTGTGCTGCTGGCAGATTGGACTCTCAGCAGTGGCTGTAGGCAAGTTGGCCTTTGTGAGTGGAAGTCCATGTTTCTGAGCCCACACAGAACCTCTATCCCTGCCATCATGGCCACTTTGTTCATGAGACCACTGTGTGATGATGACAGGGTTGTCTGGAGAAAGAGGCTCACTGGTATCTACAGGATGGGTCATTCTATCCACTTAATTATTAAAATGCTCCTTTATTGAGGTCACCCTTCAGTGAGCAATCACATGGGACATGTTTTTTTTTTTTTTTTTTTTTTTGGCTATTCAGAGAGGTCAATCTATTCACCTCTTCCCCATATTTCTCTGTCACCAATTTTACAACCATGTTTCTTCTAAGCCCCTGACCATCCAGCCAAACCATTGGCTATAGCCCATGAATTGGTACATAATCACATGTTTGACCATTGCCCCTTTCAAGCAAAATACGCAACCTGGTGCACTGTGTGAAGTTCTACCCGTTGGACAATTTCCCTTCACCATTGTCCTTCAGTGATGTTCCGGAGAGGGGCTGTAGTGCAGGGGCCGTCCACTCTCAAGTGGTGCCTGCAAATTATGCAGAACCATCTGTAAACCAGGCCTGAGTCTTCTCTTCCTTTGTCAGCTGATCACAAAGAACTCTCCATAAGGTCATAGTTGCAGACTGGGAGAGAGAAGGCATTGGAGGAGGAGTAAGAACCATGGGTATTTGGGCTACTTCTTTTTATTTATTTATTTATTTATTTATTTATTTATTTATTTATTTTTAAGATGGAGTTTCACTCTTGTCGCCCAGGCTGGAGTGCAATGGCCTGATCTCGGCTCACTGCAACCTCTAACTCCTGCGTTCAAGCGTCAGCCTCCCGACTAGCTGGGATTACAGGCACCCACCACCACGCCCGGCTAGTTTTTGTATTTTTAGCAGAGACAGGGTTTCACCATGTTGGCCAGGCTGGTCTCCAACTCCTGACCTCAGGTGATCCACCCATCTCGGCCTCCCAAAATGTTGGGATTACAGGCGTGAGCCACCGTGCCCAGCCTGGGCCACTTCTTTATGTAACTCACTTATGCCTACAGGGCCCACTTGTGCTCAATCACTTATACACCACTTCCATTTGATGATGGAGTATTGCTGTGCACACCAGCTTTATGGCTCAGTGGTCTTTCACCACGTAATAGTATTTATGGGACTCTATCTTAAGAGAATAGTTCTAAATAAGGGGCAGCGTGTATTTTATAATGGCAAAAGCTGAAGACCACATGGATGTTCCATTATGATGCAAAAGTTACAAAACCCAGAGTCTAGTCACTTGATGTGACATTATACAGTTATTAAAATTGAAAAAAATATTGTAAAATTGATGGAACACATTAATTAATGTCATAACATCAAAATATCCATGATTTAATAGAAAGATAAAAAGCATGATAGTATATAATTACAGCAATGTGTTCTCATTTTTGTTTTTTGAGACAGAGTATCTCCTTGTCGTCCAGGCTGGAGTGCAGTGGTGCAATCCTGGTTCACTGCAACCTCCACCTCCTGAGCTCAAGCAATTCTCCTGCCTCAGCCTCCCGAGTAGCTGGGATTACAGGCATGCACCATCATGCCAGGCTAATTTTTGTATTTTTAATAGAGGCGGGGTTTTGCCATATTGTACAGGCTGGTCTCAAACTCCTGACCTCAAGTGACCTACCTGCCTCAGCCTCCCAAAGTGCTGGGATTACAGGCACCCTTGGGGTCAGATCCAGCCTAGAGCCAGGGGGTGAATGTGGTGAGCAGAAATCAGGCTGGATGTCAGCACCCTCTTCTCCTCCTGGTTACTTCCTTCCCACCCCCTTGCAGGGTGCAACCCCTCTCTAGCACCCATTTATTTTTTGGAGTTGAGGTCTTGTTCTGTGACTTAAGCTGGAGTGCAGTGGCATAATCATAGCTCACTGCAGCTTCAAACTCCTTGGCTCAAGGAATCCTTCTGCCTCAGCCTCCCAAGTAACCAGGACTCTAGGTGTGAACCACTGCACCCAGTTGGCTACCTCCCTTTTCTTTGGGTGAAAGATACTTATGTTTAAGACCAATGAGCTTAGCTGGGATTTAACAAGTTAAGGTAACATGTTCATTTTCACACTATCAATCTAAATTATTTGACATGAAAACTAAAGATTTCAGGAGAATAATAATAACATTGAAAAGATGATAAATAATAATAGCAATAGTAACACAATAATAAAATAAAAGAGACTAAAAGATGAAAGGAGACTGAATAGACTTGACGACCAAGTGGAATGTGCAGTCTTGGGTTGGATCCTGGATCAGAAAAAGAATATCCATGGAACAATTGGAAAAAAATTTGCATAAGGTCTATAGATTAGACAATAGTGTGGTATCGATGTTCATATCCTGAATTTTGATAATTTTTCTGTGGTTATGAAAGCCAAAGCATTTGGGGCATCTAAACCAAGGGGATACAGGAATTCTTTTCCCCATATTTGCAATTTTGTTGATATGGTTTGACTGTGTCCCCACCTCAATCTCATCTTGAATTGTAGCTCCCATAATTCCCACGTGTTGTGGGAGAGACCTGGTGGCAGGTAACTGAATCATGAAGGTGGGTCTTTCCCATGCTGTTCTCATGATAGTGAATAAGTCTCACGAGATCTGATGGTTTTATAAGGGGGAGTTCCCATGCACACACCCACTTGCCTGTCTCCGTGTAAGATGTGGCTTTGCTTCTCCCTGCCTTCTGCCATGATTGTGAGGCCTCCCCAGCCATGTGGAACAGTGAGTCAATTAAACCTCTTTCCTTTATAATTACCCAGTCTTGGGTATGTCTTTATTAGCAGCATGAGAAGAAGTGAATACACTTATTTTTTAAGCCAGAAAAAAAACCCCTAGCAACACACACACACACACACCACACACACAAGCCTAGTCCCTCTACCTCATTTCATACATGAGAACACTGGGTAAACATTTAAGTCACGAGCTCAGAGTCAGACAGCAAGTGGGCAGTGGTGGAGGGAGAATTTGCTTCTGTGAGTTCCTGGCCAGGGTCCACAATCTGCCTCAAATGCATGAGTCAGACCAATGCAGACTCATGGATGAGAGGAGGCTCTTGGAAAATAACTGTGAGCTGTTCTTTTGCAGCAACCTGGGTCTGCTTAGTATGGTCAGACTTGGTTTAAAGACTTTAGGAACTTAGGGTGAGGGATGAGCCAAAACTGTGCCTTAGCCAGGACTAGGTGAAAGGAAGTGTTACATTCATCCCTGAGGATCAGTTCCCTCCAAGGTTTTGTCTTTTAAAAAGTCCATAGTCTTTTGGAAAGCCAAGATGAGATGATCACTTGAGGCCAGGAATTTGAGACCAGCCTGGGCAACATAGCAAGATCTCATCTCTAAAAACATTATAACAATTTAGCCAGGCGTGGTGGCATGCACCTGTAGTTTCATCTACTCAGGAGACTGAGGCAGGAAGATCTGTTGAGTGCAGGAGTTTGAGGATTCAGTGAGCTATGATCACAGCACTGCACACCACCCTGAGATCCTATTTCTCAAAAGTGGAAGAAAGAAAGAGAGAGAGAAGAAAGAAAGGAGGGAAGGAAAGAAGAAAGGAAGTAGGGAAGGAGGGAGGGAGGGAGAGAGAAAGAGAGAAAGAAAGGAAAGAAGGAAAGAGGGAGGGAGGGAGAGAGAGAGAGAGAGAAAGAAAGAAAGAAAGAAAGAAAGAAAGAAAGAAGGAAAAGAAAGAAAGAAAGGAAGGAGAGAGGGAGGGAGGGGAGGGAGAGAGATAGAGAAAGAAAGAGAGAGAAAGAAAGAAGAGAGAAAGAAAAAGAAAGAAGAAGAAAGAAAGAAATAAAGAAAGAAAGAAAGAAAGAAAGAAAGAAAGAAAGAAAGAAAGAGAGAGAGAGAAAGAAAGAAAGAAAGAAAAAGAAAAGGTAGGTCCATAGTCTACTGACATTCTTGCTGCCTGAGAGAAGACCTCAGAGGGGCTGTAAGGAAAATGCCACTGCAAGTTCACCTCACAGTGATCATGATAGTGCTGACCAGAGTGTCTAGGGGATCCCAGAGCTGGAGGCAGAAGTGACTGGGTTCTGCCAGGCTCTTTTGTACTTTGCTCTCAGATAGACAGGAATTTAATTCACTGTACCTAAGATAGCTCTTTCTCTCTATCCAGAAATGAAAGCTATGCCAGATAAACAGCAAATGAAGGGTCCTGAGTTGGGTGATGAGATGTCACCATCTTTCTGATCAATGAATGAGCTGAGGCATGAAGGATGGAGCTGGCTTCACCCGGAACACAGAGACCTCACCCTGAGGGCTGTCTCTCAGTGCATGAGGCTTCAGAGGGCTTAGTGGCTTTGTCTAGCTCAGACCATGAGGCCCATATTCTCATGTGGTCTTTGGTTGGGAGAGGGAGAGTCACTCGCAATGCAGTGGTTGGGCCATGTACTCACAATCACTTGCACTCCTGAAACTATGGGCATCAAGGTGAGACCTATTCTCAAGCTAGTTTGTTCATAAGTGTTTAAGGGCCAAATGCAGTGGCTCAGGCCTGTAATTTCAGCACTTTGGGAGGCCGAGGCAGGTGGATCAACTTGGGTCACGAGTTTGAGACCAGCCTGGCCAACATGGTGAAACCCCGTCTCTACTAAAAATACAAAAATTAGCCAGGCATGGTGGTGGGTGCCTGTAATCCCAGCTACTCAGGAGGCTGAGGCAGGAGAATCGCTTGAACCGGAGAGGCAGAGGTTGCAGTGAGCTGAGATGGTGCCACTGCACTCCAGCCTGAGTGACAGAGCAAGACCCTGTCTCAAAAAAAGAAAAAAAAATAGTGACCTTGGATACTTTATTGCAACATCATTGGATTTAGTCTCTCTGTCTATTAAATAGGAGTGGAGCTGTGGCTAATACTCAACTTACTTCTACTTCTAAAACGTCCTTGTGATTCTGTGAGTTCCCCACCCCCTCCCACACCCACTCACCCAACCCTGACTGTATTCCACAAGCTGCCTGGAGCTTTCAGCAAGAGGATTTCCCTAGAGAATCAAGAACAGCAATTCTGAGCATTCAGCATCTGTAATGGAGTTTTCACTACTCAGGAGAAAATGTAAAAGAAAAATATGGATATTACAACGTACCCAGTGGTGAAACATTGCCAAATATTTTTTCTTTATGATTACTGTTCTTTATTTTGAGATAAGGTGTTTTTTTCTCTTTTATTGATGTGACAATGTTCTTCATTTCTTTTAAAAAATAATAAGAAGAAGAATGAGATGAGAAAGCATCAGCTTTAGTTTGCTATTGGAAGGGAGTTGCCCAGGTTCATTATTGAGCATTCCCACAAGGCGCTATCAGTAGAGTGAGATAAGGAAAATGCCAGGGTGGGTAGGAGCTGAGGACTGTGGTCAGGAATGGCCACCTGATGCCTGCAAAGACCATCCAGACATCAGACTGCTCCTCCCAGGCCTGGAGCTGATGAAATGCTAGCCAAAGAGAAGACTAGATTTCAACCCAAAACGAAATGGGACTTTTCAGCATCTGATAGTCCACAGAAGACAAAAGGATTCAGAGACTTAGGCACAGTGTCAGCAATGGGTGGCTGTTTTCCTAAGACACATGCCCCATGTGGCTCCTTCCCTGCCCCATGCACAGGGAAGGAGCCAACTCTTTGTCTAGATTGTTCAGCAAAGGTGAACAGAGTCTTGCTTGTGTTGAAGGCAACGATCAGATGTGGCAGAAACATCAGATGAAGAGTCACCAAAATCAAATGAATTCAGCTAAAGCAGATGCCTAAAGTCCAGCAAAGCTTGAAGCTACACTAATTCCTACCCTAACTACCATCATCCGCTGAGGTAACCAACCAGAACACCTCAATGCAAACTAATATTTCTTATTTTATACGCTAGTAGGGTCCCTTCCTCTACTTGTTACACTTGTTTATACTCAAAATACCTCAGGTTCACTAAATGTGCTAGTAATAATACTTACCACTCAAGAGCTATTAGCCTCCTGATCCAATAATCTTATATGACTATCATGTATTATAGCTTTTAGAGTAAAAATACCCCTATACAGACTTCACTTATGACTCAGGTTCATTAAATGCGCTAGTAATAATACTTACCACCCAAGAGCTATTAGCCTCCTGATCCAATAACCTTATACGATTAGCATGCATTGTGGCTTTTAGAGTAAAAATACCCCTATACAGACATCACCTATAACTCCCCAAAGCCCACGTAGAAGCCCCTATCAATGGATCAATAGTACTTGCAGCGGTATTCCTAAAGTTAGGCGACTATGGTATAATATGGCTTACCCTTATCCTCAACTCCCTAACAGAACATATCATGGCTTTGTTAGAAATGCTTGTTCCTCAGTGCCACAAAGAAATAGCACTTGAACATAAATTTAATTTTCTCAGCAAGGCAATTTTTACTTTCTGCAGAAAGGGTGCTCCTCACAGATGGAACAATGGCGAGAGCACACCTGAACAGCGGAGGGGAAGGAGTTCTTATTGCTGATGCAGGTAGCCCCTACTGCTGTGTCATTCCCCTATTGGTTAGGGTTGGACCTCACAGTCTAAGCTAATTCCAACTGGCTATTTTAAAGAGAGCAGAAGTATGAGCCAGAGTGGCGGAGTGAGTAGTTTGGTGGGAAGGACGGTTAGGAACAGGTGACTTAGGTCAGAGCAGGTGACCAGGGGTGACTCAGGTCAAAGAAGGTGGCCAAGATGAGTCAGGATGGAGCAGGCGACCCTGGAACAGATGTGAACTACTGATTATAACTGGTGGAAAAAGTTGTTTAATGAAACTAGAAGCAAGGAGGCAAAGAGAATCAGGAAGTTACACTTTAAAATAGAGAGTCAAAGAATAAGAGAGCTGAACATACTGACATACTGATTCTTTGAAGAGAAACTTGGGGTTCACTATATTTAATAGTTTCAAGGTCCAGTGATGTTTGGGGCAAACACAGAAATGCAAAGGTTGCCATGGGCCCCTTCAGTGATCCCATGGTGTGGATTGGTTTCTTTTCTGAAGGCCAAGAGGAGGTGAGGGTGAAGATAGCCTGGAGCTATTGTGAGAGACCTCCTGGTGACATAAAAGGGCAATGCTAGTGGACATTTCCTCAGGGGATCACCCCAAATCCATTCCCTTACAGCTTCAAACGTGGATGTTGTTCAATGAGTAGAAACTGCTGACAGTGAGTAGAAACTGCTGACAGTGAGTGGAAACTGACATATTGAGTGCAGGGAATTGGGATCAATAATAGTTTACAGGGCATGTTGTGACGTCCATAATTATTGACTCTCTTTCCCTGAACCTGGAATAATGCCCAGATCCTAGTCTACCAGCCTACCCATCATTCCTCAGTCCCAAAGCTCCTGAGTCCAGGAACGTCTCCTGAGCTTCTTTACTGCCTTGAAAAGATCTCCCTGGATAGCCTGCCACTCTGATAACAATTATGGCCATAGCTTGTGTCTGTTAACAATTATGGCCATAGCATGTATTTATTGAGTGTTTGCTTAGCATCTGACCATTAACTGTCATGCTACCACCCTAGGAGAAGGATATTATCTCCACTCTATTCCTCTAATCCCATCAATTTAATTAAAGATAATCATTGAGTGTGTACTCTGTATCAGGTTTTGCTGATTTTTTTTGCCTCCAAAGTATCTATTTAACCTGTTTGCCTGTTTTCCATATATTTTCCACTGCCCTGGTCCAGCCGTCACCTCCTCTCTATCACCCAGGCAACAGCAAAAAATCTTCTCATTGACAGGATCTCTCTGCCTCCGTTCTGTCTTCTTCAAACCATCCTCCAGCCCCAAGGGATCTTTCAAAGAAGCAGCACTTGGCAAGGTCCACTTGTCAAAAACTTTCTGATGACTCCCATCACCAATAGGACACAGTTCTGCTCATTATCTGGACTCAGAAATACCCCGTGATGGGAGCCCTACCTGGCTTCCAGCCTCTCATAGCACCACCCAGCACTTTGAACTTATGCAAAACATCACATAGCAGCATGCATCATCCAGTTTCTCTTTCAACTGAAACTATCTTTCTCTTTTTCCTCCTGGCTAACTCCTTCCCACCTTACTCCAACATTTTTAGCTTCTGAGTGGCCAAATGTTACCCCATGCACACACCTTTCTTCTTAAACTTACTGCTGTGGATTTTAAAGATCGGTTGGTGTGTCTTCACTAGACTATAAACTGCAAAAGGCAGGTCGCTATCTTAATTATCCTTGGATTACAATCTTTCAGAAGTAGCTAAACACACATTACATGCTTTGTAAAAACCTCTGATAACCC